>NC_000002.12:14918095-15224851 GCF_000001405.40 Homo sapiens | reverse complement strand
ATAGTATGTGGGTCAGTTCATTAATGGAGGCACGGGACCTACATGGAATGAGTGTTTATGTCCCTCACTGTTAGCTCGCTTGTATATACCCCTCCCTTCCTCCAGTGGCCTTCAGAGGAGGTAGGCAGTGGGAGAGCCTGGGACGAACTAGAAAGCTCACCTAGGCCTTGTCTAAAGGAGGCCCCTGCTGCCTTGGCCCCAGCCTGTTTTTTCCACTATTTTCCTGTCACCCAGTTTTTAAACATGCGGTGGAACATCCTGACTTCATGTATGTGTTGGTGAAATTCCTTAATTTTGAAACATTGGCATCTACTATGCAAGCCAGCCACAAAATCTGGTTGCCAGTTTACTTTCAGTATGGAAGAGACCTAATGTTCCTTCAGGTTTGATTCAAATTCTATGACATTTATATTTACAAGAAATCTCAAATGTGTGTGTTTTGCTTGCTTGAATGTAGTTCTGCTTTCTTGCATTCTCATATAAGAATATTTTATTTTGATTGTATGTGTATGCCATGCAGAACCTGAAAACTCTCTTACTGAAGATTCGCTTATTTATATTCTTAAAAAATCTGTCTTCTTGCTGTGATTCAATAATTTCCTTTCTTTGCTTGACATTTCCCTTCCATTCTTTTGTACTTTTGTGAATGTCTTCCATGCTACATTACATAATAGGGAAATGCCAGATGAACACTCATTCCACCTCAGAGTAACACAGTCTCAAATTAGTCATTCAATGGACATGTTTTGTTGTCATGGTTGCTGCTGCTGTTCTTTTCTGTAAATAGAGCTGTTTATGTATTGCACATGACTTCCTATCTTTCGGACCAAAACTGATTCTGAGTGTGTTTCCTTTATCAGCAAATTTTTAAAAATAGCGTACTAAATTATCATTTGCAGTGTAATATCCCCTCCCCAATCTCATTATAGGGAAAAAGGTGGAAGCAATTCCCTACGTGTTTGTAGTGAAACTATGAGAGATTTTCTTTTTTTATCTATTTTATGACCTTTTTTTTTTTTTATTTGAGATGGAGTCTTGCTCTGTCACCAGGCTGAAGTGCAGTGGTGCGATCTCGGCTCTTTGCAACCTCTGACTCCCTAGTTCAAGCGATTCTCCTGCCTCAGCCTCCTGGGTAGCTGGGATTACAGGCACGCACCACCACGCCCAGCTAATTTTTGTATTTTTAATAGAGACGGGGTTTCACCATGTTGGCCAGGATGGTCTCGATCTCCAGACCTTGTGTTCTGCCTGCCTCAGCCTCCCAAAGTGTATTTCATGACTTTTAAAAATCATTTGTATTACCCTTATAATGAAGTAAATAAGTTTTGAAATAATGATGTTCTTTTTTAATTTTTAAGCTCATTAAGTCCTCTCCTTGCTTTCATAAAAGATGAGAAATGAAATCACTTTCCTTCTTCCTATTCTAGTTTTTACATTATAAAAGTTATAATTGCGGTTTTTTACCTGTTAATCTTGAAAAATTTAAAACCCTTAGAAAAATTACACAGATAAAAAAAAAATACTGACATGCTTTTCCCCTTGATTTGCCAGTTGTTAAAATTTTATCACGGTTCTTCCTCTCTGTTTCCCTATGCATATGTTTGTGTGTATGTGTTTGTATATTTGCTGAACCGTAAGAGTGACTGTGAATTTTAAGAACTCAATTTGAAATCAAAATATAAGCAATTTTGAAGCTAAAATCTTCAGGAGATAGTGTCTAGTCAATGTCCTTGACAGCTTTTTCTAAAGAGCTGCCTTTCATTTCTGTGTCGTTTTCTTGAGCACCAGTAATAGTGAAGCACATCTATGACTCGGTGCTTCCAGAACACAATGCTTCTATTTTAGGAAGGACTTCTCATAATTTTATTATATGTTTGAACTATCAACACAAAATGAGAGCATGTTCCTTTAAAATGTCAAATGTTATTAGCTGCACAGTAAGTTCTAATGTAAAAGGAACTAATTTGATTTAATAACTTGAAAAATATTAGAGTGATAATCCTTCTATATCTCATCATAGCTGAGTAATTTTAATCCACTGCCACACTGTTCTGGAATAGCCCGTTTGGTTCAGTAGCATTGCATAGTAATTGACAAGGCAGTCAGATAGTCCAAGTTCAGATATTGGTGCCACTACTTACTGTGTGACCTTGGACAAGTTATTTTTATCTTTTTTAAAATTTTAATATCATTCAGCTCAAAATGCCATAGTCAATTCTTAAATCTGAGATTGTTACCTCATCTACAAATTGGAGATGATAACAGTATACAAGAAAAAGATAGTTATGATGAAGTGATATAATTCATGGTGCATAGTAAACCTTCAGAAATTATTATGAATATTGTTTTCATTGTTATTCACCATATTGGGGGCTTTGGTTATTATTATAACTTCCAGCTTGTCTTCATGACAACAGCTTCCTCACATTCTAGCTTTTCCTACTTATCTCTTCTTGGCACTTGGGTGAGAGGGCCAAAAAATCAGCTTCATTTTATGTGAAACTGGTTAGGACTTATAGTCAGAAATGGGCTTTAAATTACTTTCTTCCTGAATTAGACAGCTTCAGGCCTTCATCAAAAGTGCCTGAGTCTGCCCCAGCCCATACATTTTTCTAATCAGTAACATGATTTTGATGTTTCACTGCTCAGAAATCCTCTATCATTCCCATTTCATGCAAAAAAGATCAGATATCCTTAATAATAATGGTTGCTTTTAATTGAAGCACTTAGTTATATGCCAGACATTGTATTACATGCCTTGCATTTATTATTTTATGTTTCTGTTTAATTTCTCAACAACCCCATGAGGAAAGTGTTGTTATCCATCTCCAATATACGAATAAGGGAACTGAGGCTCTGCTCTATTGAGTGACTTCTTGGTCAGAGTTACATTGTTAGGAAGTGGCAAATGTGGGCAGTGAGTCTGGGCCAAACACCACCAGAGCCTGTGCTGTCAAAGAGTTAAACTGCACCGCCTTTTCAGCCTTGTATTCAGTCTCTTGGTTACCTAGGTGAGAAAGCCTATCTTTCCTTACCTCTCTCCTCTAATTTACCACCCACACATCTGTGCTTTAATCTCTCCCTGAAAATTCTTTGTCCTTTGAAATCTTTTGCTGGTTTTTTCTTGCTGTTCTCTGTCTGGATTATATTTTCCCACACTTGCATTTATATACATTCTAATTATCCTCTGTGATCCTGTTCAGATGCCACGTCCTCTCTGAAGCCTTTCCTGGTTCTATTCTCTCTTCCTCCGAAACAGTTGTTCACATTTATATTAGTAATTTGGATAATAGTCACTTTTAAAGTCTTGCCGTTCCATGGTATTATTAGTTCTTTGAAGGCACGGACCATATAATTTTTTTTTATCTCTGTATCATTAAGCACAAACTATAGTGCTTTGATGATGCTGATAATTATGGTGAAGATTGTTATTATGACAATGGTGGTTACTATTTATTAAGTACTTCCTCTGTACCACATAATTTGCTAGGTGCTTTGTATATGTTATCTTGATTTCACAGACTCCAGGTGACACACTCTTGGGACCTTCGTCTGTGTCAGTATAACCTGGGAAGGATAATATTCATGATTTTTACCTAGAGTTCTTAGGAAAGTCTGCAGCCAGGATTCAGTTAGGTCCATCAGATTTTTTTTAACGGTCTTCCCGTTAGACCCATTACACTGTACTGTCTATTCAGCTTGCAAAAGGTTCACCAGAAATACTTGTAGCATCCTATTTTTACACCCTAATTGTTTCCATTTCTGATAAATATTTAGGAATCTTATAGGTAAAATTAACAACTGAGTTGCTAAATTTATGAAATTCTTAAACCAATTATCCACAACATTTTGTAGTTTCACTTATTCTTAAATACAAATAATTCTTTTAAATTGCCATAAGATAGCATTTGACAAGTATATTAAATAATACATACTGAAAGACATACTCAGTGGCATTGCAGAATTGTATTCTTCTCAGAAGTTAAAAAAAAAAGACTTGTAATCTTATTAGGGCATGGAATTTGATTTAAGGTAAGTTAGACTGGGATTCAGCCTAGGTGATTTATAGCTAAAAGCCTTATAAGGATCTGGCTACAGCAAAACCTGTATAATTCAGTGCTTTAGCATGGATCTCCAGGCCCTTGTGGGAGTGAGTCTCCTGTATGGATAACCCCTTAAGAGTTATGGATAAATAATCCATTGACATAATCAAATAAGATATTCATTTGGGGTTACAAGAAAAGAGATTCCAGTATGAGATAGAACATTGTACAAACTGTCCCCTTTTCTGAATCATTTTAAACTTCACAGTCCTATAATAACCAAGCATTCATACTTCACTTTTAGAGTAGTATAAGATTTGATACTCTAATGGCATATTGAAATTCTAATCATCTGGGGAAAATGATAGAAAGAACTGGAGCTTTGGGGTCCTACAGCACTATTATTCATTTGTGTGGGCATATTATATCACTTCCCTGAAGTTTGTTGGTTCAGCTGTAAAAAGTAACTTATGATGCCTACTTTGCTTAATTATTGTCAGCAAGTAATCAGATATATAGCCGCCCCGTCCGGGAGGTGAGGGGCGCCTCTGCCCGGCCGCCCCTACTGGGAAGTGAGGAGCCCCTCTGCCCGGCCAGCCGCCCCGTCCGGGAGGGAGGTGGGGGGGTCAGCCCCCCGCCCGGCCAGCCGCCCCGTCCGGGAGGGAGGTGGGGGGGTCAGCCCCCCGCCCGGCCAGCCGCCCCGTCCAGGAGGGAGGTGGGGGGGGTCAGCCCCCCGCCCGGCCAGCCGCCCCGTCCGGGAGGGAGGTGGGGGGATCAGCCCCCCGCCTGGCCAGCCGCCCCGTCCGGGAGGTGAGGGGCGCCTCTGCCCGGCCGCCCCTACTGGGAAGTGAGGAGCCCTCTGCCCGGCCAGCCGCCCCATCCGGGAGGTGAGGGGCGCTTCTGCCCGGCCGCCCCTACTGGGAAGTGAGGAGCCCCTCTGCCCGGCCACGACCCCGTCTGGGAGGTGTGCCCAGCGGCTCATTGGGGATGGGCCATGATGACAATGGCGGTTTTGTGGAATAGAAAGGCGGGAAGGGTGGGGAAAAAATTGAGAAATCGGATGGTTGCCGGGTCTGTGTGGATAGAAGTAGACATGGGAGACTTTTCATTTTGTTCTGTACTAAGAAAAATTCTTCTGCCTTGGGATCCTGTTGATCTGTGACCTTATCCCCAACCCTGTGCCCTCTGAAACATGTGCTGTGTCCACTCAGGGTTAAATGGATTAAGGGCGGTGCAAGATGTGCTTTGTTAAACAGATGCTTGAAGGCAGCATGCTCGTTAAGAGTCATCACCACTCCCTAATCTTAAGTACCCAGGGACACAAACACTGCGGAAGGCCGCAGGGTCCTCTGCCTAGGAAAACCAGAGACCTTTGTTCACTTGTTTATCTGCTGACCTTCCCTCCACTGTTGTCCTATGACCCTGCCAAATCCCCCTCTGCGAGAAACACCCAAGAATGATCAATAAAAAAAAAAATTAAAAAAAAAGAAAAGAAAAAAAAAAAATTACTAGAATGCAGCCTTGCACTATTGGTATTATTAACAGAAATAAACCTTACTACTTATTAAATTTTGAAATAAGCTAGCCAAGGATGTTTATCTGCTTTATATAACTCATTTTAATATGATACTGTTTTAAAATTACATTCATTTTACATAGGTTTTAAATACCTAATACAGTTCGCTGTAAGCCATTTAAAAACCAAAATTTTTCCTTTCAAGAGGAAAAAAACGAAGTCATCCAACAAACAAGTGTTAGGTCAGTGACCACATTTGATTACCGGAAGGGGGAAAATAAAAGGCTTAGGAGTTTACAGATACCTCTGGATTTTGCCCTGCAGTGAG
This sequence comes from Homo sapiens, assembly GCF_000001405.40. NCBI lineage: Eukaryota > Metazoa > Chordata > Mammalia > Primates > Hominidae > Homo > Homo sapiens. The sequence goes on along the minus strand of NC_000002.12, from coordinate 15,218,964 downwards.
GAGCTGGTTTCACCTGAGGACCTGCTGGAGTGGCTGCGGCCTTTCTGTGCTGATGACGCCTGGCCGGTGCGGCCCCGCATTCACGTGCTGCAGATTTTGGGGCAATCATTTCACCTGACTGAGGAGGACAGCAAGCTCCTCGTGTTCTTTAGAACTGAAGCCATTCTCAAAGCCTCCTGGCCCCAGAGACAGGTAAGGGAGTGTCTGAATGATTATTTTTCTTACTAACAATAATTAGGCCGGACGCGGTTGCTCACGCCTGTAATCCCAGCATTGTGGGAGGCCAAGGTGGGAGGATCACCTGAGGCCAGGAGTTCAAGACCAGCCTGGCACCTGGCCAACATGACAAAACCCCATCTCTACTAAATCTACAAACAGCCTGGTGTGGTGGCACGCATCTGTAGTCCCAGCTGCTCGGGAGGCTGAGGCAGGAGAATCGCTTAAACCTGGGAGATGGAGATTGCAGTGGTCGAGATGGCACCACTGCACTCCAGCCTGGGCAACAGAGCAAGACTCCATCTCAAAAGAAAAAGAAAAAAACAATAGTTGGAGGTCAGTTCTTGATTTCTTTAAGCAACTGTCAACTGGATAATCATCTTGGTAATGCAAACTTTCCAGTATATATATCAATCAGCTATTTAGTACTTGAATATGTACAACGAAATTTATTTTTATTTTTCCATAAGCTTGAACATGCATATGCATGGTAGATTATACACAAAACACGTGTACATTATTTTTCTCTTAATAGGAGATAGGATGGTTCACAGTATCCGTTAATCATGGTGGCTTACTCTTGCCCAGGAAAAATGCAGGTGTGAATAGAAATATAGTAATTCTATATTTAGCTAATTCATTTCCTTCGTGCTCTGCCCAGGTACTAAAATGCTGTCCCTTCTCCCTATACTTAGAAGGACATAATGTAACAGAGACACAAGACCTTAGTTTCTCCATACCATACTTCAAGGCTCACTCAGTCCATCTTCTCTCTGGAACCTTCTCTAACCATTGCAAGCTTAATGGAACCTTGAATTCCACATATTTGAGCCTTAATTATTTATAATTATTATCGTTATTAATTACTGTTAAAAGTTTTGTTTTTCCACCACCATGAAAACTGAAGCCCTAGAGGATGTATTTACCATCTTTTGACTCTAAGTATCCTGTGCACATACTCAGAGTTTAAATCCTTATTGATTGAATAAATAAGAATGCTAATTCCTAAATCAAAGAAATATTGTGGCTGTTGAAATTTGGCTTAAATTCTAAATTGATGCACCTGAGGCCATAGCGTCCAGGAGTCGGGAACCTTAATCACGTGCTTTAGCACGCAGGGTTAGACCATCATGTCAATAAGTGTTACAAATTAGGACTTCCCAGATAATCCCCATTGCAAAAGAGTTTCCTAGAGGTCTAACTGCAACTCATTCTACCGTCTAATCTTAAAGCAAGTTTATAATTTATATGGTTATTACTACATCTAAAGAACAATAAATTCCTTTTAAAAAATGAATCAGATTTTAAGAATATTTTGGGCCTCATCACGAATATCTTTGTAATTATTATCAGATACAGTCTTATTTCCCTCTGTGAGATGAAGAGGTCAATACTATTGTTTGCTCTTCAGAGTTAGAGAAATTGAGATTCAAAAAAGATAGACCTATCAAAGATTCTCTATTCTTGTCAAATCACTGAAGTGGATTGTAGTTTAAAAGTCATGAATATCAGAATCATACTCTCTCTGAAGCACTGTGACCTTAACATGTTCAGTCTCAACATTTTGCCTTGAATTACTTGAGGAAACCACTTGCAGTGTTTTTTTAAAGAGCAGGCTAGGGACACGAAGGCATAGGCCACAAGCTCTATTGCCGGTACAGGGCATAGAAGTTAGAGATGTGCTTGTTTTCAGCAAACATGAAGGTTCATGTGGCATCCCTGGGGAAAACCCTAAATTAGGTCACATTAGTTTTGCTATGTGGAACTTTAGGTTCTGACTCTGGTCCTGAAGCAAATGGATGTGACTACAGTTATGTACTTTCCTCATACCTTCACTTTTTAAATTCTCGACCTCGGTCAGTTTCACCTTCTCGCCAGGATGATGAGGCTGATTTCTCTGGTTAGAGCCTCACTTTATGTTATGTCAGATTCCTAATATTCTAAAGATAAGAGGAAACAGTGTAGAAGTTGGGAAAAGGGGAAAATGTCCATATTACCTGACATGTTAAAACACAGGAACATACACTTCAATATTTGAACGCGAGCTCTTCATAAATAAGTATCATTGCTATTTCTTCCTTTAAGCTTTTGTCGATGTTCTAATTACTCAAGAAACAAGTTGTAACTTTTATATGAGTTCAAGGACTTCTGAATATTTTTGAGATTTTAGTTCCTTGATAGCTTAACTTTTTCCAAAAGCAGAACTTAAGGCAACTTGGCTTGTAATTAAGATTTTTTTCTCAAGCACTTTTCTAAACTGACTTGACTTTATTGTTATGAGTGCAAACTATTTTCTCTCATTTGCCAAATCCATGTGTATCTGCGTTTCACCAATATTTCTTCTGTGGTGGTGCAAACTTTTTCCGGCCCCCTAGGAAATCTCTCCCAAGAGTCTCTGAATGACTCTAATACAAGTCATCTCATATCCCCCTCACTCTTTTTGTTTTCTCGCCTCTCTGCTTTCCCCTTATGTAAGAGCATTTTCCCTGTTCTTGGTAGGTAATGATACAGATTTGTTGAATATTTGGTAGTACAAATAAGAAAGCCACACTGGCTTAATGATGCTACTCATCTAGAGTCTTCTCCAAGAAGTAAATCAGTGAGTGTCCCCCTCCTCCTTTAGAAAGTAAAGATGTCTGTCTGGCATTACTGATTGAAATCTATTTTGAAGGACAGGTGCATTTGATGGGGGAAAATGACTTATAATTGTAAATAACCTCTTGTTACTTGGTGAGTGAATGCAGAAGTATTGTGTTTAGAATGGAAACACCAACAACTTCTGGAATGTTACAAAACTATGCCCATAGTTTAAATTGTCTCTTAAATTATTGTTTTTCAAAAATTGTCTTACCTTTCACTAGAGTAGTAGAAAGATCAGGGCACTAGTGGGCAGATACTTGTGTGTGTGACCATCCTCCCTCTACCACTAGTTTTAGAATTTGGGGGAAGATTCTTCATCTGTGTGCTTGGCTGCTTGGTGTATAAAATGGAAGCTTCAACTAGAGGAGATAGAGGATGTTGTGCTCCCCTCATCATTTCTCTCACACACATTAAACTCCACTCTTCATCTCCATATCCCAAACACCTAGAAGATCCCCAAGTATTGACTGTATGAGCTCTTGTTTTTTTCATTTTCTCTCTATCCCCTTCTTCATTCTCAGAGATAACTTTGGGTGATATTAAGGATAGAGACAAGTTCTTACAGAGTAAGGATAAGAATAGATAATGATATTGCAATGTTCAGTTACCAAAAAATGTGTGACTGCTACTTTCACTGTGGCTGCCAACCCTCTTAGGCAGACTTTGCATACATCAGAGAGAGACTTAATATTTAATTATCCTCGAGGTGCCCAAAGTAGTGGCCCCACAAATCAGTGTGTTGCTGGGAAACCAGCCAGCTCCTGCAAAATTAAACACAGAGTCTCTGGTTCTTGCTACCTCACTGGTTCTCGGAGAGACAGTAATTTTTAGTTTTCTAATGATTAGTTAACAGAATTAAAAATTCAGAGGCCTTCATTTTTCAACAGTTTGAGAGGCTTTTATTTCCATTCCAGAAATATGCCCCAGCTTGGGGTGGGAGGGAAAAAGAGAGGGACATGGGGGCAGGGGAGAGGGGATGAATGTGTTGTGTTAATCCTCATAGTACGGTTTATCTGAGTTTTTCAGCTTTTGTAATTTTCTAGCTAACTGGTGCATGAAAAATATGGGGCAAAATATGGTTAATTCCTTTAGAAAAAAATCCCATACCATGTCACCTCAAACTTTTTTCCCATTTTTATGTAAAAAAGAACATGTGGCTTAGTTTTACCTTTTAAAATTTCAGTATGTCTGAATTTGTGGTTGTAGGCGATCACCAAAAGAATTAGTTTAAGACAATCTAACCTCATTACAAATGCATGTATTTTGCCTACTTTGAAATGTTCAGGGACATATTAACCCTTCTTTTCAGAAACCAGTTTGACTATATTTCCAAAATATTAGTAAAATGTGCCCTTCCCTCTCAGAGCTCAGAGAACAGCCACAAAAGTCCAGTATGCCAAGCTACATTTAGATCCTTACAAGTAATTTACTGTTACCTTAAATGTCTTCAAAGCTAAGACTCACTGTCATGATTTACTTAACCAAATTTAGGATATTTGAAGTTAAAAATATATGTGCACACATCCATATCATATAATATAACCTAGCCATGAAATCACAGATTCCTAGAACTAGAAGAGACTTTCAAAAGCATCCCCAGTTCAGCAGTCATACTTTATAGAAAAGGATACAGAAGTCCAGAAAGGATAACTGCCTTCCTCATATTTTAGCTTAAATGTTTCCTTTTCTAAAGTGACTATACAGCCTAAATTAACCACCTCAGTCACTGTCTATTTTATTGCTGTCTTAATTCTCCACAAATCACTCACCAGTGTCTGCTGACTTTTTCCTGCCTATCCTTATGTTTGTCTATTTATTATATGAACTCTTTCTTCTTCCATTAGGATATAAATTCCATGAGAAGAGGGATCTCACAAACAATAAATATTTGTTGAATAAATGAATATCAAATCTTTAAAAATTTGTCCAAGGTCACCCTTAAAATGGCAGGGCAGGACTCCTGACTTTCAGTCTGATGTTCTTGCCATTAATGATGAAGGATTAGACCATGCCACTTCCCCCTGACATGCAAGCAAAATGATTTGCTTGGAATAATGGGAAGATTTCCTTATAGAGTGGCCTGGTGCTTTTATTTTATTTTTATTAGTTTGCCATAGTTTGCTGACAATGATTTCTGACCAGCCAGTTGCTTCTCATGTCACAGCATGTTTGTCCCAATATGAGCAAGAGATTTGAAATGTTTGGATATAGCTCCTTGTGTCTTTTTTCCTAAAATGATTAAAGTTGACAGAACATCCGTTTTAATTGGTCCTGCAAATATTTGGAGATGTTGAGAGTTTCTCTTTATGAACAATGTGTTCCTTGCTTTAAATATTTGCCCTCTCGCTGTTGGCATCACTGGGGGCCAAAGAAGGAACCCTGGAATGTGTACTATGTGCACGCTAATCTTTAAAACTGTCTTGCAAAGTGGTTACCATCCTCTCTGTTTTAAATGAGGTCACATGACCAATTTAAGGTGATACATGGAACTCAAACCAGTTCTGTCTGGTTCTAAAACCTATATTCTTGGCCTTGTACTACACTTCTTCCTATTTTCCAGGGAAATATATGGCACTGATATTTGAATAGCATTGGACTACATAAAGCATAGTCTTTTCCTCTTCCCACTATGACTTTACATGGATTAAATTTGATTAGAGATGAGAAATCAGGGGTTTGACAGAATAGAAAACATTGCTTCATCTTTTACATTTGTCACGTCTCGATACATGGTACTATATATGTTAACTGCTGCTTAATTAAAATATTGAAAAATGCCATGCCTATTAACTGTTGTTTGAACAGGGCAATATGTGTGGAATATTCACCAAATATTCTTCAAGCATATGTCATTTGACATGCACTGTGCTACACTCTAGGGACAGAAAAATAGACAAGGCAATTGATAGTAAAATGTTTGGACTTTTTAGCCACCAGTCCCTAGCTCTGTGAGCTTGGAAAAGTTAGTAAATCTCTCATAACCTCAATTTCCTTGTCTAAAAAATGGAAATAATAACACAATACAATTGTTGTAAGAATTAAATAGGCTAATACCTATAAAGCTCTAATTCTGGTCCCAATAAATGGACCTAATTGGTGAAGGACCTCTACACCAGTGGAGAACATAGATCTATCAACAAAGAAGTAGATACCCTAAAGGTTTAGATACCGTATTAGTTTGTTCTCACGCTGCTATAAAGAGCTGCCCGCAACTGGATAGTTTATAAAGGAAAGAGGTTTGACTCACAATTCTGCAGGGCTGGGGAGGCCTCAGGAAACTTATAATCATGGCAGAAGGGGAAGCAAACAGGTCCTTCTTCACATGGCAACAGGAAAGAGAAGAATGAAAGCCAAGCGAAGGAGGCTTCCTATAAAACCATCAGATCTTGTGAGAACTTACTATCACGAGAATAGCATAGGGGAAACTCCCCCCATGCTTCAGTTACCTCCCACCAGTTCCCTTCCACTACACGTGGGGATTATGGGAACTACAATTCAAGATGAGATTTGGGTGGGGACACAGCCAAACATATCAGGTACTGTGATAAAAGTCTGCACAGTACACAGGGGTCAAAGGAGGGCGTGCAGCCACTGTGTCTGGAAGCAGTGAGGAAAGGCTCACTGCTCTTGAAGAGGTGATACTGAAACTGAGTTCAGCCCAGCTGGTGTATGGTATGAAGACAACAGCCACCAAAAGAAGAAAGTGGAAGGAAGCAGATCAGATCCTGGAGAGCCGCGAGTATCATGCTCAGGTTTGACTTCTGTGCTGCTCAGGCAACACGGAAGGGTGTGGCCCGAGAAGCAACATGAACAGATCTATGTTTAGGGAGAAGCCCTCTGGCCTCTGCATGAACAGTGGACTGGAGAGGTCTGGCTGGAGGGATGCCAGTTGGAAGACAAAAGCAGTGGTCTTATTGCCTGTACTGGCCCTGAAGTTGGTACTAGCTGCGAACAAACAAGAGGGTAGAAAAGAAAGTGTAAAGTGTTAGTATCCATGGACTTGGTGTCTGCTTAGATATGGGGGCTTAGAAAAGAACTTATTTTGCCTCTGATTTTTGCCTAAGTTACAAGGAGGAAGTGGTGCTGCTGAACTTATTAGCACATGCAGGAGGAGAATCCAGTTTTGTGGCAAATGACACTAATTTCAGGGAAGTCATTAGTATGTTTTAATTCTGAAGAATGCTTTTTGGAAGGTGGAAGTGGAGATATAGGGACGCTCTGTTTATCCCCTTCACACAAGCATCCTTTCTTCATGGCCTTAATGTGTCCTAGTTAACAGTGACCACTTCCTAGGAAGTAAACTTGAGTTTAGCAGATGTCACTGGATGAGGTCTGCTCTAACACCATCTCTGGGTACTCTTTTCCCAGGTTCAGGTCAAGTCTCAGTTGGGCTAATCATGTCCAAGTGCCTTCTGCTTAGAGGTGTAATGATCTCAGCAGTGATGATCTTTAGTTAACATGTTGCACAACAATATCTTCTCTTCAATCCTCCTACGGATAAGCGAGAAAAACGTTGAAGGAAAAGGAAAAAAAATTGTCACGAAAAATAAAAGTATGTGAATGTTGGGCACTGGTAGAGGAGATAGAATAACTGGGGATAACTTTTCATTTGGAAATTTGAGATTTACAAAAAAGTTGCATAAATTATGCAAAGTATTCTGTATACTTTTTACTCAGATTCATTAAATATTAACATCTAAGATAACAAAGCTACATTGTTTCGATACTGTCATCCAATTTACACATAATTCAAATACTGTTCGTTGTCCCACTAGTGTCCACATCTAATATAGGTTGCACATTGCATTTCTTTATTTTTTATCTTTTTATTTTTTTAATTTTTGTGGGTACATAGTAGGTGTATATATTTTTGGGTTACATGAGATATCTTGATACAGGCATGCAGTGCATAAAAATCACATCAAGATAAATGGGGCATGTACCACCTCAAGCATTTATCCTTTGTGTTACAAACAATCTAAGTTATACTTTTAGTAATTTTTATATGTACAATTAAATTATTTTTTACTATAGTCATCCTGTTGTGTTAGCAGATACTAAGTCTTATTTATTCTAACTCTTTTTTTCTACCTATTAATCATCCACTTCCCCTGTAACACCCTCACTACCCTTCCCAGCTTCTGATTACCATCCTTCTATTCTCTATCTGCATGAGTTCAATACTTTTAATATTTGGCTCCCACAAATAAGTGAAAACATGTGAAGTTTGTCTTTCCGTGCCTGGCTTATTTCACTTAACATTATGACCTCCAGTTCCATCTGTGTTGTTGCAGATCTCAGGATCTCATTCTTTTTATGGCTGAATAGTACTCCATTGTATATATGTACCACATTTTCTTTATCCATTCATCTGTTAATGGACACTTAGGTAGCTTCCAAATTGTGGCTGTTGTGAACAGTGTTGCAATAGACATGGGAGTGCAGCTATCTCTTTGATACACTGATTTCTTTTCTTTGGGGTATATACCCAACAAAGAGATTGCTGGATCATATGGTAGCTCTATTTTTAGTTTTGTGAGGAACTTCCAAACTCTTCTCCATAGTTTTTGTACTAATTTACATTCCAACCAATAGTGCATGAGGATTCCTTTTTCTCCATATTCTTGTCCGCATTGTTTATTGCCTGTCTTTTGGATATAAGCCAGTTTAACTGGGGTGAGATGATATCTCATTGTAGTTTTGATTTGCATTTCTCTGATAATCAGTGATGTTGAGCACCTTTTCATGTACCCATTTGCCATTTATATGTCTTCTTTTGAGAAATGTCTATTCAGATTTTCGCCCATTTTTTAACCAGATAATTATTTTTTTTCTATAGTTGTTTGAACTCCTTATATATTCTGGTTTTTAATCCCTTGTCAGATGAGTAGTTTGCAAATATTTTTTCCCATTCTGTGTGTTGTCTCTTCACTTTGTTGATTGTTTCCTTTGTTGTGCAGAAGTTTTTAACTTGATGTGATTCCATTTGTCCCTTTTTTGCTTTGGTTGCCTGTGCTTGTGGGGTATTACTCAAGAAATCTTTGTCCAGTCCAGTGTTCTGGAGAGTTTCCTCAATGTTTCCTTTTACTAATTTCATAGTTTGAGGTCTTAGAGTTAAGTCTTTAATCCATTTTGATTTGATTTTTATATATGGTGAGAGATAGAGGTCTAGTTTTATTCTTTTGCATATGGATATCCAGTTTTCCTAGCAGCATTTATTGAAGAGGCTGTCCTTTCTCCAATGTTTGTTCTTGGCACCTTTGTCAAAAATGGGTTTACTGTAGATGCTTGGATTTATCTTTGGGTTCTCTATTCTGTTCCACTGATGTTTGTGTATCTTTTGATACTACTACCCTGCTATTTTGCTTACTATAGCTCCATAGTATAATATGAAGTCAGGTAATATGATTCCTCCAGTTTTGTTGTTTTTGGTCATCAGAGCTTTGGCTATTCTAGGTCTTTGTAACTTCATATAAAGTTTAGGATTGTTTTTTGTATTTCTTTAAAGAATGTCATTGATATTTTGAGAGAAATTGCATTAAATCTGTACATTGCTTTGGGTAGTAGGAACATTTTAACAGTATTTATTTATCAATGATATTGGCCTGTAGTTTTATTTTTTTAATGTGTCTTTGTCTGGGTTTAGTATCAGGGTAATACTGGGCTTTTAGAATTAGTTTGGAAGCATTTCCTCCTCCTCTATTGTTTGGAATAGTTGGAATAGGATTGGTATTATTCTTCTTTAAATATTTGGTAGAATTCTGCAGTGAAGCTATCCAGTCCCAGATTTTTCTTTACTGGGAGACTTATGGCTTCTGTCTCATTACCTGTTATTGGTCTGTTCAGGTTTTAGATTTCTTCATGGTTCACTCTTGGTAGGTTGCATGTGTCTAGGAATTTATCCATTTCCTCTAGATTTTCCAACTTACTGGCATATAGTTGCTTAAAGTAGCCACTAATGGTCCTTTGAGTTTCTGCAGTATTGGTTGAAATGTCTCCTTTTTCATCTTTGGTTTTATTTGGGTTTTCTCTCACTTTTTGTTTTTAAGTTAATCTGTCTAAAGATTTGTCAGTTTTATCTTTTAAAAAAAGCCCAATGATTTGTTTTAGTGATCTTTTATGTTGTTTTCTTCATTTCCAATTCGTTTATTTCTGCTCTGATCTTCATTATATCCTTTTTCCTACTAATTTTATATTTGATTTGCTCTTGCTTTTCTAGCTCTTTAAGATGCATTGTTAGGTTATTTGAAGTTTTTCTTTTCCTTTTTTGATGTAGCCACTTATAGCTATAAACTTCTTTCTTAGTCCTGCTTTTACAGTAACCTATAGGTTTCGGTATGTTATGTTTCCATTATCATTTGTTTCAAGAAATTTTTCAGTTTCCTTCTTCATTTCTTCATTGGGCCACTGCTTGATAATATTTCCATTTTTTTAATGTTTTAAGACTTGTTTTGTGACCTATAATATAGTCTGTCCTTGAGAATGATCCATGTGCTGAGGAAAAGAAGTATATTCTCCAGCTGTTGGGGGAAATATTCTGTAAATATCTATTTGATCCATTTGATCCATAGTACCGATTAAATCCAATGTTTCTTCGTTGATTTTCTGTCTGGGCAATCTGTCCGATGCTGAAAGTCGGGTGTTGAAGTCTCCAGCTATTATGTATTGGGGCCTGATATGGTTTGGCTATGTCCCCAACCAAATCTCATCTTGAATTATAGTTCCCATAATTACCACATGTTGTGGGAGGGACCCAGTGGAAGATAATTGAATCACGGGGGCACTTTCCCCCATACTGTTCTCGTGGTAGTGAATAAATCTCATAAGATCTGGTGTTTTTATAAGGGATTTCCCCTTCCACTTGGTTTTTCCTTCTCTCTTGCCTGCTGCCATGTAAGACATGCCTTTTGCCTTCCACTATGATTGTGAGGCCTTCCCAGCCACATGGAACTGAGTCCATTAAACCTCTTTTTCGTTATAAATTATTCAGTCATGGGTATGTCTTTATCAGCAGAGTGAAAATGGACTAATACAAGGCCTATCTCTTTCTTTAGCTCTAATAACATTTGCTTTATATATATCTGGGTGCTCAAGCATTGGGTGCATATATATTTACAACTGTTATATCCTCTTGCTGAATTGACCTTTTTATCATTATATAGTGACCTTCTTTGTTTCTTCTTATAGTTTTTGTCTTGAAATCAATTTTGTGTTAGTTACTATGTTAGTCCATTTTCACACGGCTGTAAAGAACTACCTGAGACTGAGTAATTTATAAAGAAAAGAGGTTTAATTAACTCACAGTTCTGCATGGCTTGGGAGGCCCCAGGAAACTTACAACCATGACAGCAAATGAAGAGCAAGCACCTTCTTCAAAAGGTGGCAGGAGAGAGAAGGGGGGAAGCACCAGACACTTATCAAACAACCAGATCTCATGAGAACTCTATCACAAGAACAGCAAGGGGGAAGTCCACCCCCATGATTCAGTCACCTCCCATCAAGCCACTCTTCCAACACATGGGGATTACAATTTGAGTTGCAATTTGGGTGGGGACACAGAGCCAAACCATATAATTCCATCCCAGCCTCTCCCAAATCTCTTATCCCTTTCACTTTTCAAAACCAATATGCCTTCCCAGTAGTCCCCCAAAGTCTTAACTCATTCCAGCCTTAACTGAAAAGCACAAGCTCAGAGTCTCATTGAGACTGAGACAAGACGAGTTGTTTTCACTTACGAGCCTGTAAAATCACAAATTAGTTAGTTCCAAGATACAATGGGAGTACAGACATTGGGTAAATGCCCTCATTCCAAGTGGGAGAAATTGACCAAAACAAAGGAGCTACAGGCCCCATGCAAGTTTGAAACCCAACAGGGCAGTCATTAAATTTTAAAGCTCCAAATTCATCTTCTTTGACTCCATGTCTCATATCCAGGGCTCGGTCATGCAAGATGTAGGCTCCCAAGCCATGGGCAGCTCTGCTTCTGTGGCTCTGCAGGGTACAGCCTCCATGACTGCTTTCTCAGGCTGGCGTTGATTGCCTATGGCTTTTTCAGGTGCACAGTGCAAGCTGTAGGTGAATCTACCATTCTGGGGTCTGGAGGATGGTGACCCTCTTCTCAAAGCTCCACTAGAGGCAGTGCCCCAGTGGTGACTCTGTGTGGGGGCTCCAACCCCACATTTCCCCTCTGCATTGCCCTAGTAGAGGTTCTCCATGAGGGCTGCAACCCTGTAGCAGACGTTTTCCTGGACCTCCAGGGATTTCCATACATCCTCTGAAATCTAGGTAAAGGCTCCCAAAACTCAACTTGTGTCTTCTGTACACCTGCAGGCCCAGCATCATGTAGAAGCCACCAAGTCTTGGGGCTTGGCTTGCACTCTCTGAAGCAATGGCCTGAGCTCTGTGTTTGCCCCTTTTAGCCACAGCTGGAGCCTGAGTGGCTGGAATGCAGGGCACCATGTCCAAGGCTGCATAGAGCAGTGGCGCCCTGGGCCTGGCCCATGGAACCATTTTTCCCTCCTAGGGCCTCTGGGCCTGTGATTGGAGGGGCTCCCATGAAGATCTCTGACATGCCCTGGAGACATTTTCCCCATAGTCTTGGCTATTAATGTTTGACTTCTCTTTACTTATGCAAGTTTCTGCAGCTGGCTTGAATTTCTCCTCAGATAGTGTTTTTTTTTTTCTACCACATGGTCAGGCTGCAAATTTTCCAAACTTTTGTGCTCTGTTTCCCTTTTAAACTAAGTTCCAATATCAGACCATCTCTGTCTTTGTGCATATGAGTGTACACTTTCAGAAAAAACCAGGTCACATCTTGGACACTTACTGCTTGTAAATTTCTGCCAGATTCCCTAAATTATCATTTTCAAGCTCAGAGTTCCACAGATCTCTAAAGCATAGCAAGAGTGACCTTTATTCCAGTTCCCAATAACTTCCTCATCTCCATCTGAGACCACCTCAGCCCGGATTTCATTGTCCATATCACTATCAGCATTTTGGTCAAAACCATTAAAGTCTCTAGGAAGTTTCATACTTCCCACATCTTCCTGTTTTCTTCTGAACCCAAACTGTTCCAACCTCTACCCATTACCCAGTTCCAATGGTGCTTCCACATTTTCAGGTATCTTTATATCAGTGCCCCACTATCTCGGTACTGATTTTCTATATTAGTCCTTTTTCACACTGCTATAAAGACCTACCTGAGACTGTGTAATTTATAAAGAAAAGAAGTTTAATTGATTCACAGTTCCACATGGCGGAAACTTATAATCATGACAGAAGGTAAAGGAGAAGCAAGATCTTCAGAAGGCAGCAGGAGAGAGAGGGGGTGGAAGGTGCCAGACACTTATCAAACAACCAGATCTCGTGAGAACTCTATGACAAGAACAGCAAAGGGGAAGTCCACCCCCATGACTCAGTCACCTCCCACCAGGCCATTCCCCTAAAATGTGGGGATTATAATTCGAGATGCGATTTGAGTGGGGACACAGAGCCAATCCAACTCCTGCTCTTTCCTGGTTTCCATTGGCATGGAATATCTCTTTTTTTTCCCCCTTTATTTTGAGCGTATGTTGTCTTTATAGGTGAAGCATGTTTCTGGCAACAGATCATTGGGTCTGGTTTTTTTTTTAATTTATTCAACCACTCTATGTCTTTTGATTGGCGAATTTAGTCCATTTCATTCAAGGTTATTATTGATAAGTAAGGACTTACTCCTGCTGTTTTTGTTGTTGTTGTTGTTTCTTTTGTGTTGTTGTCTTCTCTTCCTTCTTTTCTTCTTTCCTGTCTTCCGTTTAGTGAAGGTGATTTTCTCTTGTGGTATGAGTTAATTTCTTGCATTTTATTTTTGTGTATCTGTTGTATGTTTTTTGATTTGAGGTTATCCATGCATCTTACAAATTCTGTGTTATAACTCATTGTTTTAAGCTTATAATGTTAACATTGTTTGCATAAACAAAGAAACAAGCAAAATGAAAATTAATAAAAACTCTACAGCTTAACTTCATTCCCTGGCTTTTTAACTTATTGTTTTATTCTATTTATATCTTATTCTGTAATTTCATATTGCTACTTCTTTTTTTAATTTTTTTATTTTTTATTATTATAGTTTAAGTTCTAGGATACATATGCACAATGTGCAGGTTTGTTACATATGTATACCTGTGCCATGTTGGTGTGCTACACCTGTTAATTCATCATTTACATTAGGTATATCTCCTAATGCTATCCCTCCCCCTTCCCCCAACTGCATGACAGGCCCCAGTGTATGATGTTCCCCACCCTGTGTCCAAGTGTTCTCATTGTTCAATTCCCACCTATGAGTGAGAACACGCGGTGTTTGGTTTTCTGTCCATGCGATAGTTTGCTCAGAATGATAGTTTCTAGCTTCATCCATGTCCCTACAAAGGACATGAACTCATCCTTTTTTATGGCTGTATAGTATTCCATGGTGTATATGTGCCACATTTTCTTAATCCAGTCTATCATTGGTAGACATTTGGGTTGGTTCCTAGTCTTTGCTATTGTGAATAGTGCCGCAAAAACATACGTGTGCATGTGTCTTTATAGCAGCATGATTTATAATTCTTTATTGCTACTTCTAATGCCAGCCCAGTCTCACAGAGTTTATTCTAGCCTTCTCCCTTTTCTTATTTGTAAACTCCTCTCTCTGTCAATAAGAAACTTAGGTTCATTATCCATAATATATTTATATATTTGCTCAATCCTGGAGTACATATGAATTTTGAAATTACTGGGTAGAGTACAATATTTTTGAGAGCTCTTTTTATGTTTAGACTTCAAGTAAGAGTACTGATACTTCTTTTCTTTTTCTTTTTCTATTTTTCTTTTTTGAAAGGGTCTCACCCTGTTGCCCAGGCTGGAGTGCAGTTGACCAATTGTGGCTCGCTGCAGCCCCATCCTCCTGGCTCAAGGATCCTCTTACCTCAGCCTTCCAAGTCACTGAGACCGCAGGCATGCACCACTATGCCCGGCTAACTGTATATTTTTCGTAGAGATGGGGTCTCACTATGTTGCTCAGGCTGGACTCAAACTCCTGGGTTCAAGCAGTCCTGCTGCCCCAACCTCCCAAAGTGCTGGATGCATTATAGACATGAGCCACTGCACCTGGCTTATCTGGTTTATGTTTTTCAAAGTCACTTAATTCCCTCCTCCTCCCCACTCACACACACACACACACACACACACACACACACACAAGCACACACACACACACACAGACACAGACACACACACACAGACATGCCACCTTCAGTATGATTATCTTATTCACTTATTAGTAGTTAGGTTCATTTTTTTCTTTTTATATGTTTTGCCCTATTACTGATTTCAGGTATTCTTTTTTGAATATGTGAAATATTAACATGGAATATGAGATCATTCTCTGGGATTTAGTGCTTTTTTTCCATTTTCCTTATGGTATTTTGAAGTATGGACATGCTTGGTCTATAATTGTGCTGAATGTGTGGGTTTTGTGTAGTTTTATTTGTTCTTGTCATTCTATTTTATATTTGGAGAAAATATAGGTAGACATAATTCATTGGTTGCCAGTTTCTTCTGTTACCCTAAAGTCTCCCTGCATAATTTCTAACTGGAATAAAACTTAACATCAAAGTTAAAACTCTAGAAGTACAACAGAAATCTCTTTTCCCTTAAGCTGTGAAGATACTACATGCTCCATGTTTTGAGGGCCTTCCATGGACTTAACATTAGGCTTCATATGTGTATCATTTCATCTAAACGTTGTAACAGCCCTGTAACATAGGTGATCTCATCACTCCATTCATCACATAAGGAAATAGACTCAAAGTGGTTAAGAAATTTGTGTAATATCTCAATGCTAAAGTATGACAGAATGATATATAACTATGAACTATCCATACTAGTAGCTACCATAGATGCTCAGTGTTAACTCAGTGTTAGACACATGTAAAGGTGTATGTGTATGTCTGTATGGTATATTATGTTATATGTTATGCTATACTATATTATTCTCAAAGTAATCTGATATTGCTAGTTAGGTATTATTACCTTATTTTTACATATGAAAGCACTGAGGCTAAGAGAGGTATTTTTATGTAATCACACAGCTATTAAGTGACAGGGCCAATATTCAAATCTGAGTCTGAATGATACACTACAGCGAGAAAATTTTCAGCTGTATGAATTATTCTATTAAAACTTCATCAAATTTAACTCAAAGCAAAGTATGGCCTTAGTTTCAATAGCAGCTGTTTAAAATAAACACACATGGCCGGGTGCAGTGGCTCAGGCCTGTAATCCCAGCACTTTGGGAGGCTGAGGCAAGCAGATTACCTGAGGTCGGGAGTTTGAGAGCAGCCTGACTAACATGGAGAAACACGTCTCTACTAAAAATGCAAAATTAGCCCAGCGTGGTAACAGGTGCCTGTAATCCCAGCTACTCGGGAGGCTGAGGCAGTAGAATCACTTGAACCCAGGAGGCGGAGGTTGCAGTGAGCCAAGATCGTGCCATTGCACTCCAGCCTGGGCAACAAGAGCGAAACTCCATCTCTAAATAAATAAATAAATAAATAAATAAATAAATAAACAAACAAACACACGTATTTATAGGGGGTCACATGGCACTATATGATTGATTATTTGTCTTAGAGAAAAAATTTATAAGGCAAAATCTTTCCTCTTCTTATTTTAACACAAAATATTTCCCCTTACATGTTTTTAAGTGTTTCATAAAATATATTTAGTCATGTAAAAATATGTATTACATATCGAAGTGACAGCAGCACTTATGGGGAGTGATTACAGCATGTTTTATTGTGTAATTTCTATGTTTACAGGTATAATAAAATAAGTAGGGTGCTGTAAAGCATGGTTCTGAATTGCAGTTGTTGGATTCTGTGTGTTTAGATATGTTTCTGTACCCACGGATGTGTAGGCTGCTTGGGAGCCTACATTCCTGTTCTTTCATTGGGTTTCTCCCCATCCCAAGGGGTGTTTGCAGTGCCCTAGGAGAGACTTTCTGTGGCAATTGAAAACCATTTATTCTTAAGCAGTTTATAAACAGGCACTCATTTTCCTACTCTTCCTTTGAAAAGAAGCAGAGCTAAAAGTTTTTGCTGATCACCAGACCTAGAAGCAAAAGTGGGAAAGAGTTCAATTTCTCATCTCTTTCTTCCTGGTCAGGACACTCTTTCTGTGCAGGAGATCTTCTCACCCTTGCATGAGCTAGGGACAATTGTTTGAACCTTCAGACTGTCTCAGCAAAACATTTTGCCTTATATGAGCTGTGCAAGGTCAAGTATTTAGAAAATTGTCGCCATATCTGCATCTGTTTTTTAGTTCCATAGAAAAGGGAGAATAAGCAGAAAATAGCACCCTTACTTTTAATGTTTAAACTTTGATGATTTTCCATACTTTGATATTTTCTATTTAATAAAATCCATAAATATCCAGAAATGAACAAAAATAGAACATATCATATTTATATTTTCTTATCTAATAGCAATAATTCAGACTATAATTAATAAAAATAACAGTCATAATATTGTTTATTAAATACTTGCTGTGTGCCAAGCACTGGTCTAAGAACTGCTTAGATTGGTGGGGAATGTTGGTAGTCAACAGCTTATGACTGGTTTTGGTCTTCTCAAAATTCCCTTCCACAGAGATATTAATTCAATCCAGTAGACACAACAGGCATTATTGGCCACCTGAAACCTTATCAAAGAAGTGGCTTTAACAGGCAGAGGTCTGGTATTGCTAGAGGTTAACTCTGTCACCTTTTGATATTTCTGTATATCTGTTGAAGCTGAGGATTTTTGTTCATTCTGTTTTTTGAAGCCTTGCATACAACGACATCTCAATATGACTTTATTGTGTTCATGAAAGGTATTGCACAGTTATTTTGCAACTTCAAATCAAGTGTCATTATATGAGTCTCTTAGGAGCAGGCTAACAGCTTACCAGTTCTTATGGAAGATAAGAGTATGGTGATTACTATTCTGTGAGTTACCTGGAGCAATAAAATAGTAGTAAAAAACATTTCTTAAAAAGAATATGGTGGTTACTGTCTCTACTGCCAGGAATAATTCTCTTCATATTTGTAAATCTTGTCTATTTATAAAGTACTTTTAAATGTATTAATAACTACATCATATTTGTAAATTTCTAAAGATAAAATAAGCAACTGTCAATACCTGTAGGAAGATGCATATTTCAAAAGTACCCTAATTTAAGATATTTGTGTTCACTTCCAGGAGCCATAGAGAAATTTGAGGTTAAGACTGTCTTCTACTGATAATAGGTGACTTAGTTCACTTTTTCAAGGACAGTGACTCTGTGTCTGATAAGAAGGCTGCAGCTATATGACAAATTGACATACACAACAAGGGCAAAAGTCACCTAATTCAATGAGGAGAGAAACAGTGCTTTCAGAGACAAAAGGGAAAAAAATATTCTTATGTTTGAGTCACATTTGAATTTTGTTCTTTATAATCCTAGGATGTTTTGTTAGTTGTGTCAGTATGAAATAACACTAACTATTACAGGTGCCTGTAAACTATTTGACGTTTTCACCTCCAGGATTTTGTTTGACACTCACTGTGGAAGGGGTGGGGATGTTAAAAGAGGTATATGTTACTTTCTTGTTCACTGGGCAAAAGGACAAAGTAAAAGAAAATGTAGTAAAAAAAAATAGTTTATTTTGTTTATTTTCACTAATCTGTGGAAGGCATGCTTAAGAGTCATTTGAAATACCATATTTATTGCACAAGTAAATGAGATTTTAAAAAGAGATGAAAATCAACCTACAATTTTATTTTCCCAAAACAGACATATTTGTCTGTCTTCTTTTCCTGTCCTGTCTAGTCTATAGACATAATTCTCAGTAGAAGTAATCATAACAAATATCCAGCTTTTGGCCAGGCACAGTGGCTCATGCTTATAACTCTGGGAGACCAAGGCAGGAGGATTACTTGATCCCAGGAGTTCAAGACCAGCCTGAGCAACATGGGGAGACCCCATCTCTACAATAAAAAAATTAGCCAGGCATAGTGGCATGTGCCTGTGGTCTCAACTGCTTAGGAGGCTGAGGTGGGAGGGTCACTTGAGCCCAGGAGGTTCAGGCTACAGTGAGCCCTGATTCATGCCACTGCACTCCAGCCTGGGTAACGGAGTAAGACCCTGTCTCAAAAAAAAAAAAAAAAAAAAAAATCCAGCTTTCTGTTTTTAATGTTTGGTACATTATGTGGTTGATAATGTAATACCTATCATTTCCTGTGTGCCTACTATGCACCAATCTTTGCCAGCTACTTTATTCCCATTATCTTATTTAGTATTCACAATCATCATATAAGTATTTGTTATCTCTGTCCTATGGAAGAGGAAAAAATCAAGTCTTAAAAAGGTCAGTAAATGTCTCCATAATAAACATTTTTCTGTATTATTTTGACTTTATCATCACTTTTTGAAAGCCATGTATTAATCAAATTTACCTATTATCATTTATAATTCCTGTAGTGAGATATGTTGAAGCATTTGATAACTACCTGTAATTTTCAAATTAAAATATATTCTATAGTAATTTCCCATTGTAACTATCTGGAGACTTACATGAGATCTCTGTACTCCTCATACTTTATGAAATATATTTAGATGCTTGGAACATATGTATTTTATAGGTACTATACTACTTTCTAGCAAAGAGAGAATTTGATTCTTTTCTAGGTCCACATCCATGCTAAGCCACGTGCCTTATTTTCAAGTATTTTGGCGAATTCAAATTTCTGTAATATTCATACTAATCACATGTTCTCACAACTTCAGTAAGCCTCTGAGACCCATTTGCTTCATCTTTTGTGATTTGTGATCTTAGGGCAATATTTCCTTCTCTAATTTTTTTCAGATAATTTGTTAGATTTATGACGTAGTTGTTTCTTCAACTTAAGGTTAATTTTTCTAACTCTTTTTTTTTTTTTTTTTTTGAGATGGAGTCTTACTCTGTCGCCCAGGCTGGAGTGCAGTGGCACAATCTCAGCTCACTGCAAGCTCTGCCTCATGGGTTCACGCCTTTCTCCTGCCTCAGCCTCCCGAGTAGCTGGGACTGCAGGCACCTGTCACCAATGCCCGGCTAATTTTTTGTGTTTTTAGTAGAGACGGGGTTTCCCCATGTTAACCAGGATGGTCTCAATCTCCGGACCTCATGATCCACCCGCCTCGGCCTCCCAAAGTGCTGGGATTACAGGCGTGAGCCACCGCGCCCGGCCAATTTTTCTAACTCTTAATGAGCAATATTAGCTATAGTATGCACATACATTGGGCCAAAGATGTCTTTCGGAAAGTAAGTAGACAAAATTATCATTTGTATTGTGCTATTTTGCAAGAAATGTATATTAATCATTTGTTTTGCTCCATATTCCCTGCTGACCACTAGGATTTAATTATAGCTAAAACTCAGAGGAACTGGCATCAGTATTTTCAACCTTTGGAACATACACAATGTTCCCAAGCATGTAGTTGTCCTCATGTTCTGGCCCCAGCACACTTTATTTACCGCTTCAACCACAGTTCACCTTCATGAGCCACAAACTACTACTCAGCATCCCTCTGTTGACTCCCCTCATCTCTACCCAGTCTTCTCTTTTTTCCCTTACCTCTACATGTCCAAATGCTACTCTTCCCTCAGATCCTTTCTCGTGTGCCACCTTGTCCCCTTCCTGATCTCGAGTTAACTTCTCACTTCTTATAGCACTATAAACCGTATGTCTCTTAAGACCTTTATCAGATTGAATGTGTTACAATAAAAGCCTTCTAACTACCACCTGAGTCAGGTACTTGTGTATTAAAGTGGAGATCATAAAATATGATATATGCATACCTTAAATATTTGTGTGAAACTAAATATATAAATGAGCATTCATTTGCCAAATATTTACTGTAGAGCTAAGGCCTTTTCTTAAATATCCAAGTTAACTATGCTTGCAGAGCAACTGACACTTTCTTCCTGTGGTTTTATATGACCATCTAAATGAAAAGAATAAAAATGTCTACTTTGTGTGTGTTCATTTTTATATGTCTCACAATATATGAAGACAACTGATTTGTCCAGACTGCCAATGTCCATAATCTACTTCTCATGGAAAAAGACCCTCTTTTGAATCATATCTGCATTTGCATAATCATATGCAAAACAGTTTGCAGTTTCAGCAAAACTAAAAGGGAACATGGAGAGCATTTGACTTTTTGATTCCAGAAGCTGAGTTGAATTGAGAGGGATGTTTGAGATGGGGGTAATTCAAATGTAGGCAGAGGAACACATTAAGTCCTTAATATCAAAGTAGGTCAACATAGGCAAATGGACAAGTTACAGGTTAGAAACATAGTAATGGGAGGAAGTACCATTACAAGGAGTAGATTGGGGCAAGATGTTTAGAACTGAAGCTGAGAGTAACAAGAGAGGGCTAGAATTTCCCTTTCCATGGTGTGTGGCATGAGACAGAACTCCTCGTAGGACTGGAAGACATAAACTTATTAGTTGAGGATCGTCTGTCTAATTTCTCAGGCTTTGTCTTGCTTAATTCTCACAAATTGAATGGTCATCTCTCCAATCACTGTATCTCTAGTAAAAAAAAGTAGATGCTCAGTTAGTGTTTGTGGAATTGAATGAATATAACCCTATGAAGTAGACGTCATCAGCACAAATTACAGATAAAGAAACTCAGACCTAGGCTAGACTGTTTGCACCAGGTTACATAGGTATTGTAATAAGTGGCAAGGGGTAGTGAGCAGATGAGGGTTGGAATGAAAAACTAGGATTGTATGACTTTGGCTATGCAAAATATATGTTTATGCTTCACTTCATTACTGAGGAAGCCTCTGTACAGTCCTACCTAATAGCCACTAAATTGTGACGGCTCTTATACATAGCATTGAGACGGCTCTTATATATAGCATTGAGACCTGTTTATAACACTGTTGACTACAATTCAAACTTAGTTTGCTTTCTACTGCACCCCTAAGGTATCAGCAAGCTTTCTTAATTTTATCTTTATGTTGAAGTCAGGGAATGGATCCTTAGTGGTCAGTAGATTTGAAAAGCCCTATTTTTTATTTCATTTTGTGTGGTGTTGTATCTTTGTTTTCTTTTTGCCATAACTGATCATTTATAAAGTGATTTTATGGTTTAATAAAGGAAGGATAAGTCACCAAATACAGACCCATCTGTTAAACAGGCATGCCAATTTCCTGTGGTTCTTGTGTATGTTTCTTTCTTTAAACGAACAAACAGAAACCTCCAATTATGAAAACAATGCATGTTAAACCAAGAAAAGTACCAAAAGGCAGGTAGAAGTGATAATCACCAACAGATCTGTCATCCAAGTGTAAACATTATATTAAATATATATGTAGCCATTTTTCTGCTGCATGCTTTATACAAATTATGTCACATCATGTATAGGGATTTTTCCCCTCAAATTGTATTCTGCTTATTCATCTTTATTTTTACATCATGATTTAGTTTGTTTTCTGCATTTTGTTTGTATAAGCATTTTCCTCTGTGAAGTTTGTTCTGATTGCATTCATTTTCATCCTCCTTTTCAAAATTTAGATTTTTATTGAGATAATTATAGATTCATATCCAGTTGTAAGAAATAATACAGAGCAATTTCTGGTGCACTTTGCCTAGTTTCCCCTAATGGTAACATTTTGCAAAACTACAGTATAATATCCAACCGGGATATTGACATGGATACAATTTGCTGGTTTTATTCAGAATTTTCAAGTTTTACTTGTACTCATTTGTGTGTCTTTGTGTGTATTTAGTGCTATGCAGTTTTATACCTGTATAGGTTCATATAACCAGCACCATAGTCAAGATGTTAGCAATGGCAAATCCATATGGCTTTGTAGCAACTCAGTTCTTGCCTTCTTGAAGTAAAGAACTCATCCAAAGGATGTAAGGCAGAGAGAGCCCGAGGCAAATTTTTGAGTGTGAGTGAGAGTATATTAACAGGTTTTAGAGCAAGAATGAAAGGAACGAAAGTACATTTGGAAGAAGGCCAAGCAGGCAACTTGAGAGATTCAAGTGCCCTGTCTGACCTTTGACTTGGGGATTTACACATTGGCATGCTTCTGGGGTTTTGTGTCTCCTCTCCTTTGAGTTTTCTTTGGCATGAGCTGTCCACATGCTCCATGGCATGCCAGCCCTTGGAAGGGGCTGTGTGCGCAGTGTGTTTACTAGAGTTGTACGCATGCTCACTTGAGCCATTCTTTTCTTACCAGTGTAGTGTTCCTACAGGATGTTCATATACCAGTTAAACTCCACCATTTTGCCTCTTAGTGTACATGCTTGAGCCCACTCACCCAACTCCTGAGATCCAATCAGGAAGCTGCTGATCACCAGCTTCAGGAGTTTTCTGTCTATTGGGAGACTGCCTTTCCCTGATATCTGCTGCAACCAATTATTTTAGAGAGACATTTTAACAACCACTTGACCATCACCTGATGGTCACCTAACATTCCTGGTGTCAAGGGAGTGGAGTCTGTTTCCTCTCCTACCCTGCTCATGTCTGCCTAGCTACCCACTCTAACAAAGATACTGAATAGTTCCAACAACACAAGGATCCCTTTTATAATCACATCCACCCCATCCCTAACCCCTGACAACCATTAATCTTTCCCCCATTTCAGAGTGTCATATCAAAAATATTACATAAATGGAATCAGACAGTATGTATATAACCCTTTGTGAGTGACTTTGTTTACCCAGCAAGAGAGGGCAAGGTGGAACTCTTCCTTTTTATCAGGAACCCATTCCCAGTAAAACTAACGCAGGCCCTAGCTGAGCCTTAATCCATTCAGAGCATCACTCTCGTGACCCAATCACCTCTTAAATATCTCATCTCTTAATCCTATCACAGTGGCAATTAAATTTCAACATGAATTTTGGAAGGGACATTCAAACCATAGCAGATTCTATACATGTAAATAATTTATTTTCTTTGGAGCTATTATAAATAATACATGTTTATTTTTGGTTTTCACATATTTATTGTTATATAACAATGTGATTGATTTTTATATGTTGATCTTGTATCCTATGACATTCCTGACTCGTTTCTTAGTTTTAGGGTTTGTTTTATTGTGTGTGATTTCTTTGAATTTTCTATATAGACAATTTATCTGTAGATAGAATTTTATTTTTTCTTTCCAATTTATGTCTCTGTTATTTCTTTTTCTTGCATTATTGTAGTGGCTAGATCGTTCAGTATGGTGCTGAACAAGAGTGGTAGGAGTGGATATCTTAGCCTTGGCATGTAATATGGAAATCTCACCTCCATATTTGGGTCAGTCCCTTTACCTTCCCCACTTTTAAATATTATTGTCTTGAATGTCATATGGTTTACAACTTTTGTTCTGATCATCAAATATGATTTAGAACATGTATGTGGAAAAGAACAGTCTATTGTATTTACCCATATTTTTGCTCTTTTTGTTCTTCCTTCTGATACTTCATAGTTCCTTCTTTTATCATTTTCTTTAAGAAAGAAGAACTTTGTTTAGCCAGTATTTAAGATGAGGGCTATTAGTGGCAGGTTCTTTTAATTTGTCTTTGTCTGAGAATGTTTTCATTTTCTTTTTTTCCTGAAGAATAGCTTTGCCAGATAAAGAATTTGTAGTTAACCGTTCTTTTCTTTCAGCATTTGAAAAAATGCGACACTTCCTTCTGGCCTCCATGATTTTGGATAATAAATCCATTATTATTCACATTAATGTTCTCCTATAGGTAACGTTGTTCTGTCTGCTTTCAAAATTTTTCTTTTTCTACCTACTTTTCAAGTTTCAAATTATGGTGTAACTTGGCATGAATTTCTTTGTGTTTGTCCTGTTTGGGAATAATTTAGCTTCTTGAATGTGTGGGTTTGTGTCTTCTACCAAATTTTGGAAGTTTTTAGATATGTCTTATAATATCTTTTAGCTTCACGCTCTTTCTCCTTTTCTTGTGGGATTCTGACTGCAAATGGGTCTGCTTGAGCTCTGGTCTGTTTCTAGGTCCAGAATTGGGAAATACTAGGTCTGGGTGGGCTTCTTTTATTTTGATTTTTTTTTTGGCTGGAGAGACAGAAGATATCTGAATACCATGTTCTTTAGGCTTGCAACTCCAGGCTAGTGTACTTTCTTTTTACCACTCTTCAGAATTTTCCCTTCACTGTCTCTTTTATGACTCCTATAGTTTATAGTTGTGCTTTGCAGAGGAGCAGAGAGAAGTGGATAAGCCATGTTGTTCAGACTGGGAGCCCTTTACATAAGTTTACCTTTTATTTTTCTTTACACAAAAATTCATTTTGAATTTTTGAATTTGTGGACACAAATCTTGGATTCGCACTTGTTATATATCAAAGTATATCATGATTATCCAACCAAGTATATTCTTTATTATGTTTTAAAAGTATATGCTCAAGTCTAATTTTAGGCCCATTTTCTTCTCAAAAATTCAAAATTCACCAGAATTTATTGCAAAAAATCTTAAAGGATGTAATAAAGAAGATAATATTAACATTCGTTTTTTAGATATTTTAATATTTGGGCACAATCTTAGATGAGCACTTGTTGTATTTGAAGGTATATAACAATTATCAAACCAAGTATTTCTTTATCATGTTTTAAAAATATGTGCTGAAGTCCATTTTTAGGCCAATTTTCTTCTCTCATAGAAGGTAAAGCTTGCAGCTACAGTGGTAGCAAATTTAAAATTGCATTCTTAAGAGCTGAGTAACTTGACTTGAAACGCTTTGATATGATGGAGTATGCAAGCATGCACAAATGGATAAGTATGTAAGTTACTGTATTTTTCACATTTTTAGTTAAAATATGGGGGTCAAGGCTCTGAAAAGTAAGTTACTAAAAATTGGAATGATTAGTGGACATTAGAAGAAAACATTTTCTGACAAAGACATACTCTTAAAAAGACTACATGTGAGAAAGGTGCTATACAAAAATAATTTATCAAATACATTTTAAACATGGGAACTATTATTTGCACACTATTATAAAAACAAATATAAAGGTTTAACTTATAGTTTCTGTTCTCTTTTCTTCCCTTATGATATAGTTTATTTCCTCAAAATGTATATTACAGTTTCTGAAAAGTTCAGGAATAAATTTAGATGGTATTGAAAACATGATTCTTTTATTGTTAATCTCTTCCTATTCATACAGTGCATCACATACAGAAAATAACCCATATAAAGTGTACATTTGATAAAAAGGAGAAACTACTTGTTACTAACTATGCTGCATTTAATTATAGTAGTTGGAATATTGACACTGCTAGGAACATTGGAAACACTTCTTACAATGGATTTTAGATACTTCTTAAGCACAAACCTTTCCTGCATATAAACTCTCATGTAGACAGAGATTATCCTGCAGGAAGAAAAGGCTAGCAAAACTTCTGAGATTTCAACATTTTTGGAACCCATTTTTCAGATATGATGCCCAGAGTGACCTTAGTGAAATCACTTAACAGTCACAAAGTATCATTTGTGTAGTTGTAATGTTAGCAAACCTGCCGTCTTTTGTCCTGATTTTTAATTTAATAGTAATTTTTCTTTTGGCAATATCATTTTCTTTTTAAATCTTACATTAATCTCTAATAATGAAACCAGCCACAAATTTATGGCAACTCCATTTGTATTTAATATAATTTATACTAAATTATTTTATAAGTGACAAATTCATTCATTCACTCATTCATTCATATGTATGTCCATTCACTAGTTAATTCACTCAATAAGTACTTACTGTGCATATACTCTATAGCAGGTATTATTTTAAGGAGTTGAGATAGACCAGTGGACAAAAAAAAAAAAAAAATAGCCTCTTCTTTCAAGGAGCTAACATTTCTTATGGAACAAGAAAGGCAATCTTACATTTCTTACGGAAGAAGAAAGGCAACAAGTAAATATATAGCATGTCACATAGTTGTAAGTGCTAAGAAGGAAAATGAAACAGGGTGAAGGAGATGGACAGGTATGGAGCAGTGCTCCTGTAAGTAAGGCAGTTGAACAAGGCCTTGACTGATAGGTGACATTTGAGAAACTTGAAAGGAGGGAGTGAGTCACTCAGATATCTGGTGGAGAGGGTATCTGGCAGAGGAAACAGATCAGAATGCCTGAGATGGGAGTGTGCATGATTTTACGTATGCAAGGGACCTCAAAGGGACCCTGAGGCTGGAGACAGGTTGAAGGTGGTGAGGTCGGAGAATTACGGATGGATGGATGTCTTGAGTTTTTGTTTTTGGTTTTTTAAGTTTCTTTATAAATAGGCAAGGCAACATTGCCAAACTCCCAACTCAAGGTCCAACTCTATTATCAAAAGCTTATGTAGCTTATTGAATCTTCTAGTTTCAGAACATCCTGATCTGATTATAGTGATATTTTGGCTCTGTCACTTGCTAGTCGTGCCACCGGGATGGTTGGCCTGTTTCCTCATCTGTAAAGTGAGATTACTAATACCTGTGCTGTCCTCCACACAAAACTGCTGTAAGGGTAAACTGACTGACTGTATTGTGAAATTATTTCAAAAAAGCTACAAAATGGCTGTGGGCTATTATTCCATAGAAGAACGACATGGGCTTTTAAGGCAGGTTTTGAAGGATCTGGTGGGTCACTGTGTGAACAAGGCTTCCCATAGCAATTAGTGATAATTTCATAGTACATAGCAACTTTTGTAAAATGCAGAATTCATGGTGTGACTTTTTCGGATGGCTTCTTGGGATCAGAGCCAGAATGACCATTAAAGTAAATGTTTTGGAAATATGCATTAGTGCAGACAATGTAGCATGTATACAGGTAACCATTCATTCTCATTATCCTTTCAAGGTATCATCATCTGAATGTCTGTACCCAAATCATTATGAACTCATCATCATGAATGTCTGTGTACCTAAATATAAACAATCTATGCTGAGGCTAGAAAATGAGAGAACCAGACTTTGGCTTATTTTTATGCTTAAAACTGTTTTTTAACCTAAAATAGCATACATTTTCATCCACAGAGACATTGGAGATGTGATTTGTTTTAGGACTGCCTCAATGTAAAAGAAAAATCGTTTAGTTATTCAATGAAAGGAAAAATGGGTGTTTTGTATTTGGCAGAGACTACTTTTTCATTCGAAATGGAGGTATAAATAAAGGATATTTTATTCTATTTTGATTTATAGCAAAAAAGTTCTATGACAGATACACTTTAGTAAAATCATTTCACATTAGAGACATTTTCTAGACAACATGAAGATTAGGATTTCATTTCTAATGAAAATTAGGATTTCATGTTGGGATAACTTAAACTTTAAAAAATTCACCTAATGTTGAGGATGGTGAAATATTACAATTTCAAATAAAGCAATTCAGTCTCTTAACGTGTATTAAATGCCAACAAGCCAGTTCTGTGGAAGTCTGCTTGTTTGAATTTACTTTGTTAAAGTTAATTAGAACCTTCCTCTGATTGTAGTTCTAAACAATTTTAACATAATCTGACATTGAGTAAGGCTTAGAGCTTTTGAGGTGGTTGTTTTTCTGATGTTGAATCTTAACACATTGTAAAACATTTTAAAAAAAAGTTTAATTAAAATAAAGTAGAATTATTCTATAAACCAATTCAGTAGCCTTTGCCACCAGCTTTAAGTGTGTATTTCTTCTTCCAGGTAGACATAGCTGACATTGAGAATGAAGAGAACCGCTACTGTCTATTCATGGAACTCCTGGAATCTAGTCACCACGAGGCTGAATTTCAGCACTTGGTTTTACTTTTGCAAGCTTGGCCACCTATGAAAAGTGAATATGTGTAAGTATTAACATAAAATTAGCGTAATTAGAGTTCTTTTGTTTGGACTTTAGCCCTAAAAATGTAGCACCTTCCAAAGAGCCAATGAAAGAATAATTATATGTGTGTGCGTAGTCAGTATTTGCCTTTAGAGGAATTTAAAATTGTTTTTGAAATATTGCAATGTCTTTCCGTTTCTCCTTGCCCCTAAACTCTAATATTTTATTCAAAAGTATCAGACAATGCTTGATAATATCTGATTTATGATGTCAACAAAAACAATGTAGTTTCAGTATTTTCACCAGGAAATTTCTTGACTGTCTTGACACGGCTTACAGTGCCAACTTGAGAATCCAAATGGAATAAATGAATAATTTCTACTTATTGAGAACACAATGTTATGTGCAATTTACATATATTATCAGTCACTCACACAACACACCTACAAGGGAAGGTGATGTTATCTGATTTTATACATGAAGGAATTGAGGCTCAGGAGTTAAACAACTTCAGGCTTCACACGGCTAATAAGTGGAGGAGACAGAATTCTAACCAACTGCTGGCTACCTTCACAGCCCCTGTTGTTTCCTCTGTCACACTGAGTTGCAGCTGCCACCCGTAGCTGCGTGGGGTACTTATCCAGTCCTGGTGGTATCAGCCATGGAACATACCCCTTTCCTTTGGAAGAAGTGGTCAGATTTCCTCTGAGCTCATGGACTGGGTCTCATGAGCTGTGGCTTCTCATTGGCAAATGATATGAGCACCAATGCCCTTGTCGCAAGTGCCTGTTTGGCTCAGGACTGATCTTGCTCTCCCCATGCTCAGCTGACATACTGCCCCCACAGGCCAGTGAACATCTCCACGTGTCTGAGGTTAAAGAAGGATGCTTTTCTGAAAATAAAGTCCTATATCCTGTGAGCAGTTAGGACTGCCAACAAATATCTGGAAAAGATTCCATGAGACTGTTAGTAATTTCCAAAGCAAACCAAGGAGAATGGTGCTTTCACTTTGTGGTATTTTTTTAACCAAGTGTTTTCAGAAAGAAAAGAAATGTTTCTTAGATCTCTACCTTTGTGGCAGCGATGGCATGCTGACTTGTTTTTAAGAACAGGTTTTTACCTTCACTATTTGAAATCCACAGTGCAGGCTCTCACATCATAACACCTTTAGTTCACAGTGCACTTGTGTTTGCCACCAGTGATCTTGGTGTGGGTGCCTTCGGAGCCTGGGGTGCTTGTTCAAAGCAGGGTCCTGGGTCCTGTGCTCAACTTGTGGAGTCCATCTCTCCATACTGGGACCTGGGAATCTGTTCTGAACACACTCCTGGGTGAGACTATGTGAGACAGGTGTGGAGCCCACTGATCAGATTGCCACTAATGCCATACTTTTGTAAGGAAATTAATTATTAGAGTTGAATTGTAGATTTCTTCTTAACCCTCATTTCCCAATTCAAAATATGACACCTCTAAGAGATTAACTTTAGTTTACAGTTTCTTTTACTTTTAGAACACTGACCATTTAAAATCATTCACTTATTCTCAAGAACCAAAATCAGCTTTACTTAAAACATTTATTGCATTTAAAACATTTAGTGCATTTGTAAACCCAAAAATCTTAATTTTTAAAGTTGTATTCTTTTGTAGCCACATATGAAATGGAATTTGTAAATTACTAACCTGAGTCTTATAAAACTGCTTTATTAAATCATTAGAATCAGAACAAAGCATTTCCCAGTCTGCTCACCCCCTCCCCTCCTATCATTCATGTCTCCTCTGCCTAAGAGATAACCAGGGCATAAATCAAATATTCTGGAGAATGTGTGATGGGATACTTTACAAACAGGTGCTCAGAAGTACTTTTGAATATTTTTTCCTTTTAGACAATCCAATTGAATAAATAAATCACCAAAAAAGGAGTGGGGGTGGAAGAGAGGGAGGATAGTGTGACAATGATGGTATGTTGCCCATCAACACAAAAAGGTTACAACTTAAGACATTTGTTTGATCCACATGACTATAATTTACTAGTACCAACTTTGGTTTTTTAGCTTTAGTTCCTTGTAGGAAAATGCATGGAAAAATACTGAGTTTGTACTTAAGGAAGATTCATTGTTTTCATCCAGTGTATCACTGCTGGCTGGTGAAAAACATATCTTGATAATTTGTTACCAAAGCCTCGTTGCCCATTGGTTCACCATGCTGGCCAAGCAGCATTTCTCCTACAATGAGAAAAACTGTAGAGAAAAACCCAGGAGAGCTGAGTTCAGACTTTGCAAGAGGAGAAAAGAGGGGAAGTCCTTGAGTGTAGGAAGACTCCTCAGCACACCAGACACTCTCACAGAACTGTGTGTACCTTGAAGTAAGCAGTGTTCTTTGTTCGCACAGATTGTCAGTTTGAGCTGAGACACAAAGGCTTTGCCAAGGGCTCGTCCCCTTGTTACTGTTGCACTTGAAATTCTTTTCAGGGCCCAAGGAATAAAATTCTTTCAAGGGCAAGACCATCCCTGGTTGTTCAATGTCTAGAATGTAGTGCTGTGCTAATGAACCAACAGACTCTTCATAAATAGTAATTTTTTCTTAATGTAAGTAAAATCAGTACCCTGCTCCTGGGCCATGAAATGAATTTACCATTAACTTGTCAATAGAAATGGAAATTTTGATGTTTCTATGAAACACAGGGTAGTGTCAGTCAAGACAAGGGAAAGAAACGGCAAACTTTTTTATGCTTTTATGTTTCCAATACAAGGAAACAACGTGAAGCCCAAAGTATGATCTTCATACTGCTTGTCTGTGGCTTCCTCAACCTATGCTCCCCAGCTGACCTCTGCTATGCAATACCCTGATTGTAACTTAGTCCTGCCCTGACCCCATTACAATAACAATAACAATGATAATAATAGTAATAATATCAACAAGAGGCAGTATTTATGTAGTAAATAGTAATGTGTGATTGCTATTAACACTGATTCTTCACAATTACATACATCATTCATTAAGGCAACTCTTCAAGGAAAAAAAAGTCATTAAATACCTTTTCACAGTGAAAAAAACTGAGGCCCAGAAGGGTGTGACTTCCCCAGAACCATACAACTAGGCAAAAGTATTAAATAACTTCTCTGAGGACCCAAATAGTCAGAATTTGGGCCCGAGTCTGTCTGGCTTCACAAAGCCTGTGCTGTTTCAATGCACTTACTACCTCCGTGCTGCTGGGCTGCTTGCTGATACCACAGGAAGCTGCTTTTTCTCCTTAAGGTGTTATCTTTTCTACAAGGTTGACTTGAAGCAGCACGTCACCTAGATTCTGATTGTAATTTACCGTAAGCATTTCACTTGTTTTAAAATTTATCACAATTATGATAACTTTAGTCATTTCCAGTGCCTTGTATTTTTCTCCATAAACACCAGCATAACCAATAATCCATGGGTGAGACTAGCTACAGTGATGCTAACCAGATGTACGATGGAGAACAAGGAAGGATTGGGGAATGAAGTTTTGAAAATGTGTCGCTCTTTGTATAACACCAAGCAGATGCTGCCTGCAGAGGTGAGTGGATATTTTGAGTGCTTTCCTAAGGAGTGGCCTTTGCTTATCAGAACTCTTTATTGTAAGCAATCCCAGAGACTGGATTTGAGGAACATTTAGCTTAAGTAATTACTGGTAAAGGCCATAATTTCTGATGGATCAGATGAAGAAAAGCAGTGCTGAAAGGATGCTTTGAGGCTGCTTTCTTTTTGTGGGGGCCAGCGTTTCCTGTACAAGTTCCAGAATATAACCCAGTTTTCAGTTTCTTCTGGATGCCCTTTTTTGTCAAACTCAAGTTTATGTTCCAAGTGGCCATGGTAGCTCAGGCATTATCTGTCTGAACTAGGCCAGTTGGTAAAGTAATAGTAAACTTTAGCACTCTTCTCAGCAGATAACCAACCACTTTGAATTTTACATGCTTTTTGACATCATTGTAACGAGATTGCATAATCACAATATTCTTTCTCTGCGAAGTATGGTCAAAACTCAGGCACCTCCTTTTTGACCTTTGTTCTCTATTTGATGCCATTTTGACTGTCACAGAGACATTTATTATATACATATATATTTTATATATATATGCATATATATACACACACACAGACACACATACATAAGTGTATATATATATATACACACATACATACACATATGTGTGTGTGTGTGTGTGTGTGTGTATATATATATGTATGTATGGAGAGAAAGAGGGAGAACATTCTAAAGTAAGCACATATTAATTTCAGCTCCCTGCTGTGGATCCCACCTCAGCGGTATATTATTTGAATAATTTACATGTCTTAAATTTAAGCATTTGGATAATGGCATTAAATTGATTTTGCATTCCTACTATGTAGGAGATAAACTTGAAAATAAATTTGTAAATATGATCCTTTAAATCCTTATTGTAATCACTCAAGGAAAATATTCTCATGAATGCACATTTAATGAATTGTTTTCTGAATGAGGGCTTGGATTTTTTTTATTGATTTTTGAAATATTTTATCCATTTAAAGAAGTCTTCCAACTACCAGAATGACACAATTATTCTACAAAATAAAGTACCAGCACCAAAAATTACCTCCCCTTACTCTAGTAAAGTGTGATTTGGGCTGTGGACCAAGGTCTGCTTGTATCAGCCACTTATGAACCCGTGATCTGCTCTGCTATATTGTGGGCTCCTGGAGAGGGGGAACCATGGCTATATCATGTCTGTGATACCCAGGGCAGGATTCAGCCCACTGTGTAGTATGGGGACTCAGTGCACTTCATTATCCCCACCAAAGTAAGCAACATGTAAATAACATGAGATTCACCTTTGCTTGAATATAAGCTAAGATCAAGCATTATTAGATCAGGACCAAAGACCAGCAGTGTTCTGCTGTCAGTTCTGTCGAATCTAGGTTAGGAAAGCATTGTTTAAGGTCTCCTGTTACTGCCTAACAGGAGGTGGTAATGGTGATAACCAACATTTGCTAACACTCTTGGGCTTTCATCTATATTGCCTCCTTTAACCTTCACCACCTTCTGTAAGGAGATTCATTTATCTCCACTTGACAGCTGATGGATTGGAGGGTTTGAGGTCAATGGTCTTGCTCCTGCTTCTTCAGGCAGTGAATGGTGGGTCTGATCTTCAAATCAAGTCTCTGTGCTTGAAAGCTTGAGAAAGGAATCCTTCCAGAGGAGCCATTCCTACTACCTTTGGGAGATACATGAATATTGAATGTCTCTCATACAATTGTATAAATGTTACTGTCAGTTTTCCTTTTTCAATACTTCCTTCAAGAATGGCCTATAGAATTTAGCATCTAGATGATCAGTATTTAAGATATAAGGTTGTTAGGATCTCTGTCATTGTCTGAAGAAGTTTATTTGTTCTTTAAAATACTCTTATCGGTTTGGTTTTACTGTAACTTTTGCAAGGCAAGGAATGTAAGTTGGCTATGACATGGCCACTGCATCCTTGACCCTGACATCATCTCACCAGCTAGCTAATCAAGGCTCAGTAACAGTTATGTGTATCAGGCTTCCCCAAACCCCAGGCCGAGGACTGCTATCAGTCCATGGCCTGTCAGGTACCAGACTGCACTGCAGGAGGTGAGTGGCTGGCGATGAGTGAAGCTTCATCTGTATTTACAGCTGCTCCCATCATTTACATTACTGTCTCAGTTCCACCTCCTGTCGTATCAGTGGTGGCACAAGATTCTTATAGGAGCACAAGCTCTATTGTGAACTACACATGCGAGGGATCTGGGTTGTGCACTCCTTATTCCTTATGATGATGCGTCACTGTAGCCCATCGCCCCTCGGTGGGACCATCTAGTTGCAGGAAAACAAGCTCAGGGTTCCCACTGATTCTATATTATGGTGAGTTGTATAATTATTTCATTAGATATTACAGTGTAATACTAATAGAAATAAAGTGCCCAATAAATCTAATGTGCTTGAATCATCCCAAAACTATCCCCTCCATGGGGTGGACTATTCCATAGTCCATGGAATAATTTTCATCCACAAAACCAGTCCCTGGGGCCAAAACGACCTATAGGGACCACTTGATATGTACTATCTTTTAGCCGCCTGGGAATAAGTCCTAGACATATCTGTGTCCATGGCAGTAATATTCTCGTCAGCATTCCATTTACATTTTACATACATAGAAGAATAGCGTGTTCTTTTTACTGATGAATGTGTAAGAAGCTGTGCTTTCTGTTTCCTATCGGAAAATGACTTGGTGGTTAAATGAAAAGTTCTGATTTAGCTGTGATGATTCAGCTTCCTAGTAAGTGTCTACAGCCAGGGGGAGGTACTTTGACAAATAGAGTAATACATTAAGTTTATTTGCAGGGGTCTCATTTGATCTCAGAATCATCTGGTCAGTGATTGCTAAGTGTTTTTTAAGAGGTCAGAAAAGATAGCACAGCACCTAAAGCACACATCGGTTAGAGCACTCCTCACACACTCCATGGGAAGGGATGTACTGCGTCTGCTCTTTATTAAGACTAGGAGCACCTTAAGGGCAGGGAACATCATACATAGTAGAACAGAAAGAACTCTAGTAATGCTCGAAGCTGTACTGTTTCTCTTCCAGAATGGGCCACATCTGTGTGAACATGAGAAAAGCCCCAAACTCTCTGGATCTTTGTTTTCTGGTCTGTGAAAGAAGAGGTTAAGCTGGATGAGAAAATGCTAGTTCTGTCTATTCTCTAAGGAGAATGAGCTGAGGCTGTATGTGTACTGCTTCATCCATAGCACATAATTCACTACCTTTCATAAATGTGTAATTCTCTCGGGATGAGAGACAAGGTACTGGGTTAAATCCCGTTGCAAAGTAGGTCGTTATCATGTTTCTTTAATTTGATGAAACAAAAGATAATTATTCAAAGAGTTCTGTTGTCACCGTGACTTTCCATCGTTTTCCTTAAGCTGCCTCAGTTTCTGTCTCTCAATTGGGCACATTTATAGATTATGTTTTCCTGAGGCTGCTGTGATTAGAGGCTATTTGCAAATGGTATGTACTGTTTTTACTGATGGCTAAATGTGCTCAAATGTGAATTGAAAGTGTTACAGAGGAAGGAACATTACTATTAAAAAGTGGCAGTATCTTTTTAAGTTTATTTTACTACACTTGGAAGTTGACGAGTTTAATTTCAGAGTTCTACAATGTTTTATATCACTGTGGTGGTAAAATTATCTGTTACTTATGATTTTTTTTTTCCTAAATTCAATACCTTTGGTTGTCGTACTCCATGATTTAGGAAACGTGTGTGCCTAATTGTTTATGTCAGAGTACTTAAGAGTACTCACCTTTTTCTTCATCTCCATTTCCCGTTTTTCACTAAGCTCCCATGCTTACAGACTTTTAAAAAAATTCACGACTCCTCAGAATGCCTTCGTGACTCCTGCTGTTGCTCCTGGGACTTGCTTACTTATGGCCATGATGGTTTTCCTGATGGAAAATATTACCAGCAGGATGAGTGACTTTCTCACAGGTCCTGTGTACCACAGTCTCAAAAGTTATGTATCCTTCTCAGCTTGTATCCATGGCAGTATATAAAGCCCTCTCAAGACTTGGGAATAGGTAGAATAAGAAATTGGCATAAACAGTTTGTTGGCATTTATAGATGTAAAATTCCGAGGTCCCGCTATTTGTGACTGACCCTGAAGGTCCAGGATTTCGCTGAGACGAAACATGGGTTAGTCACCGATGCTTGGGGTCTATTGTATGGGATTAAGTCACCCAGCTCATGAGTGAGCCTTAATAATTCCCAGCTTCTAAAAGTCAATGTGATTGTTCTCTATCAGGGTTGAGCCACTTTTGCTAATGTCAAGAGCTTGATTTTTAGAATCAGTCAAGTTATGCAATAACACTCAAGTTATTTAACCATTTTACCTCTGCTTTCCCCATCTGATTAGTAGGGCTGAGATCACACCTTTCTCAAAGGATTTGAGGAGAAATTAAATGAGATGATGCATTTCAAAGCAAAGTATATAACAAACACTTGATGTTCAGCTCAGAGCAGCTGCCTTGCTGGTAGAGATCACAGTCCAAGAGGCACGGCTAGTGCCCTGGAGGTCGAGCAGCAGGCCCAGCACAACCTGAGAGGCTCTGGAGAACACAAAACCAAAGCCGCTGCAGTGCCCAGTTGGCCCAGGTACAGTGCCTGGTGGCCAGTGTGGAGGCCCAGCTGGCCAAGATTGTGATCAACCTGGGGCTGCAGAACCAGCAGTGCCAGGGGCTTCTGGACATCCAGGCAACAGCAATGGGAGCTCAGCCCATTCTAGGCCTGCTGGAGGGCAAGGACTGCAAGCTGCCTTGCAGCCCCCATGCAATGCCTGGGGCATGTGATAAGCCCCTCGGTCTCTGCATCACCAATCCCTGCATACCTTGTGCCCCTAGTTCCTGCTGTAGGCCCTGCAACACCTTTTGATGCTAGATACTCCAGGGACAGTAGGAGAGTTGTGTGAGGACAGAAGGCATATTTGTGAACTGGTCCTGCTTCTCTCATGACTGTCAGACAATGGGAACAGTGCCCCAGTGCATCTCATAAATCATAGTCCACTGGGAAAAGAAACATCCAGGTCTGTGGCCTGGCTCTAAGCCTGGGCCCACCTAGTCCTCTCCATCCAAGGCATCTCTTGTTCGTTCTGTCCTCATGGTCTGACAGGTTTGAACTGCGAAGGCCTGTCAAATGACGTGTTTTGTGGCTTTTCTCTGCTGCTTCGACCTTTCTTGCAGTTCCCCAAATCCCTTTGTAAATCTCTTAATAAACGTTCTCTTGCAACACAGGGGGAAAGTAGCAAACAAACATAGTAGAGGATTTAGCACTTAAAGATAGAGTAAGTATTTGGCCAATCACTGGTAGCTAAGAGATGAAAAGTAGTCAGTGGCTCACCTAAAGTGGGTTCCTCCCTTCTTGGATATCCTTGCCTCTCTGTGTGCCATCTATCCATTATGCTTGCTCAGAGGGACACACAGGTTATTCCATAAAATTTGTCATGAAAGCCAAGGTCAGCCAAGTGTCATGCTATGTCTAAATATCATAAATCCTTGAAAATGCATGTTTACTCATCACTGATAACTTTTTGAGTGAGCAAATGTGTGTTCAGAGAGGGAATTATATACAAGGAGTTTTAGGTATGGCATGTACCAAGCAAGTTTAGAATACAGAGAAGGAACAATATTCTTGCCCAAAAGCAAGGCAGGTAGACCGATGAATGACTACCATAATACAAGATAAAAGATAAGGTGGGAAATATTTATACAGTACATTTAGAACATTGAGTGCTAACCTGGGACATTTAAGGGTGCTTTTGCGGAGGAAGTATAGTTTTTCTGTGCATTTTTAAACTGAGACTTAAAGAGCAAGTAGACGGTTAATCAGACAGAGAAAGAGCAAAAGTTACACTATGTGCAAACACCTGGAGGTGTGAGAGTCCAGCACCCAGCAGCCATACTGCCTAATATGGTAGCCGCTGGCCCCATGTGGCTTATTAAACCCTTTAAGTAAAATTAAAAATGCAGTTCCTCGGTTGCACTAGCCCCACCTCAAATGTAGCTTGTGCCTTGTGGCTGCGGTATTGGGCAGTGCAGATACAGAATGTGTGTGTTGTGTCAGAAGGGGCCCCGCACATCACTTTGTGTGGAATGCTTAGGTGGGGAGCACTGCCATGACCCGAGAGGAGGAGGAAGAGGCCACAGGATGCGGCCAGCCAGGCCAGAGTGCCATGCTCAGGAGCTTGTTTCATGCTCCCAAATAATCTTCTGCAGGTTTCGGCATCCCGGATGAAAAGTCTGCCTGTTTCTTTGCCCCAGATGCTTGGTGAGACTGCTCTGTGTCACGTGTTCTTTCAGGCATACACCGTACTTTTTTGAATTAGAATTCCCGATGTATGAGGAATGTGTTTTACAAACTGCTACCCTGCTGGTATTGATCATTGTCACACAGGTTTGTGTAGCACAGCCTTCTACTCTGAAACGTGAGGGCCTTGCAGATTTCAAGAGCAGACATGCTGGGTGAAAGCTAAAACTATAATGTGCAGAATTCCCAAGAGAACTTTATCCTGAGTTTAAATGCGAGCTTACTTGTGTCATTCTTATTTTATTGATGCTCTATAATAATGTAAAGCAATTTTGAAAATATAGTAAATTTGAGTTTTTCTTCTCCGATCTGCTGTCTGAATGGCACGAGAGAAAAATCAATCCCGTGGATAGCAATGATCATCAGTTCTTTAGAGCAACCCTTGCTTTAGTGTAATGGAGTCATTCATCGTCTGGTTTTTGGTCCAAAGTGTTCTCTTCTTTATGTTACAGCTAAAGTCAGGACCTAAATGGCAACACAGCTCAGCAGGGCAAAACAGATTGCAAATCTTATTCTTATTGTTTTATGCTTTTGTTGTAAAGGATTATCATTTGTTACCTTATACGAAAGCCTGCTCTGTGACCACAGGTTCAGTTGGTAAAATACAGGGCTGAGAATAAAATTCAGATACACCTGTGGGGATCCAAACACATTTTCATTTTTCTGCAACACAGATAGTTTTCGTGAAGATAGACTGTCTTAAGTATATTAAGGAGTCAATTCATTTTGACATTAAAATGATAGATACATTTTAAAATATTTTATTTGCTGATTTCCTTTGTTTCAGTGAATGACAACTAGAGGTTGTTAACAATATTAGCAATTGATAATACTTTTTATTATAATTCAGCCTCCACTATATGCTGAGCGTTGTATGCTGCGTTCATCAATACAAACTCTCTCTCTCTCACACACACACACACACAAAACACAAAACCTGCAAAGGAGCTATAAATACATACATTTTACTTATGAGGAAATTAGGGCTGTGAGAGTTTAGGAAAATAAATTATACCACTATATCTGTACAATGAGCATTACAAAGCCATTAAAAAGCAATATTGTCGATGAATATCTGATAGCTTGGAAATCTGTACACAGTTTACTGTGAACCAAGTGAAGCAGGTACCAACGCCCATATTCAGTATATCCAGTGCGGTACCATATGTGGCTTTACACACACACACACACGCTACCACAGAAAAAGGGGTGGAATGATCCAGCCAGAACCGTGCCGGTGAGAAGTACGTCGTGGAGTTCTCGCTCACCCCTGCTCTGTGGTTTCAGGGTGTGAAGGAGCTGTGTCTGCTGCTGCTTAACCAGTCCCTCCTGCTTCCATCTCTGAAACTTCTCCTCGAGAGCCGAGATGAGCATCTGCACGAGATGGCACTGGAGCAAATCACGGCAGTCACTACGGTATGCCCAGTTGAATTTACTTTCTTTCTTTTTTTTTTTTTAATGTTTCAAAGGAATGAATTAGCACTTTCATTCTCATAAATAACACCGTGGTTAATTGAAGACTACTATATCTATAGTATTCTCTGACCACAATAGCTGTTCCTGTTTTGTCCCAGCAGTGTATGTTTATTTTACAAACACTTACTAAGCTCTTCCCGTGAACCAGATTCAGTGTTTTTGGTGCTCAGAATACAAATCCAAATAAGAAGACAGTTTTCTACAGAAGCAGGATGTTAGTCTCCTTAAGAAGATCAAAGCAGCCATCAACTAGCAGTCCTCTTGCTACTTGAAATTTGGGTCTAGGGAACTCCCATCATTGCACAGGTTTTCCATCTGTGGATGTGTGTGTTAGGTTATCCACTAATTAAAGGTAAGACAGTGGGTTTAAGTAGTGTTTACTGGCACCATCTGAAATCTCAAACTCTGATTTCCTCTGGCAACCTTCTTGTCTTGAAGAGTAATGTACTGGAGTCAACTTGAGATTTCTCCCTCAAGGCCTGTTGCCTTGTTATTATGATTAGGAAGAAACTTTCTCTTCTCATTTAAAATTTTCCACTTTAGGATTAGATAGCTTAGGGTTGTGTTTTAACGAACTCATGTTGTATGATCCTTACTGAAGCCCTTTTGTGTGGAGATCATTCTTTCATTTGAAGTGTATGTATGTCTGTTTGAGTATGTACACTATACACATACACATACATGCACACATATGTAATTTTACATTGTATATATACATATATATGTATATATACACATGCATGCTATTTTTTTAAACAAAAATGTGGCAGGATATCTTCTAGGGACCAGAGAAGGAAGGAGAATCTAGAGCAGAGGTATATGCTTGCTACTCAAGACAGTGAAGAGGTTGATGAAAAGACATCACTGATATAAAGTTTTCTTAATGACAAAGGATACAGAAAATTCTGTAAATAGTTACAGAAAGCAGAATATAATTGTATTTGGAAATAATCATTATGAATAAAATGAGAAAATCAAATGCCTTTATTCATTTAGATGTGTTTTTAAAATAATGTAAAAGCTTCTGCAAGGGTTTTGTGAATACCGTACCTGATCACCAATAATTAATCAGAACGAAGGCCTCTTTGGGACCTTGACTGAAGTAGGGAATCAAGGGGACTTGCCTTTCCGTAGCCCTCCCACCTATCTATGCTGAAATGAAAGTTGAATAACTTGGAGAATTTATATGAAACAGAATTATAATGAGTTTTTTTCTTAGCCAGTTTTTTCTTATAAATCCAAGAAATTGGTAAGAAGAGAAAACTTCTGCATATTCTCAGTGCATTTTTTTTCCTCCCCACCCTCGTACACTGTGTTAGGCATTCTCACAAAAATTTGCCATGGGCCTCTTTGAGAATAAAACAGTGATGTATTATACAGTGCCTTTCCATATTCATCATAAATGGAGCTCTCTTGATACAGTCCTGGATTCCATGGGCAGAGTGTATCAGTTTTCATTTTAAAGATTCTTTATCTCAAATGCATCTGTCAGAACTGCAACTAGCACAGGCGGTCCCTAACTGCTGACTAATCTTACTACCCACACAGCAGCATTTCCCCCACATACCTACACAGTAACTATCAAAATAAGAAACTAAATGACTAAATGGTAACACTGCAGTGCCCAAGTCCCTTTAATATGGCACTGATTTACTTCCGTAACACTTTGATCTGCACGTTAGATGTGCTGCATGGTGCTAAGCCTGTGGTTTTGAAACTGCTCTGCAGACTGTGAGTAGTTTGCCTGTGGTTGTGATGATAGCGCACGAAACGTCTGTGCCCTTCAGATCCAAGAATCAAAGCCACAGGTATAAATTGCTAAGATGAGTCACTTGCCTACCATTCAGATCCTTCCTTTTAGAAATTCGGTAATGAGACTGAACTGTAACATCTCTGCATTAAGTTGAATGCTCACATTAGGCTAGCCCATCTGTGCCCTAAAAATGTGTCCCACAAAAAGACCTTTTGCAGTCCCCAGAGGCTAAGGTTTTACAGAGTTTTCCATTTTAAAAACATTTTTTTAACTTTTTGAGATAATTTTAAATTCACGTTCAGTTGTAAGAAATGATATAGCAAGGTCTCTCACATTCTTCACCCAGTTCCCCCCAGTGTGACATCTTTCATGACTAGAGTATACAGGTTGAACACCTCTAATCCAGAAATCCAAAATGGCCTCAAATTCAACACTTTTGAACACCAACATGACATTCAAAGGAAAATGCTCATTAGAACATTTCAGATTCCAGACTTCAGATTTTCTGATTAGGAATACTCAACAAGTAAGTATAATGCAAATATTCCAAAATCTGAAAAAACTGACACTTCTGAGCTCAAGCTTTTTGGATAAGGGATACTTACCTGTAATATTATGACCCGGTTGCTGACATTGATTCAATCTGTCAACATTATACAGATTTTATGAGTTTTGCAGACACTCTTGAGTGTATGTGTGTGTGTGTGTGTGTGTGTCTCCATGTGACATTGTCACCTGTAACTTCGTGTGACCACTAACTGCAGTCAAGGTACCAGACACAAGGATCTCTCATACTGTCCTTTATAGCCACAGCCACCTTCTTCCTCCCCACCTCCTGAACAACCCCTGGCAACTGCTAATCTGTTCTCTGTAATTGTATCATTTTAAAATGCTACATAAATAAAATATGAAATCACTGTAATTAATCATTGCTCTTCCAACACCATTAAAGGGTTGTGTTACACTTTTCTAAGGGAAGAGTTTCAGTGGGCATTTTGGCCCGACTCACGTCTAGCTGTTTTTAAGTCATCCTTGGTATTGCAATGAAAAATAGAAAACTTTTGCTTTCTTTTTGTTGCTTTTATTTTGCTATTCACCGTGTCCATTAGCAGGGCGCTTGAGTTCATCAATAACTTCAGTTTTCCCCTTATTGGTTGTTGACAGTAGCTCCTATTGACATTAAAAGAAAAACATCTGGCAGAGGCACTCCGTTGATAGCAGTCTCTCCTGCATGGTGTGCAGATCCAAGTTTAAAAACACCCCCACTTGTTTGCTGATAGCATGTATTATTTTGCTATTCATTATAAGATACTGACAGCTTTATAGGTGTTTACAGTTAAAAGGATGATGCTTAAGTGCTGATGCCAGAGATTGTACTGACTTTTCCTCTAGCAGTAGTACTCATTTCTTTCTCTAAGCTTTTCCGAAATTGCAGACCTCTGGTGCGTGTAACCTTTTATAAATGGCCAACAGCCTCTTTCCTGGGCCAGAAATGGAAAGTCCTTCCTTGAGATTGTATTGATGATGAACAATTAAAACCCTGCATGGTATAGACTTCTGGATTACCTTCTCCATCACTCTCAGTAAAATTGAGAGCTCACTTTCAAAACCGTATTCTCTCTAAGATGGGCAATGCTGCTGATGTGTTTGACTCGCATCTCTGGAATATTTTCTGTTTGGATGGAAGCCTCTTGACTTGTTTCATCAAAGTAAGCAGATACGTATTTATAACGGCTTTGTATGCTGAAAATTCCCATTTTGTAATTCCCGATTTGTAACGGCTCCTGCTCTTCATTGCTTCCTCCTCTTTGGTACTGCTCAATGCCTCTATGCAACCCCTCATCCCAGGGGTTGTCCTGGACTGTGCTGTCTATTAAAATAGTAATTCATGGGGTTATAAAAGAAGTGTTGGCCGGGCACGGTGGCTCACACCTGTAATCCAGCAGTTTGGGA
Organism: Homo sapiens; assembly: GCF_000001405.40. Classification (NCBI taxonomy): domain Eukaryota; kingdom Metazoa; phylum Chordata; class Mammalia; order Primates; family Hominidae; genus Homo; species Homo sapiens. Next base: position 15,175,221 of record NC_000002.12, on the reverse strand, counting down.
GGCCGAGGAGGGTGGATCATGAGGTCAGGAGATCGAGACCATCCTGGCTAACACGGTGAAACCCCGTCTCCACTAAAAATACAAAAAATTAGCCAGTTGTGGTGGTGGGTGCCTGTAGTCCCAGCTACTCGGGAGTCTGAGGCAGGAGAATGGTGTGGACCCGGGAGGTGGAGCTGCAGTGAGCTGAGATCGCGCCACTGCACTCCAGCCTGCAGTGAGACTCCGTCTCAAAAAAATAAATAAATAAAAAATAAAAAGTGTTTAGGACCTCCGGTACCTAATTAAGGGTTTCTCCTTGATGACAATAATTACCATCTTGCAAATCCCACCTCTTTGCCAAGTACTATAATAGGTACATTCTCTTTTTTTGTTAATGATTGTATGAGAAGATATTATTATTTTGGTTTCACAGATGAGAACATGAGGCTCAGGGGTCACACAGCTAGTAAGCAGCCAAAGCTGAAATGTAAACACCAGACCTAACATTCAAAGTCTATACCCCACCATGCTTCTGCTTTTAACCTAAGTAGGAAGGCTTTATTATATTGGAAAAGGGTTATTTCTACAGAGGAATGAAGTTGTTGAAAGCACCTTGAGGCATATAATATTAGCTCTGCAAAACACTAGAGCAGACCTACCCCAACAACTCGCCTAGCTGTGCTTCCTTTTTAAGCCCACTTACTCTCCCAGGCTCCAGCTGAACACTGCAGGGGGCTCTGGGCCATTTTGGGTGAGATTATGACACGAGAGCACCTCCTAAATGAAACCTATACCCCTTTATCTTCAACACATTGACCTTAGTCCTGCCCTGGGGATTTTCTCAGATCACTAATGTCCTTCTTCCAGTGACAGTCCTTCACATATTTGATAAATGTGATTCCTATCCCCTGTAATCTTGCCATGAAGGCACCAGAACCTTCTAGCATTATTTACAGTGGCCAGTGTCCAAGCTGGGGGGAGAACCATAAAGATTTTCAGAAACGCATGTGTGAATCGACATATTTATACAAAACCAAGAAACCTTCCTGTCTTTGGTCCCCTTTAACTCTGTCCAGGTTTCAAAGTTGTGGGTATGTCTATTTATTTCTATCGTTTTAACCTGAACATACAGAGATCTGACTTGTACCTCCTGTCTGGATGCGTCCAGCAATAGGCAGCTCACTCTGCAGGTCAGCCTGGGATTCCTAAACAGCACTAGTGGTTGGTTAATTTACTTGGTATGAACAGACATATCAAGCATGCATTGTGCACAGCCTGGCACTGTGTATGAAGTGAAGAATAGGTAAGACGCTTGTAAAGATGCGATAAAATATTATTATCCCTGTGCTTAAATGAATAATCTCATGGAGAGATTGACATGTGAAATAATAACACGAAGAATTAACGAAGGTAGCAAGGAGGTAGGTACAGCGTGTGGAACTAGCCAGATCAGGGCCCTCAAATCCAGCATGTGGGTTTGGTTGCAGAGGTGATCAAGCTTGGATTTTCAAAGATTGTCTCCGTCTCGTTGTGAGATCGTGAGCAGATGATTTGTCATAGTTTTGGTTTCAGAAGTAGTATTCCATTAAGTGCCATGCCAGGAGTGAAACTGATGGTATGCTGAGAAAATGGAAACTGCATATCATATTCAAGTAAATACAGAATACAAAAATTATCTGTATGTGTTTTTCTCAAGCGTATACTTACGTTGTCCTTTTATTTTTCTACCCTTGTGGTTGATATTTTAATAACTTTTATTAGTAATAGTATATATGAGAACAAGACAAATATGTTTCCCTAAAGTAAACAGTGAAATAGTATTAAATAATCTTGAAAGCAAATGAAATGAGGGCTGCATGCATTATGCTTCTGGAATTTCAGCTTTCCTCATTATTGTAATTACTCTTAGCTTGATATAGATCCATAAAATCAAAGATTTTAAATCAGAGAAGGTTCATTACCTATTGTTGGAAGAGGAATTAAGCAGATAACATTTTAATGGCTTGGAAGACAGCAGTGCTTTGTGCTTTAATAGATTTCTTTCCCAAGATCTGTAAAGTATCATTTATTCTCAAAAATTAATTGCTGACACACAAAAAACAATCTCTGACAGAGATAGCAAGCATTTTACTCATCTTCTGATATATATAAGCCCTTCCCTTTCTAGAAAATCCTTTTCTCATGATTTGTTTGCCTGTATTAACATCAGCTATTTACTGAACCTGGACTCTGCACTTGGCATTGTGCTGGGCACTTAAAAGCTTGTATTATTCCCAACCCTTACAGACAGTGTGTATTTCTGATGTGGAAACTGGAGCTCAGAGAGATCGTCCTGAACAAGGTCACACAGTTGTTTAGTGACAGAACCAGGATTGGAAATTTGTCTCTAACCCAAAAGCCTGTCTTCTTTTCATAGCACCAGACTATCTCTCACTGTAATTCAAAGTTATTTGATCAGGGGAATTAAGTCAACTAATTCTCTGGACTTGTCTCATATTTATTTCTCACATCCAAACCGCATCCAAAAATGACAGAATATATTTTCTTTCTCATGCCCCTTAAGCACCAGTCAACCCACTGGCAGGGCTGTGTGATTTTCCACAGACCATATACCAAAGTCAATTTCTGATCAATTTAAAAGTCAAATGTTGTTAAAAGTCAGAAAATATAAAAATAACATATCAGTTCCTTTGAGGAATTGTAAGTTCTGAGTTTTAAAGCAATAAAACAAGTCATAAAGGAGTAGATCCTTTCCTGACAATATGAAAGTGTAAAACTTCTATACAACAAAAAACAACCGAAACAGAACTGTAAACAATAGGTTAGAATGTTCATGATAACAAAAATCAGGGTTAAGATTTCAGTTATACAGAGAATCCTTCACATGTGAAAGAGTGGGAAGCTGTTATAACTCTCCTAAATGAGTGAATGATTGATTCTTCCCACAACAAAAAATAAAAATGATAGGAAATTTATGGAAAAATTCATTCTTGCAAATAAATTCAAATGAAAGCAACCTTGAGGTACCATTACATATCTCCTAAATTAGCAAGTGATTTTTTCCTATCAAAATATTAACACCTAAAGCTGAGAAGTTCGTGATGTGACACTGATGCATTCCCATGCTGATGTCACCGCTGTAAGCTGGCACAGTTGACATCATTATGTGGTTGTGCTTACATTCATATTTAGAACCAAAAAAATGTTTCAGATACTTTGCCTGATGTATTAATTTGCTCATATTACCCTAACAAAGTACCACAGACTAAGTGACTTAAACAAGAGAAATTTATTTTCCTACAGTTTTGGAGACCAGAAGTCTGATGTCAAGGTGTAAGGTTGGTTTCTTCCCAGGCCTCTCTCCTTGGCGTGTCGACGGCCGCCTTCTCACTGTCCTCACATGGCTGACCCTTGCTTTGTGTGCGTGTCCTGTCTTCTCTTCTTGTAAGGACACCGGTTATATCGGAGTCCATCCTGATGACCTCATTTTACCTTCATTGCCTCTTTAAAGTCCCTGTCTGTAAATAAAGTCACATTGTGAGGTACTGAGGGTAAGGGCTTCGACATACGAATTTGTGCGGGACACAGTTCAGCCCGTAACACTGCAGTGATACCTCCCCTGGTAACTTGTCCTATGCCGATAATTTCGATGAAGAAGAAAGTATGTGCAAAAAAACATTCATGGTAGTGTTTCAGTAATATCAGACAACTTAAAATGGCTGAAATATTTATAGAAGTCAAATAACTTATAACAACTATTTTGCAGCCATTAAAATTTTTAAGACTGAAAACTATGTAAAAAACAATTTAAAAATTCTTAGCATATAATGAGAAAAATAGAATACAAATATCATACGATTAATTGTGGGAAAAAAATCTATGCACATGGACAGTTACTGGAGAGGAAAGGAGGGTGAAATAATTCTCTTGTGGTGACCCAAACATGGATGACATACAAATTACCGTCACACAGCCTGAAGAGCCAGACCTCAGGTGCCTTGGGAGTATGGAGGAAGGAGGAATCAGCTTGGCCAAGAGAGTTAAACAAAATGTCAGCAAGAAGGTGGCATGTTTTTTTCCAACTATTTCCACTTTTTTATTTTTATCTTAAAAAGAAAAAGTAGGTTAGAATGAATAATGCATGGTCAGAGAGTACCAAGCTTCTGTGGCAGATAGTACTAAAGTTTTAGTATGTTTAGTACAAATTTTAGTCAAAAACAAGAAAAAACAAAGACAACTTGAGGCTTAACAAATTAATCCAGCAACTCAGCAGTGTGCTGATGTCACAGTGTTGGAGAGTGCTTTGGGACAGGACACCCAGCACTCGGCTGTGCTGATGGGAAGGATTCTGTCTGGCCTTGGTGCCCTGATATGTAGAAAGGAACATCTTGGCTGTCTATGACCTGTTCCTTCTCTGAACCTCAGACGACTCTTTAAAATGTACTTGTTGGAATGGGTCATTACAAAGGCCATCTCTTTCTTTCTTCTTTCATTTTCTATTTTGTTCCCAAATACACACAGAAAAATTATCTATGCAGTATTTTCCGTGCAGCTGACAATCTTAAAGTATACTCTGGCCATTCTGTATTTCTTGCAAAGAGCCAGGCCCAGGTAGAATGTCAGAGAAAGGAAATAAGATAAAGTCACCCACCCTGCGTTTCCAGCACTTGATTTTATCTGAAGCCAAACCCAAAATTCCTCCCAACCTTTCCCTGCTCACTGCCCAAGCTCAATGCAGGTCAGCAAACGCAGACCTTTATCGTTCTTTAGGGAACCTCTGAGTGGGCCGGGGCCAAGGGGAAGGAAGCATGCATTTCATTTCCGTGTCTTTAGCCTTAGGCATTCTCAGCCAAGAAGGCAAGCAGCAGGCTTTTGGAGAAAAGACAGCCTACCCTGCCCTTCCCCACCCCTTGCCCTCCCTGCCAGAATGAGAGCAGCTTCTGAAAAGCTGGGTATATCCAGCCAGAAACACGGGAAGGATTTGGTTGCACTGGATAGAAACACAAACTATGAAGGGAATGAGAGCAGCAGCGGCCGCAGGCGTTAACAGAACCCCTGTCTCTTCCTCAGGCTGGAAGAATCCATCACTACCTCTCTAGGAGACTGTCGGGCTCCCAGAGGGGAGGGTTAGTGAGTAAACTGAAAGAATAATAAAGGTGTCCCAGCCTAGAAGACGTATTCAGGGCAACAAAGAAAGTATTGCCCTGCAGTGTTCAGATTCTGAGCCTTTTATCTGTGCATCTTATCAAACATGTGCCTGTAGCATCCTGGCACACACTGTTCTGTCCTGCAGGGTTAGGCAGGGGGATTCTTTGTTTTGAAGGATGAACCAAGATAACACATACAGTAACTCAGATGCCCTGTGTGTGTGCACGCATTAGCATGTGCATGCACGTGGCTGGAGGCAGCCACACAGACTGAAAGAATGTGAGCTTTGGAGTGATTCATTCACTTGGGTATTCATTCCACAAATCTTGCTCAGCTCCTAGCATGTGACCACCCATTCTGGACATGGGGATACAGGGGTGAACAGAAGAGACAAGATCTCTGCTCCATAGGAACTTGTGTTCTGGAGGGAAACAAACAATAAACAAGTAAACTAGGCCGAGACACGGGCTTCTAGGCCACTCCACCATGGAGCAACTGTATCACACTTGACCTCACTGAACCTGCCTCTGTCAGAGGAGGTGAGAACTGTCTTGAAGGGATGTCTGAAGACTTCAAGGGCCTCTCAGGGTTCTGGCACGTAGACACCGTGCTGCTGAGGGCAGGAGCTCTGTGGGGTTGAGACTCTTGTTTGCTAGGCATGAAGAGACAGGGAGAGAAGTGGGATGGAAAGAAGGCATTCAGAACTCACAGGCAGCCCCAGCGAGGAGAAGTCAAAGCTCCGTGCCCCTTCCAGCACAAAAGCAAGTCCATTGAACCGGTGGCTTTTTCTGTCATCTAGCTCCTAAAAACAAAAACAAAGGTAAATTCCTGGAGTTCAACCTAAGTGTTTTGGGTCAAAGGTGGGGTCAAAGGTGGGCTGTACAAGTGTTCATGAATTGGGAGGCCGGAGAAAAGACACTGAGGGTTTGCAGAGAGGGTCTTCTGTTCTGGAGTCTAGTTCTATTCAGTCTCTCTGAGAGGTAGGGTCTTTATCGTGTACTTGTGCAGTTTACAAAAATGTGACAAAGTTTCATAATGTAGGTTCACTCAGCCATTTAACAAATGTTAATGAAATGGGGAGCTGAAATGTAAAAGTGATAAAACTTCTGTGCCTTCAAGAATTTCCCAGTCGGTAAGGGAGACAGACATACAAATTACTATCATACAGGCCGGGCACGGTGGCCACGCCTGTAATCCCAGCCCTTTGGGAGGCCAAAGTGAGTGGATCACCTGAGGTCAGGAGTTCGAGACCAGCCTGACCAACATGGTGAAACACCATCTCTAATAAATACAAAAAATTAGCCAGGCGTGGTGCCATGCACCTGTAATCCCAGTTACTTGGGAGGATGAGGCAGGAGAACCGCTTGAACCCAAGAGGAGGAGGTTGCAGTGAGCCGAGATTGCACCACTGCACTCTAGCCTGGGCAACAAGAGTAAAACTCCATCTCAAAAAAGAAATAAATAAAATAAAATTACTTATCATACAGCATGAAGAGGCAGATCTCAGGCATCTTGGGAGTATGGAGGAAGGAGGAATCCTTGGTCATACTCCCAAGTATTGGCCAAGAGAGTTAAAGAAAATGTCAGCAAGAAGATGGCATTGGAGGTGATGTTTACATTGGGTTTTGAATGACCCCTGTGGGTAGTAGGAAAGATTCACGCTATCCGATAGTGGGCAGGATTTTATTCTCAGTACTTCTCTTGCTTTAATTCTCACAGTCAGTAGACAAGTAGACACAGTTGACCTTCGCATCTTCAATAGCCTTTCTTCCTTGTCACAGAACATGCAGGAAGAGCACATTGTGTACAGTTGCATAATATAGTTGGTCTAAACGTTAGTTAATTGGCTTTGACATTATTTCTGAGAGTCCTACAATCCAAATTATTAAAAAGGCACAGTAACGTTAAGAAAAGCCTGTCAGGAATCTGTTTTATGATACCCCAATGTAAGTGAGAAGCTCCGAATTTTGATAATATGATCAGTGTGGACTTGATTCTTTAAAAAAATATTGAAAATAATACATATATTTAGAAGACAAGACCAGGGAGAAAGAGAATACGCAAACTGAAAGAACCTATGAAACCGTTTTTTAAAAGGCAAGGTTGGTACTGAGCTTCCTAGAGGCTGAAGCAAAAATAGTTTAAAACCCCACTGTTGGTTATCTTACTCGTATCAGTGGGCTTGAGGGACATACTCTTCTCTCAATGGAGTACAAAAAAGGTTTTCTTGTTCCAAAAAAATTTTTTTCATGTGTATTTATATTCAAGAAAGATACAGCATTAAAGAATGTGGATCACAGTGAAAGTACAAATGAAACAGTAAATGTGGTTGTTAAGAGCACAGACTTTGATGTCAAGATTGACCCAAATTTACAATCTGGCTCTACAACTGGTTACAATGTTAAGCAAAGTTGCTACACCTCAGTTTCCTTTTCTGTCAATTGGGAGGTAAAAGTGCCAGTCACGGGGTTGAATCAGAAGGCCTTGGTGAAGAGATGCTGGTACAGTGTTGAATAGTTTCTGGCACCCAGTATCTGGAAGCTGTAGTGATGATTGCAGTGGGGTTCTTGTGTCTTCTTATGTTAAGAGGAGCCCCGTCTGTCATCCCAATCTGTGACCTACCTCAGAGGTGCTCGTGACCCACACACGCTTTTAAACCCAGGCCAGGGCATGAATGATGATGAAGGCAGCCCAGTGGAGAGCGAGGGATCCAAGGGGGAGGCGAACAAAGCAAACACCCCCTCACGCTGTGCCTGTCTTATTTCTTGAAGGTGAATGATTCCAATTGTGACCAAGAACTTCTTTCCCTGCTCCTGGATGCCAAGCTGCTGGTGAAGTGTGTCTCCACTCCCTTCTATCCACGTATTGTTGACCACCTCTTGGCTAGCCTCCAGCAAGGGCGCTGGGATGCAGAGGAGCTGGGCAGACACCTGCGGGAGGCCGGCCATGAAGCCGAAGCCGGGTCTCTCCTTCTGGCCGTGAGGGGGACTCACCAGGCCTTCAGAACCTTCAGTACAGCCCTCCGCGCAGCACAGCACTGGGTGTGAGGGCCACCTGTGGCCCTGCTCCTTAGCAGAAAAAGCATCTGGAGTTGAATGCTGTTCCCAGAAGCAACATGTGTATCTGCCGATTGTTCTCCATGGTTCCAACAAATTGCAAATAAAACTGTATGGAAACGATGAGCAAGCTGCCGCTTTTTTAACCTTTTTTTTCTTTCTTGTACTGAGTGGTGAACATATTTTCTTATTGATTAAGAGACTCTTCCTTCCCACCCTCCTTTTTTATTTCAACCTGCCTTTTCTGGATAGAATTCAGTTTATAATGTGTCCACAACTGTAGTTCAGCAAGTTGGATGTGCTGGTGGATGGGGTGGCATTAGGAAGGGAGGGAGTGTGCAGAATGCCTGGCGGTCAAGGCAGGTGTCATGGGTGGAGGGAGGGTGGACCTGGACTCAAGTTTCAGATTAGTTAAATGACCTCGGGCAAATTCTTCCACCTCTTTGAACCTATGTCTATTTTGTAGAAAAATAAGGGTGGTATTATTTGTCTCGTAAAGTTGATAAGTATTATGTGGGGTTGTGTGTGTGAGGCTCTATCAGATACACAGCCGGAGCTGAAGAAATATTAACTCTCTGTCCCACTCACTAGTGTCACAGTATATGAATTATGACCTTCAGGGCATAGCCAGATGATCAGGACCAATACATGATTGCTGTCTGATTAGAGGGCTTCAAAATTTATCAGCATCGACATGTTCAGGTTGACACATTTCATGTCCATAAACGTACATAGGCAGGTGGGTGGGGGAACAGAGCCAGCATGCACACTTATCACAGGTGGGATTGGCATCTTAGGGTTCGCTGATGTGCATACAGCCAATCATAGCAAGGGCGTGAATAGCAACACCCTTAGGAAAACCTCCCACACAAGGGGTGTTCCCTGTGATGGAGGATAAGGGTCCCAGGGCATAGCTTGCTGGCACCTGCCCCCACCACAGAGGTATGTGCTTGATGGTGGAGGCTCTAGACTTCGCCCCCCCTGAGACTCACACCTTATCGAAGCCACAGCAGCAGCCGAGGCACAGCTGGGGGAGAGCATCCACACCTACAGAGTGACCGGGGGGCCGTTGGAGGCATCCATCTACACTAAGGCGTGCTGGTCTTTTACCTCTGCCCCAAGAAATAATTTGGAGGGAGAGTGGCTGTGTATTAATAGGAAGGTTTAGTCTAGGTAGATGAGATGATATTACATCATTGTTATAGGGAGTAATTTGCACAAGGTTAAGTCATGTGAAAAGGCTACCTTGGATCAATTTCTGCATTGCTCTGTCAAAGCCAGCAGGCTGAATGTAACGGGGCTCCCTGGTGGTCTTTAACATACAGTGTATTGGGCAGCCTCATCTCCACACCTCCCCCTGTCCACCCCACTCCCACCGGTGCCCTACACACAACCTGGTTGGGTTCCCCATCTATTTAAGAATAACATCGCTTCGCCTTATAGTTTATCATCACCATCATCGTCGGCTTCACCTCATTTCCGCTCCTCTAGATGTAGCTGCAGAGCTGCAGAGTCCTCTGATGAAAGTTTTGGTCATCTTTGGAGGAGACTTATTATGTAATTGCTCACTCCCCTGACCTCCCACCAACTGTCTACCCCAAGATTGAGTTCCTTTCCCAATTCAGTAGCACCTAGAATTTGGGAATGGCCTGCACAAGCCTCTAGCATACTTCACAGGAAAGAGGACACCATATTTCTCCCAAATTAGGTAACACCTGTCCAGACAGACCCACGCGGCCAAAAAAGCTTCCTAGAGCTCTGATGGCACCGCCTATGTCCGATGGTGTGGGTCAAGCCACTCCTAGGCAGCATGCTTACTAGTAATGGGTTTTCTGTAACCTTGCAGCTAGCCTGCATCATTTCAGGTGAATGAAAACATTGAGTGAGCAATATTCTGAGAAACACAGTCTGTTATAACAGAATCCCTCCTGAGACCTTTTTCTTCAAATTGCAGTATTGCAGATCTCAGAAGTCATTTAGTATGACACCCTGACTTTATGGATTAGTAGACTGAGGCCCAGAGGGCTGGAGTGACTGCACAAAGGACAGCAGAGGATTGAGGGGCTCCACATTCCAGTCCCCCAGCCCCACAATGCTTATGAGGAAGGGATTCTCTCCTGGAAGCTCCATGGCTTTGACTCACATCCTCGTTTACTAGAAACCAAATTTAAAAGGTTTGAGCAGTTTCTGTGGGCGGCGGGGAGGGGGGAAGAGAAAAAGAAGGAACAACAAATAATTCACTCAAGAATCACACCAGTTGGAAAAATTCTCTAGAACGCTGCGTTCCTCTTTGTGCTGGTATTGAGAATGTTAACCATAAATGTTAGATGAAGGAGTAAGATGATATGTTGTCTTGCTTACAGTTAAAAGTTCCTATCAGTTATCCCAAACCTTTCTCTGAAAACAAATCAGAATAAGCAAGGGCTGCCCTGGCCCTCACTCACACTCAGATTCTATAGCTTTGCTTCCTGGGACGCGGCCCCCAGGGTGAGCCAGTGCAGGGTGAGAGCCTCTGAAGTCAGACAGCCGAAGTGTGAGCACTGGGAGGCCTCTCTCTCTGAGCCTCAGTTTTCTTACCCATAACTAGGGCTAATAATGCTTAAGTTACTAATTAATAAGTACTTTTCTCAATGTCACAAAGCTGGTAAGTAATGGAACCACAATGCAAACCCAGGTATGTAACCCTTGGCCCAATGCCGTGTTAACTTAAGTCATCAGAGCACTTCTAGGTCCCTCTGCTGAGAACCTGGTGGGCATCCTGGAGGGCATTTGAATGACACACTCTGCTCTATTTCCCATTTCCCTTTTCTGTTCAGGGACTGATAATATCATGGCCGAGGGAGATCATGAAATGTCTGTGACTTTTTCTAATTGTTAGCTGATGTCCCTGCCTTCCCAAAGGGCACACTCTATCTTTGTTCTGTTCAAGAGTTTTAGTACCGGGCCGGGCATAGAGGCTCACACCTGTAATCCCAATACTTTGGGAGGCCAAAGTGGGCAGATCACTTGAGGCCAGGAGTTCAAGACTAGCCTGGCCAACATGGCGAAACCCCATCTCTCCTAAAAATACAAAAATTAGCCAGGCGTGGTGGCGCACGCCTATAATCCCAGCTACTCGGGAGGCTGAGGCAGGAGAATCACTTGAACCTGGGAGGCAGAGGTTGCAGTGAGCCGAGATTGCACCACTGCACTCCAGCCTGGGCAACAGAGCGAGACTCTTGTCTCAAAAAAAAAAAAAAAAGTTGTAATACTGAAGTGTCTGAACTCCCCTGTTTCTCACAGAATAAGACGTGGGACCCTTCATCCAAACCTCCCCTCATACCCCAGATTTTCCAGAAGGTGTGTGCAGATTTGTCACCGTTAACATTCTCTGTAGACAATGATTATTATGGCATCACTTAGGTTACTAGAATAAGATTGAGTCAGGGACTTCCAAAGTGTTAGGATTCACTTTGAAGTCCATCTGGCCCAGTGGTTACCAGTCATGACTACATATCAGAATCACCCAAGGAAAATGTAACCCAGATTGAAGCCCGAGTCCCTGAGTCCCTCCCAGTCTGACCCATTCAGTCAGAATGTCTAGGGGTGGTCCCCAAGAGCTGCTTAACCAGAGCCAGTCAGGAGAGCAGGGTTTATGTCACTGGCTTCTTATCTCTTGTTGGCCATGTCTCTGCCCACTTGCTTTTCCCTCAGAAACACACAGAAAATGAAAGGATCCAAATATGACCCCCTTCTCCCTTCTAGTCCCACTCTGGAAAGGCCTGCTGGGAAGCGGGGGATGCTGGACTTGGCTTGGAAAGTGATGGATCTCTCAACTCCACTTCTCTTCGCCCTATTCTCACATGCGAGAGTGTGCAGGAGCTGGCTTTAAAAAGAAGGGACCCAATTTTTAAAAGAAGTGAGAATTCCCATTGCTTCTTGAACCTGCAGCTAGATTTAGATCTGGAGTGGAGGTCGTTTTCCCAGTCAGCGCAGCTCCCAGGGTCTGAATAGCGGCAGGCCCGTGGCACGAGATCTGTTGTTTCCCCTCACCTTGAGAACTGGGTCTTATCTTTTTGGAAAGAAAACTCATTATGATAAATGTAGCAGAAGAGCATTCAAATGCAAGTTTGCCCTGTTCTTTGGAGAGAGCCTGCATTTTTCTCCAGTTAGCTGCAAATGCAGCAGCTCAGTAGTCTAATTTAGCTCCAACAGCTGGGAATTCAGTATTTCTTCTTAATAACTTCAAACTCATTATAAACTGAAGATGGCACATACAATGAGAAAATAGGAAAATGAACTAATGGGTGTTCCAGAGCTTGAAAGGGAGAAAAGGAGGCTTCTTGTTTGAGTACCCATATTGTGGGTTTTCTCCGCACCAGCAGCGGTAGATACGAGAAGGAAGGCTTGGTTTCCTTTTGTTCTAATGAATCCAGAGTTCTTAGACTTGCGACTACCACTGCAAACTGGAGAGCTTTGGTGTTGCAACCTGCTCACAGCTGTGAGACGGGAATCAGGCACATCAAACTATTGCTAGCAAAATGAAAAATAACTCTGACTTTGATGCTGGTGTTAGACTACTGGAGTGTGAGTTTCTGCTCCCCCGGTGGCTGTCAGAGTTGTGGAAAGCTGCCTCCAGGCGCAAGACGAAGATTTCCAAAACCAGCCTTCAGCAATGGTCAGGTGATGAGGGAGCTAGGATGTGTGGTTCAGATGACCTAGGGGGGTTCTGAAGCTGGGGGTATCCTGATGCTTCACTAGTGAAAGGGGAGGGAGCCACACTGGAATTTCTACTCGGCCATGGGTCAATCTTAGGCCGGCAGATGGGATGCGTGTTGTCTTGACAAACAACGCGCCTGTTGCGGAGGCAGGGCTGTTTGGAAGAAAACACTGGATTGGAGTCAGGGGTCTGGGTTTGAGAGCTGGCCTGGCTAATACGACTTTAAGCAACTTTATTTGGCTTTCTCTGTATCTGTTTTCTGTCCACACCTCTCTGCTGTTGTTAGGCTCAAACAACAATAGTGTCAGGAGGAGAGTAAGGGAACTTGAAGATAAGGGGAATGGCTGGAGGAGAGGAACACTGAGGGAAGGTAGACTATAGGTATTGACCATCTGCACGTAGTGTGGTCAGGAAGTAGACTCTAAAATCCTAAGGTGACATCCCTAATCTCCCTCTTGTGCTCTGTTTATCTCTTTTGACACTTGAATTTTCAAGGACTCCCTACTACACCTGAGCTGCTTGAGAGATCAGGACCCTTAGGGTTATGACTTTCTGGGAGGACAGCAACCACTTGGTTTGCAAATCAGGAGACTTAGGTGGATCTCCTAATGCCTGAGAAAAGCTGCCCTGGCTGGGTGGAGCTCAAGCCACTGCAAGTTCCCCCATCTGGATGCAGAGCTGCAGGCCCGGGGTGAAACAACCCAGGCTCAGGTGTGGAGGCCACCGTGTAGCCAGGACAGAAGTGCTTTGCAAACTTGGCCTGCTTCTCCCTTAGAAAAGGGGTGAACTTTCTCTTCTGGACACTTGAAGTTCTCCTCAGCAGTACTGGTTACTTAGCGTTCTCCATGCCACACTTGCTTCCTTCATCTCTCTTTTCCCAAGTTTGTCCTGTTACTTAAAACTTACTTTCTCCTAGGAGACAGGAAAAGACATCCTCCTGACATTTGGTCAATTTGATTTTAGCTCGTTTTTTTACATCACCTTTGCTTTAACCGGGAAACATTTTGCTCTTTGCTAGTACTAGCAATGAGATAAGGTGCACTATACTGAGCGCCTATATGTGTTCAAAGTCTCTCATAGACTTTAGCGGTTAGCCACGAACCACTCCAGCAAGGGAAACAGATAGTATCCCCCACTTATATATGAGAAAACCAATTGAGAGGGGTTAATAAACTTGCGTAAGTTGTCCCTAAGAGTGAGAGTCAGGATTTGAACTCACATCATTCTGATTCCAAAGCCCAACTTTTGCTCAACTCCACACTCCTTGAGAATTCAGGCTTTCTTCGACTATGCTAATAGTCTCCATGACCATGAACTTGGATAAAGGATTGACCACAGCCAGAGAGGCAGCATCCAGTTATCTCCTTGTATAGAATGGATAATCCACCCCATGTATCCAGGATCTGTTAGGCAAAAGAGTTCTCTGAACCCTTTCATGTTACCTTCTTACTGAAATAGAACTTTTATCATCCTCACCCTGAGAATGGATGTTCCTGTTTAGAAAAAGACTTCCTTATCCCAGCTGACCTCACCCAGTTGGTAGAAATTCCAGTTTCCCCCATACTTAAACAAACATCTGTCTGAGCTCAATCTGTGCGCCAAAATTTAATCCTTGCAAACTCTCCCTGGAAAGAAAATAGGAAGAGATTGGTCAATGGGGGATTCCCTTGTGGGGTGCAGGCAATCAGAGATTGTGGATTGAAGGGGCCCTGGGGGATCACCTGGTCCAGCCTCCTGCCCCCCCCCCTCCCCCCGCCCACACTGGGACTTCTTGCTCAGTTTCCTGGCAGGTCCTGCATTCTCTGCCAAGGTTGTCTCACAAAGCAGCTTGTTCCTGGTGCAGCAGCTTTAGTTGTCTGAAATCTCCTTCTTCTATGAGCCAAGATGTGTCTCCTCCCAGCCCCGGGGTGTCCCTTAAGCCTCCCTGCTGCGTCCACAGGTGTGTCCATGCGTAGGGATCTTGCTCAAGCATCTTTGAGCCTCTCTCTCTCATCGCCTGCCACCCCAGTATGTCGGCCAAGTCCTGTCTGTTTGAATGCCTTCTTAAGCTGCCCTGTCTACTACTGTGGAAAGAGTCCCTGAGACCCCGGTGTTCATCTGAACCTGGCATTTTCTACCTGGTCTCCTTACCTCTCGTCTCTCCACTCCAGGATCTCCTCCCTGCAATCACCAGAGCCATCTTTTTAAAGCAGAACTCCAACCTTGTCATCCCCAACTTAAAGCCCTTGAACGGCTCTCCATGATCCACAGGATAAGCTCCTTAGCATGATAATCAAAGCCTTTTACATCCTGTCTGGATTGGTGGCTGCTTTGTACATAACATGCAATATAGCTAATCTTCACAATAATCTTATTGCTAGATTTTTGAAATGCATCTTACAGAGCATTGTGAGGCTCACAGAGATGAAACAATATCCCCAAATTGCATAGCCAGTAGGTGGCAGAACTGAGACTTGAAGCCATGGTTTCTCAGACTAAAATCCCTACTGTTTCCATTGTTCCAAGCAGTGTGTGTGTGTGTGTGTGTGTGTGTGTGCACGCGTGTGTGTGTGTATGACTGGTAAAAAATGCATAACATAAAATTTGCCAGTTTAACCCTTTCTTACTGTACAGTTCAGTACTGTTAAGTATTAATATTCACGTTGCTGTGCAACCAATCTCCAGAACTTTTTCTTGCAAAACTGAAATTCTACACTCATTAAACATCTCCCCCATTCTTTCCTCCCCCCAGCCCTTAATAACCACCATGCTACCATCTCTATGAATTGGACTACTCTAGGTATTTCACATAAGTAGAACCAGTGGAATCATACAGTATTTCTTCTTTTATGTGTGGCTTATTTCACTTAGCAGTGTTCTCAAGTTTCGTCCATGTTGTAACGTGCTGGTCCCTCCTTTTGAAGGCTGAATGCTACTCTTTTGTATGTATATACTAGGCTTGCAGTTTTTGAGCAGTAGTCAGCATCATAACACCTCGTTCATAACCTTCATCTATCCCAAACATGGGATTGTTCTATGACAAGCTCTCCCAGGGGTAACATTCTGGGCTCTGGACAGCATAGGCCTGAGCTGTGATGAAATCTATGAAAGACATCTGAACTGGTGAACGCGCAGGGCCTTAGTAGCCAGAGTTCCCACCTTCAGTGGAGATCCTGGGAGTGCAAACCGAAGGCCCCCTGTCCCTACCGGCATGCCCAGATTCCTCCCTACTTGTTTCTGATGCCTCTTCTCTTCTGAAGGGCAGAGGCTTTCAAGCCCCAAGAGCAAAGGGGTGGAAGATTCCTCAAGAGAAGGGCAGTGATGCCCACCTACACCAAGCCTTAGGTAGCATGGGAGGTGGAGAAATGTGGGTCCTGTTGACAGAGGACAACAATGGGAGGACTCTGGAAGGGGCAATTGTTTACTCTCACAACCAGCCACAGACAGCAGGGTGCAGGGGGCCTCTGGAAACACTGGGTTAGGGCACTGAGATGTCTACCCAAGATTCTCTCTGACCAACCGCCCCCATTTCTGTGCCTGCTGGTTTCAGTCTCCCCCTCCAGAAGGGCATTCTCCATGTGGCAGGGCACATGGCCACCTGGAGCCCTGGGGCCACATCCTCATGACTCAGCCACCAAAGAGGAAAGAGGAAAGGTGAGGAAAGTCGAGCCCCACCTTCACTGCTAAATCCTGGGCCCCGACTCTGGCTGGGTCTGCAGCCCTGAGGGAGGAAGGCTCTTCTACCAGAAGGAGCCGGAGAGGAGTTGGGTATCTGGGGCTTCGCAGCTGCCCTGATTGAATCCCCTTTAGAGAACAGGTAACTGGAAACCCAGCAAAGGAGGAATGGGAGGCTTATGCAGCAAAGACACCATCTTCTCCAGTTCTGCTGTCAGGAGGAAGAGCAGATTCCATGGCAGCCTCAGCATTGTCATTTACTGGCTGTGTAACCCCAGGCAGGGGCCTTTGTGTCTGCTGGCATTAGGAGGCCTCTCTCACCCTGTGACCTTTCTCACTTCCAGGCTTGCCGAAAGGGAGAGAAAAGCAACCCCAACCCCGTGGCCTTGTCATTACTTTCAGGAACACCTGCAGGAGTTGCCATGGCAACGGGATCCCACAGCCAGCTCTCCTGCTGTCTGTTCACCGTGGAGCTATGAGTTGTAGGGGCCAGAGAATTTATCAGAAAAGGGTAATTGCTGTTTCATTCAGGACTCTTGGTCCTGGAGGAGGCCTTGAGCTGGTCCATCCTAAGGGAATAAGGTCATTGGAATCAGTGCACGGGATGGCCTTGCAGGGTAGGGCAGCCACCGGGTCCAGAGAGTCCCCCCGGTTCCCTTGGGCACTGTCCCCATTCTCCCCTAGCGTGCAGAGTGGCCAGAGCCCGGGACTAGGAGCAGGACTATTCATATTGTTCCTGCAAACACAGTTTACAAGGCGCATGCTTGGCCTTGGATTCTCAAAACAATAATGTGATACTCTTATGTTCATTTTACAGAGGAGGACACAGAGGCAAGGGAGGCTAAGTGACACACGCAGGGTCACCTAGTCACAAGCAGCAATGCTGGGAATGAGAGCCGGGCATTTCCAGTCCAGACCCCTTCTTCTTTCCATGATGTTCCTCAGTTCTCCCTGCTCCCAGTTGTCATGACAGGGCTTTTGCTTATCCAAGTGACATTTCAAGACCACCTCTTCTCTCTAGGGCAAAAATAGGCTTGATGTAGCTTGTGATGAAATATGGAAATATTTTGCATCTGATATGAAAAAAAGGAACCGGTTGAACTTGGTGCCTGGTTAGTATCTTAAGACCCCGGGGAGGGGAATTCTGGGTGGTGGGGAGCAGCCCCAATAAGCAGAGCCCAGGTGAGGGTGTCATGCTGCGAAGACGGCCCTAAACGCACACTGGGAGCTGTGGAAGTTGCCCAGCTAAGCGGTGCCATGACTTGATCTGTATTTGTGAGAATTCTTCTGCTCTGGAGGGTGAGAAGGAGCCCTCCTCTTATGGTGTACGATAATTCTGCATTCTTCATTCAATGGGTAGAAGCTTCTATGGTTAATAAATTACACAAGTCACCTTGTGGGTCCTAGGGAACACACTCTTGGGCTTGGAATCCATCTCTCATGATCACTCAGTCCTGGGTTGATGGCTGTGGGGAACACGGAGGTGAGCATGATGCAACCTCGCCATCAGACAGCTGACACTCAGGCGGGAAAGACACCTTTGAAGCGATTTCCTTGGTGTGGTGGGGTGCAACTTAGAGCAGAGTTCTTAACTATGGGATCCATTGACCTCCTGGTTTGCATAGACAGGTTTCAGGTAGTCCAAGAAATTTGTGACATTGCATGTAAAATTATTCAGTGTATATGGAGTGTGTGTGTGTGAGAGGGGGGTGGGTCAAAGGGAGGGAGGATGCCTATGGCTTTCTCTGGATTCCCCAAAATCCAGAAAGGTTAAGAAACACTGAGTAAGAACCTTTTTGAGGGTGTTTTAAGTAGCTAGATTCAATACATAGAGGCAGCGGAAATTATGTTCAGTAGGGTTTGTGCCTGGCACAGGGTCTGTGCTTGGAAAGATAGCCATAGAGTTTATGGACTTGAACTCAGTTTCACAGTCCAGTTTAGCTTTTGCTGTGGTCTGGAGGATTTTGTGCCCCCTCCCCTAAAAACTCATATGTTGATATCTAACTCCAAAGATGATGGTATTCAGAGGTGGGGCCTTTGGGACGTTGTTAGGTCACGTGAATGGAGCCGTCACGAATGGGATTCATGCCCGTATAAAAGAGGCTTGAAGGAGGGTGTTCACCCCTCCCACCATGTGAGGATGCAGCAAGAAACCACCATCTATGAGGAACAGGCCCTCACCAGACGCCAAATCTGCTGGCACCTTAATCTGGGACTTCCCAGCTTCTAAAACTGTTAGCAATAAATACCTAGCCTCGTGTACTTTGTTATGGCAGCCTGAACAGACGAAGACAGCTTTCCACACAGACAGAGGAAAAGAGAAACAAACTTTGTGAAGCCAACCTCACACTCCTGTGCCTGACAACCTATCCCCCTGCCCTATAGGAATGCTCCCATCTCCCCACCTGCTTCTAGGAAGAGGCCTTGGTTGGGGAAGACCAGGGCCCATGGCTTGTACAGAGCTACTATTCCTGGCTGCAGCACAAACAATGCCGTCTTTGTCAGCATCATTGCCCTCCCATGGAGAACAGCCTTCTCTTACCTAGGCTAGCTGAGTTCAAAGGAACAATGAAAAAAAACTCAGAAGGCAACATTTTTTGGGCAGGAAATGGTTGCTTTTTATACCCGTCAAGTCTCTAGTGAGATTCCGAATGAAACCCACCACTATGAAAGAGAGTATGAAATAAAAGAAGCTTTTAAGACTCTGGGTTCTTCCTTGTTCGAAATACTTACCTTTCCATTGTGAAGCATAAGCCTTCTGTGAGCCTTGGCACCGAATAACACCCGGTGATGAGTTGTTATTGATTTCTTCTCATAGACCATCTGCGCAATGGAGCCAGGCTCTGTAGGAATGCTTACACAGTGGAAAGGGAACAAGGAAATGGGCTGAAACTTTTCAACAGTCAGTTTTATGTGTGTATGGCAATTACTTCTGCAGGAAGACGAAGGAAGATTTACTATGACTAGAAGTGCAGAGCCCTGTGAATACTGTGCCGTAAAATGCAGCATCCGGAACACAATCCAGCTTGGAAGTGTGTGGTGCTGCTTTTTGGAGCCCCAGCAGGACACCATCTGCTCCTGAAGTCAAAAGAAGGGTGACCTGATTCCCTGGAAGCCTTGAGGAGATGACCCAAGCTCCCAGGAAGGAAATAGGGCAGAGCTGGGGAAGAGAGGTGTCTTCAGCTGCAAGGGTGGTGGTCTTGGAAACTTCTACCAAGTTGCCTTAGATGGGAAACAGAATCATTCTCACTTTGCTTAAGTGCTTTGCACTCTCCTTTTCCCCAACACATTGCCTGTTGGGTCTTCCAATAAATGAGTCTCCACTCTCTTGAAAAAAATAAGAAGAAGCTCTTGTCAGAGATGTAGGGCAACTGAGCTAGCAAAGATTTATCAAATCCCTACTATGTGCTGCTCAAGCTGTTAGGGGCTTGACATACATATTTTTCTCTAGAACTTAATTACAAGAGGTAAAGATTTTCATCTTTATGTATAGATAAAAGATGGGTCAGAGATACCAAAGACTTGCCCAGAGATGCTAAGGACTTGCTCTATCCTTTAGAGACACTAAGGATTGCCAAATGTTGCTGTCTTTCAGCTTAACGTTCCTACCTAGCTTAGCATTCAGCTAGTTACGTGACAGAGCTCAAAAGCTGGTGCTTTTTGGCTAGGTAGTGCTCTAGTATTTTATACATTTAATTACTCATCAGCAACAAATTTGTAAACTCTTAGAACACTGGAAAAGTCCTTAAGAATCACCGGCTTCCACCAGCCTCTTCGTGTAGGGAGCCCTAGGGCTGGAGGGAGCAGCTTCTGCTTCGGTGATGCTGCTGCTCCATGGCTGGGGAGGTTGGATTGCTGGAACACTCACCTATAGCCTCACGTCTGATACTTCTCTTGAACCCCCCACTCTCACATTGTCCAGGGTGTGTGGTGCTGGACCCTGAGGGGCTGACAGTAATCAGTGCAGGGTCAGCTTGATGACTAGGGTTCTGGTGGCTTTTGGGGTGGAAGGATGTACTGCTCCTATATCAGAGCAGGGCTGGGCCCACCTCTTATTCTCAATAGAGATGAAAGGCTTGCTGCCTAGCATAGTTGTTCACAAATTCTTGCTGAGTTGAATCATGCAAGAATGTAGAAGGTACACAGTAAGTGCGAATGAAATGAATTCATGCCCCCAGATACTCAGAAACAACATTTTTCAGTCAGAGCTCTCTACAGAACAATGAGGCAATGGAGCTAGAAGTCACAGCTAAGAAGCAGACCACAAACCACCGATGTCTATGCAGTCTATGAAACCGAGGGGAAAACAACTCTGTCCCGCTACAGCATCATTCTCCCCACAGAGGCCCCCGATGAAGAGCCTCAGCAACCTTGCTCCAAGTCCAGCAGTGAGTTGGGGATAGAATCTAATGAAACTCATTTCCATCTGTCAACTTCTTTAATTAGGTGGGGAATTTCATTGACTGTCTCTGGACCTAGAGAGTACCCAATACATAATTTTTCAAACTTGGAATAAACCAAAATAAAAATATGCCAACTTCCAAGTGGATACATTAGCCCAGCCTCAATGCATTAAAATAATCATTATGACTGAACGAGGAGTTTGAGTAATAATCTGTGCCCTACATGCCAGAGCTGGCATGATATGCTTCACAGCCCTTTATTTCTATCTAGGCTTCAGAGTGCCAGCATCAAATAATGCAATCTGTACAAAATGCTACTAGCCTCAAGAGCCCTTTATTTCCAAGCTCCTAAAATCTTAATGATAACACACATTAGTACAGCACTGTTTAGTTTATAAAACACTTTTATGGAAATTATCTCATTTAATTTATTACTTACAAGGTTCCTATAACTCACAACCTCCCTATAAAGAATTACCTTCATTTTACATAGAAAGAGGCCAAAATTTAAGGAGATAAGTGAATTTTCCAAGGTCACGTAGGTGATAAGTAGTCAAGTAGATTCTGACTCCAGACCTTTCTATGATGTGTCCCATGACCAAGAGTAAGATGCCTGATTTTAGAGCCTATGCCCCTTTATGGGAATAACACGATTTAAAAATTTTAAGCTGGAAGAAACTGGTCCAGCTTCTCAACATTGTGTTCACTCCTAGAGCAATGTTGGTAGATGCTAATGCTAATGTTAGTTGAATACTTCTAGTGATGGGGAGCTCACTCTCAGAGAATGTCATTGCATTGTTGAACAGCTCTGATTGTTTGAAAATTGAGACAAAATCTGCCTCCATGCAATGCCCTCTCATGAGGCATAGTTCTCTCTGCAGGAGCCCACAGAATATATCTATTCTTCCACAAATAGCCTTCTCAGGGGATAGCACCACATTCAAAATGTCCACCTCAAAGCACATTGTGCAGTTCATTCTCCCCCATTTTGCTAAAAAATGTATTGTATCTGCCTATGGCGCATTTCTAAGATGAGTTGGTTAACATCTGCATCACTGACCATACTCATGTACCATGTGGCTAATCATCATGGGTAGATTTTTGACATCAAGCTTTGACATCAAGCTAACTGGGATGAAGTGTCTGAATTTTTGTCTGCCTCCACTTTTGGAAATTATTCTCTATTTTTCTGACTTGGAGGGGTTCTGTAAACCTTGGCAATTTCCTTCAGCATCTTGGTGGACAACCTGTGTGAGCCTAAAAAATGTTCTTTCACCAATTGTATCTCTAATTTCTCTCCTGCCTTACTGTGGATCTTGGCCCTAAATCTCTGTTCTCTTGTCTGCCTTTACTTCTGTAAAAAATATTCTTATTGGAGGAGAAGTTGAAAGTGAAGGGAGCGGTGCTCCATTCTTTGTGACACCCTCAGTTGTCTACTGACTATATATCAACTGTATACAGATTGGCTCCCTACTTGGAGGGAAGTCCACTTCTTGCTGCAAATATAACCAACAGGCCCCTTTGTTAATGTCTAAAGCAGGCAGTGTATGGTTATGTTAAAAGAAAAACTATAAACAAATTTACTAGAATTTATTTCATCAACAAACAATTCATGAACAGCATAGCACTCTAAACCAGGAGAGGTTCAGAGCGCTCCATAGAAAAAGGAAGTGGGATGCCGACACAGGCTGATTGATGACAGCTTGGCATTTACCTCATATGGACATGGACATGGTCTGATCAGTTAGCACCCTGTGATTGGCTGAAACTCGGCTGCTGCAATTGGCTGAGACTCAGCTACTTGTTACAAGAATATACTCTTAGCTAGATTGCAGTTTGTCTACATCCTAAGTTAGGTTGCAGTTTACCACTTAGGAATTCAAAGTGTAGAGGCAGCAGCTTTAGGCCAAATTTCATTTAATTTAACAATTCCCCCATTTTGGTCAGCATCTCAATTTTGAGAGATTGACCAAAATCTTGGGTACGGACGCCACTCTGCCACCATCATAATGGACTTGGTTAGTCTCAGTATGGAATTTACAATTCTCAACATCAGTCAGCTGACTTTTCTTTATGTTCTCTTTATGTTTTTGTTATTCTAATCATAGTGAAGCTACCTAAAACATTTAAGACTCTTGGGTGTGGTGGCTCATGCCTGTAATCCCAGCACTTTGGGAGGCCGAGGCAGGCGGATCACTTGAGGTCAGGAGTTCAAAACCAGCCTGGCCACCATGGTGAAACCCCCTCTCTACTAAAAAAATGCAAAAATTAGGTGGGCATGGTCACAACTGCCTGTAGTCCCAGCTACTCGGGAGGCCAAGGCACAAGAATCACTTGAACCCAGGAGGCGGAGGTTGCAGTGAGCCGAGATTGCGCCACTGCACTCCAGCTTGGGTGAGAGAGGGAGACTCTACCTCAAAAAAAATAAAAAATAAAAAAGACTCTTGAGTGGATACAGCACCAAGGAGACTATTGTGATGGCTGTCAGGAGGATAATACTAGGAGACTGAAGAAACCTCTTTAACAGGAGCCCCCATGAATCAAACTGATCAAAATCAAATATATCGAAAATGAGCCAGAAGAAGAATCTACTTATTTTAGCCAAGTACCTTATCTGTTAATTTCTTACAACTGAGTTTCTACGATACCAGACCTATTTTTCTATTATAAGTTAACTATCACACACAGGTGTTAACTATCGTACACATTCCCCTTGGTTCAGCCAACAGGTAGTCCAGAGCCATTATGTGATCTAAAACAACTCTAGTAAGAGAATTTAAAGAAGTTTGCTGGGAAGTGATAGCCTTTGCAGTTGAGTTAGCTATTGTAGCTGTTTGGGCAGATTTCTAATCATAAATTCATTTACATTGATGCCAAGCCACAGGAGCATTCTACCAAAAGATGCCCATTTAGATGGGTTTGTGCCTGCTTGTGAATTCCTCTTTACTCCATAATGAAAACTAAGGGGTGTAGACCAAGGTTTGGTTTCCAGTTGGTTATGGAGTGATGGTACCATGATTAGAATTCCTAATCCAAATTGGCCCCTTGTTTTTCACTTATTGAGACATGGGGTTGCCCACACTTATGATTGATCATTAAATCCTCCACAGATAAAAATATATCCTGGAAGGGCACAACAGAGAATTCCCTGTGGAATGTCTTATGCCTTAGGCATTATCAGTAGGGAAGCACTAGTAATATTTCTCTACGGCTCCATTATTGAATTATTGAATGATTGGAGGATATTGACAAGTACGGAATTAGGGTTATAAATTTGTCTACACACCGTTGAATTTTTTTTGTTTTCTTACTCAATTTCTAATTTCACCGCAAAAGTTCCTCACTATAGGTTTTGCCTAC
Organism: Homo sapiens; assembly: GCF_000001405.40. Taxonomy (NCBI): domain Eukaryota; kingdom Metazoa; phylum Chordata; class Mammalia; order Primates; family Hominidae; genus Homo; species Homo sapiens. Next base: position 15,150,922 of record NC_000002.12, on the reverse strand, counting down.
TCTTAGATTCAAACAAGAAATCTGAATGTAAGACTTTAAGAACCTAAAGGAGCAGATGTGCACTTTGAGCAATAGTCACAGGTTGGACTATCAGTGAAATTTGTCACAGAGCGAACTTTACAGTGACCTTAGAGAATCTCTAAGATCATGTAAGGATTTAGGTTAAACATGACATATCCAATATTCACTTAAGCTCCCTATGGAAGCTATTGATTATGAAATCTTAATTATCTCATTATCATATAATGTATAAGTAGAAAAGAAACACAGAAAAAACAACAAAAGGGACAAAGTTTTCATGATGACAGAGAAGTCTTGATAATAATACTGGAAGCTTTAAGGACTCAGGAAGGGCCAGGTATCAGTCCAGACTCTCCGTGAGTCCAAATTTAACATTGGATTTACATCCTCTTAAATACCAATTTTGTTTCTCCAGCTCAGGTGCACAACATTGTTTATTAAATAGGCTATCATAGGTAATCTGACTTGGATTAATCTTATGGAGTTCTCAAATTGCATATCTTAAGAGTTTCAGTACTGGGTGACTTAGCATGAAAATCTACCAAAGCATTTCCAAGGTATTCAATTAATTATTGTTCTCCTTGATGTTAGGTTAGCAATTTTATGAGCCAATCAATTTCTTCATTAGCGTTCTGAGAATTTTTCCATAGTCCAAAGGTATGATCAGGTTTCTAGGAATTTCATACCATTTCTGGAACACATATTAATAACACATTCATGCAAATGTAACCTCAAGGAAGTTTAGGATTACTTATTATTTCACAATGCTTCCCATATAATTAAATATCTTAAATAAGCCCAATTAGTTTAATGTCTTTTTTTTTTTTTTTTTTTTGAGACAGGGTTGCCCAGGCTCTGGAGCACAGTGGCACTACCATGGCTCACTACAGCCTCAACTTCCTGGGATCAAGCAATGCTCCCACCTTGGCCTCTCAAAGTACTGGGACTACAGATGTGAGCCACTGCACCTAGAGAGAGATTCCCTTTGTATAAACAGAGAGTCTTTTGAGATGTTCCAAGAGCCCATGTGCAAAATACCAAAGTTAATTCAAGATCAAGAAAAATATTTAATTTAGAATTTGATTTTAGGAAGTTTGTCAAAAATCAAGAGTTTAAAACCCTTGATCAAAATAGGATCAAGGCTGGGTGTGGTGGCTTACACCTGTCATTCCAGCACTATAGGAGGCTGAGGTAGGAGGATTGCCTGAGCAACATGGCAAAACCCTGTTTCTACCAAAAATACAAAAAATTAGCCAGGCATGGTGGCACATGCCTATAGTCCCAGCTACTCAAGAGGCTGAGATGGGAGGATCACCTGAGCCTGGGAAGTTGAGGCTGCAGTGAGTTGTGATCATGCCACTGCACTCCAGCCTGAGTGACAGTGTGAGACCCTGTGTCAAAAAAAGAAACAGAAAAATAAAACAACAAAAAACTAAACCAAAACCAAAATAGGATCAGAGGTTACTATAAAATAATAGTTGTCTTAGTCTGTTTTGTGCTGCTATAACAGAATACCTGAGATTGGGTAATTTTTAAAGAACAGAGATTTATTTCTTGTAGTTCTGGAGGCTGGGAGATCCAAGGTCAGAGGTCCACATCTGGCAAGAGCCTTCTTGCTGTGTCATTTTATGGTGGAAAGCGGAAGGGCAAGAGGGCATATGGAGTGGGGGAGCAGGGACAACCTCATCCTTTTATCAGAAGCCCACTCCTGTGGTAACAGCATTAATCATGCATGAGGGCAAAGCCCTCATGAACTAATCACCTTTTAAGTGTTCCACCTCTCAACACCGTTACATTGAGGATGCAAGTTTCTAACATATGGACTTTGGGGGACACATTCCAACCACAGCAATAGTCATTCATTTAACCATTTAACTGGAGTGATAATTAAATGGCTTCGAAGGCAAATATCAAAAGGTTTTTTAAAGTACACTCTATTAAAAACCTTAACTCTTAAACTGAGAGGACTCAGTTTTCTTAAATGTCGAAAGCCTAATAAAGACAACATGAAGCATAGGAAAGTATTTTGGCAAACACAAAATCTTTGTTTCCTAGGCCAATTACCTAGAAAGTAAAGAGAAAACTATCATCATTTCCTATTAAGAGCAGAACAATACTCCAAGAAAGCCTTATTGTTTTAACACAGGGCACCAAATTCTAGTTTTGCATCAGTGTACTTGCGATATTAATTAATGCTCAATTTTTTAAAAAAATTATAAATAATTTCCTTCTATTCTTAGCCAGATTGTTTACACATAACATTTCTTTCACAAGTTTAATCTTCCGTAAACCTCCTATCACATTCCTGTCCATTCAGTTTTTGTTTTGTTAGGGCGGCCAACCTTCACCTGAGCATATTCCCATTCCTAGACTTCACACAGGTACCACTCTGCACGTGGAATGCCCTCCCTTTACCTCTTTGTTTCTCTATCTTGTTCTCCAAAATTTAGGTCATTCCTTGCCTCCTCCCGGAAGCTTTTCTTGACATCCCAGACTGAGTTTCAGGCCCTGCTCATTGCCTGCCCCTCAACTTAAGTTTTTGTTGCAGAGAACCACAGTGACCACTGATAACTCTCTTTCTCCCCTACTAGATGTGGCCTCTTTGGTGGCAGGGCCTGGGTCTGACTACCCTTTGGGTCTTCAGCACATGACACTGTGCAGGGAATGACACTGTGCAATAAGAGTTTACTAACAAATCAAAGTCATCTTGGGTTGTACCTATGATTGGGGTGTGCAAGTGAATATTTAATTGCTTTCTGACTGTCTCGTATGTTAATCTCCTCCTCCCAGTCTGGTTGCCAAGGGCTCAGGGAACATGTTTGGGGGTTCTCTGTATCCCTCTTTCCAACCTGGTTACCAGGGGTGCAAGAAGCATGTCTGGGGATCTCTGCATCCTTTCTGTCCCCAGCACAGAGCAAGGCACCAGGAGGTTCTCAGTTCTCCAGTTGAACGTTTGCAGTCTGAAACACATTTAGCCTATCTTCAGGCCCTGGGGTGAAGTCTGCTGAGTTTTCTTCATCTGAGCCTGCTGTCTTAAACTCGACAGGAGACCCAGGAAATGAATTGTTTACTCCTAATTCAGTCATGAACTGATGTGATAATTATGCCTCTCAGCGTTCCCAGCAACGCATTTTGCAGGCTACGTAAATGAGAGATGATGAGTAAAGGCGGTCCTTAGAGCCACATTTGCTGAGCAGAAAGGGGGCAATTGCCTTAATATGTTTAGTCCAAGGAATCAATTAGCTACAAATTAGGGTTGAAGGGGCCTGGAACATCTCTTTTTTTAATTTTTTTTATTATTATTTTTTTGAGACGGAGTTTCGCTCTTGTTGCCCAGGCTGGAGTGCAATGGTGCGATCTTGGCTCACAGCAACCTCCACCTCCGGATTCAAGCGATTCTCCTGCCTCAGCCTCCCGAGTAGCTGGGATTACAGGCATGCGCCAGCACACCAGGCTAATTTTGTATTTTTAGTAGAGATGGGGTTTCTCCATGTTGGTCAGGCTGGTCTGGAACTCCTGATCTCAGGTGATCCACCCGCTTCAGCCTCCCAAAGTGCTGGGATTACAGGTATGAGCCACCACGCCCAGCCCAGAACATCTCTTCTAATCAGTCCTCTCTGAATAGAAGTTTCCTAGATAATAGCTTCGTCAGACCTGTGGGACAGCTGTTTAGGGTGCTGGCTGCACCAGCCTCCATTCCTAGAAATGTTCTCCTTTTCTTGAATACAATCCTGCCTCCCAGGGACATTTCCCTACCCGTCTCAGGTCTGCCCTCTAGGGCTACCCAGAACAGTTGGTTTCCTTAAGCATGCAACTGCTTTTTAGATGCTTGAAGACAGCTCACATTTCCTAAATGCACACGATAACAAGGGATGTTACTGAGAACCTGTGGCAGGGTCCTTCCGAAGGGACAGACAGAGCAACCCTGTCCTCGAACAGACACAGCGGGTAACCAGCTCAACTACTGGTTAGCAGGATGTAGGCTTTTTATTTAATGCAGGTCTAAGAGTCATGTCCCCTGCCCATGGCAGGTGGCACACAACCTTCTCTGCACTTGTACCCATTATGTGTGGGTCGTGCTCACTCTGTTGTCTATTGACAGCCCCAGTGATGCCTGCCATGTGGGGCTCCCTGCTGAGCCTGGCCCACGGGGATAGGGGCCAGACCTATACCATCTATCTGCTCTGCCATGTGTTCTGCGCTCTGAGAGGTGCTCCCTATTGCTCCCTGTCCCAGACTCACTGCATCCTGGGTTCTGGTTCACTTAGTGAATGCCTGGGACGTTCTTCGGGCAGGTCATTCTCACTGGACATGGCAGCCTTGCTCATCTGTCCCCTTCATTTATGCCACAGCCCCTCTCAGCCCCTTGTGGTGAGCAGCTCCCAGACTGCTTCTACCCATCTGCTTCTGACTGGGGGTGTTGGACTTTCATTGAGTTTTCTTTTAAAATTGCCTTTATCAGCCGTCTGCAGTCCATCATCACAAAGGTTTCTTCTGGTCTTGTAGAAGATATGCATCACATTTTATCCTGAAATCAGATTTAACTCAAGATGACCACTATTGCCATCCTTAAATATGTGTCATGAATAACTGCCATTTTAAGTGCGTACTAGGTACCAAACAGGGCTTTAAACACCATAGTCTATTTATTCTTTACCACAACTCTATGAAATAGGGACCACTATCATCTCACTGCACAAATGGGGACACTGAAGCACAAGCATTTAAGTAACTTGCCTTGAGTCACACAGCTAGTGAGTGGCACAGTTGAGATTCATACCAGGCCAGCCAGCCCCTGACTTTGAGATCTTAACCATTGCTTTCTGTTGTTCCAAGGTGGCAAAGATGTTTCTCTGTTTTACTCATTCTCAACACTTAGAACAGTATCAAGTTCACGCTAGATACTCAATAGATATTTTTCCAATGAGAAATGGAAAAATGAATGAATGAAAGAGTGTTTTCTCCAACTCAGGGAGTCTCGAAGAAAGCATTCACCTTATGTTTAGATGGGTGGCTCTCAACTTCGAGCATGCATCAGAATCCTTCATAGAGCTTGTTATAACTCATGTTCTGGGCCCCCCACCCCAGAATTTCTGATCCAGTAGGTCAAGCCTGAGAATTCTCATTTCTAAAAGTTGCCAGGTGCTGCCGAGGCTACTGGTTGGTGTACCTCATTTTGAGAAGCTCCTGTTTGGAGTAAAATTCCATCATACTTTTGCAGCAGGAGTGGGAGCTGCAGTAAGAGGGCAGGAGCCAGTGACTCAGTGCCCAGTGGTCTGCCCAGTCCAGGCAGAGACAAGCCTGGGACTCAGATGCTCCTCTTCCTGCAGCCTCTAGGACCAGCAGCCAGTGCTGGTCTGAGTCTCACAGTGACCAGGTCTCAACTGGAACTCCAGGTTCAGAGTGAAGATTAAACCATAATAAAAGCTTTCCTTTATAAATCACCCACCATACACTAGGCATGAAGACACACACACACACACACACACACACACACACATACAAACAAACACATACATCTCAATGCATTTTTGCTGTAATGGCATATGTGTGGCCCTAAACATCCTTGGGTTCTTTAAGATTGCGTGTAAAAGCACAGGGCTTAGAGGAAAATAGTTAAAGCAAGCCACTCAAAATCTAGTAACCGCAAAGCTGACAAAACCAACTAAAAATGAGTAATGAAAACACCAGCAGAGTATGTAGAATGTCACTGGTATGTGTACCAGCAACACAAGCAGTCTATTCTTTGCCACCTTAAGCCATGGGATGTGTACGTCCTCTTTTGAGATTAGGTTGTGGAGACTGCTTTCTATCTAAATTAAAAATTGGATTGAGGGTGTGGCCGTCTTCATTAGCCCACTGTTTTACTACAGGAGGATTATCTCTACTCATAGCTACACCAAATAGCTTAACCTCATGGAAAGCTTAGTAGTTCTAGTAGCCTCTAAGCCAGCCACTTTGCAGTAAAGAAAGGCACTTCTGCAAATTGTCAGCTTTTACCTTAAGGCTTTATATATTGCTATGGCCTTCTCTTTAACTGTGAGAAAGTTGCCCTGCCCCATTCCTTCAAAACATGCATGTGCTAAAACCAGATCTCATAAACCAACGCAACCACCTGTATCGTAACATATGGGACTGTTTCTGAGTTGGCAAAGCTTGGATTTGAACCCAGAGCTGACTGCGAAGCCCATGCACTTTCTCCTCTATTCTGCTGCCTTTTTTTTAGAGGATAGATATGCAAAAACAAAGCCAGTGGATGTGTGCTGTAGTGATGTGTTCGATAAAAAGTGGCCAGCAATGTGGCCACTCAGAAGTACCTCTGCCTTGGATGGGAGCTGCTTGAGGGCCAGGATTGTGTAGCGACTCCTGTCTTCCCCAAAGGACCTAAAAAGTGCCTCACGCAGAGAAGTTGCTCAATACACATTTTATGAATGCAATTGTATCTGAATCAATAGTAATAAACACAAGCCAAACATAAAAGTCATTCTTTCAGGAAACAAACATTATATTTTATTTAATAGGCTGGGAGGTTGATGGGGATGGAGAACATATTTGACACTTTGGTCTGTGTCAGGCTTTCCTGGGTTGAGCCTGGAAATTACCTTGGTGCATATAGTTCAGGAAGGTTTGCCAAGGCAGCCATACTCGGGCTGTAGGAGCTGGGACACAGCCATGCTACACAATTTGTGGAATGCATGTTGTCTTTTGACACTGTGTGTGCATATGTGTTGGGGAGGGACCGTGGGTGGGCCCTGGGGGCCAGGCTGTGGAGTCACAACAATGTGACAAGGTGTATTAGTCAGGTTTCTCTAGAGGGACAGAACTAATGGGAGATATATATATATATATATATTTTTATATATAGGATAATATATATATATAGTATTAACTCACACAACCACAAGGTCCCACAAGGGGCTATCTGTGGTCTGAGGAGCAAGGAGAGCCCGTCCGAGTTCCAAAACTGAAGAACTTGAAGTCTGATGTTTGAGGGCAGGAAGCATTCAGCACAGGAGAAAGATGTAGGCTGGGAGGCTAGGCGAGTCTCCCTTTTCACATTTTTCTGCCTGCATATATTCTAGCCATGCTGGCAGCTGATTAGATGGTGCCCACTCAGATTAAGGGTAGGTCTACTTTTCCCAGCCCACTGACTCAAATGTTAATCTCTGTGGCAGCACCCTCACAGACACACCCAGGATCAATACTTTGTATCTTTCAATCCAATCAAGTTGACACTCATTATTAACCATCATACGAGGGGTGTGTGGAGGTTATGTAACCACCACTTGCAAACCTCCAAAGGGCTGCAGAGGGACACACGTGCTCTGTTTGGCTCTAAGGGCAGGACGAAGCCCGTGGGTGGAGAATTCATCCAGTCCATTCAGAGACCCATCTCACAGACATGCCCTTGTTTCTAAGTTGTTTGTGTTTGTTCTGAGTTTCATGTTCGACTGACTCTTCAGTGAAATCACAAGGGCCTCAGGATCAAAACTGCTCCGTCAACCAGTGTTGGATTTGCAGCGGCCCCTGCAACATGAAGGTGCTGAGGGTATGGGCTTCAGAGTCAGACAAACTCCAGGTGGATCTCAGCTCTGCAGACGCGGACTTGCTGCAGGACCACGGGCTCAATGAGCCTCTAATTCTTGTTTGTAAAAGAAGGATCGTAATCGATTTCACAGGGTTGTTTGTGAGCCTTAAGTGAGATAAAGAATTGTAGAAAGGGGCTGAGTACCTGGTCAAGCCCTGTAGGTGGCAAAAAGGGGTAAATGATAACAGTAGGCTTCCAGATCTTCTGATCTATTTGGGGTGACAAGACACGCTGAAAGCAGAAAATAACCAAGTACATATTTCAACGGGCTGATGAGTGAGTAGTCTAGAGAATACTGCACGGACCAGTTTGTTTCTTTTGCAGAGCTAGTGTTCCAAAATGACTTGTTGCAGGAGGTCAGGATGACTCTTTGGGCACCCTTTGCTCAACCTTTAATTATAAAAACTATTAGCAAAACGGAGGGATGTTTCTTTTAACGTTTCAACATCTTCCTTGCCCTCATCTGTACGCTAGATGTAGGTTCAAAAGTAAAGCAAAGGTGCTCTTAAGATATCTCTTGAGGGGATGTGTGTTTCTATCCATGGAATGTTCCTTATCTCCCCTCTCCATCATCCTCTGCAGAGATAGACAGAGAGCACTTGAGAGGAAGATGACAGGAAGACTTTACAGCCGGCACCGTGGAAATAGCCCCTTCGGGGAACAGGATGTGGCAGGGATAAACCTGTATTTGGAGTTTTTAGCAAGGCCCAGCAGGATGACTAATGCAGGAAGGTGCCAGTCAGGGAGCTGGCAGATGTCTCTTCAAAACAAGGGGAGCGTTCCCTCAAATATTTGCCTGTCAGCCTTGCGGAGGCGACCATTTTTAGCTCTTCAATAAATTGTCCCTTTGTGGCAGTAGCAGCTAAGCCTCCTGACGTCATCTGCAGGAACCTTATTTGGTTTTGTTGGGGAAGCATTTCAAGCTGAGAAATGCACATGCCTCCTCCCGGATGTGACATTCATCTGCTGAGCTCAGCCCACACACCTGTGCCTCTCAGCAAAGCCACATGTGCTGTTTCGGGCAGAGGTTGACAAACGTCAAGGCTGGCTGCTCTCAGTTGCTCTATTATCTCCTTCCTGCTGCTGTCTTCCGGTTCCCCTCATTTTTCGTGCATTTGCAACTGTTGACAGGCTGGGTTGCTGAGGGTGGTTACCTCTGACATGCACTCCTCCTGGCATTTTCTGAATATCATCGTTCTGAAGTGTGTGTCCCCCAACACGTGGGTGGAGATGAATGGGTATTCCATATTCAGTGATTGGAGGTAATGCTGGATTTATTCTCTGACATGAATTTTGTGATTGTAAATGTCACAGACTCACACTGTTTTTAAATATGTTTATGACTTCAGAGTCAATGGGAATCTGAATTTCAAGAGCTCATTATTTCTCTTTCCAGGAAGGGGAAAACAAAACCCGTACAGACATAATAACATCTGCTGAGTTTATTTGGTGCCTGACATCAGTGATGTTGGATTTGAACTGTTCTCTAGCATCCCCTGCCCCTTTTTTATTGGGGGAAAGGGTATGATCTGCTAAAGAAAGCACAGGTTTTGAGTTCTAGTCTCTCCACTTTGCCTGAGTGCATGAGTGGCCCCTACGGTAAAAACAAAAAACAAAACAAAACAAAACAAAATTGATTTTGCTGAAAATGAGCAATATGTTCACATTGTGCATCAAATATCTTGGTTTTGTATCAAAATGAGTCTAGCCTTTATAAACCAGCATGCTAACTCTTTCCTCAGCTTCAGTTTAGGGGTTAATTGTAATGTTTAAAAACAGAATGACATCGTCTCAGGCCTCTAGAATATGGAGTAAGAAACAGATCAAGAGAAAAGGGCTCTCCCCAGTCCAAGCTCTGCCATTCGCTGATGCTACATCCTGGATAAGACCACGAATCTGCCTGAGCCTCACTGTTGTCGTCTGTAAAACGGGTGCTGTGATTGCCAACTCACTGGGCAGTCCCCGGTACTAAATGAGCTAGTGTGTGTGTGAAATCACTGAACTCATAAGATTTGCTCATATACACATGTTGGGTTTAAACAGAGGAAATCTCACCATAGTCTAGGCCAATTCAAAATTGTAGAGCTCTGCAGAGGGAGCGGGAGAGGAAGGAAAAGAGTGAAGGAGGGAGGGAGAGAGAGGGGGAAAAAGAGAAGGGAAAAGGGGATGGGAGCGAGAGAGAGACAGAGACAGAGAGACACTGGATTTTTCCTAAAAAATCTCAAGAAAGATATTTCCTCCAAAAGAAATACTTTGCACAGAAATAAGACCATTTCAGATCACACAAGAATAATAGTGTACATTTATTGAACACTTACTAAATACTGTATCCTATACATTTTCTCTAAAGAAGAATCCCCTAGTTTTCTACATGGAATGGGGATAAGCCTGGCTTGCAGGTAAGTCTCAAAGAATTTCTGAAAAATGTATGTTCAACCTTATTATGAATGTATTATACCATTTAATGCTCAAAACAACCCTATTTAGTACAAGTATAATATTAAATGTATTTCACATACTTTTTCACTTCCTTTCTGGATTACTCATGACTACCTTTTAGGTCACAATCAAGGTTAAGGTAGAAGCATCTGCCCCAAGGACCCCATCTAGCATATCCACCAGGGTCATGTAGAATTCCTGCTGAATTCACCTTTGGATTGCTGCAGACATTTCTGCAATTAAAAAGTAATAGTTCTTCCTGTTTGAATAGCATTCCTTTATATTTACCAAATGCTTTCCTGTACAAAATTTTATATAACCCTGAACAAACCTCTGTGAAGCAGATATTAATCTCATTTGCAAATGAGAAGCATAAGAACTATGTGAGTTAAATGACTTGGTTAAGGTCACCAAGTGGTAACACTAGGATTTGAACCACAGTTATCCAATTTGATGTCCACTTTTCCTACAAACCACCCCAAATTTAGGGTTGTCAACCAACAACCCGTATATTATGCTCACAGACCCTGTGGGTCAGGAATTTGGAAAGGTCATGGTGGCAACTCTTTCTGCTCCATGTTGTCTGGAGCCTCTTCTGGGAAAACTGAAAGGGTGGGGTGACTTGACAACTGGAAGCTAGAATTATCTGAAAGCTTGTCACTCACTTGTCTCACGGTTGAGGCGGGCTATTCACTGGAACCTCAGTGAGGACTATTGGTCAGGGCACTTACACGTGGCCTCTCTATGTGGCTACTTGGGCTTCCTCACAACATGGTGGTTGTGTTCCAAGAGCAAGTGTTCTAAAATGAGGTAGGCAGAAGTTGTGTCACCTTTACAACCTAGCCTTGGAAGTCATATTGCATTACATCCACCACGTCACCAACCTACCCACATTTATGGGGAGGGAAACAGACTTCACCTCTCTGTGGGAAGAATGTCAAAGTCACATTAGAAGAGCAGATGGGATGAAAGATGTTACTGCGGCTGTATTTGAAAATACAACCTGTTACCAACTACTGTACACTCTACTGAAGGAAACAGGGCTGCCTTATTGATTTCAGGAGACTGCTTTAGGAAAGGTTTTCTGGGAGAAAAAATGGAACCAATGTCCTTAGTGCCTGTCTCGTATCTTCTATTCTCAGATGAAGGACTACTAGGGGAGGTGAGGGACCCTTGTTCAGTTTGCTAAGGCATGGTTTCTCTTATGTTCTAGCTTCATAAATGAGACCAATAAATGGTGACTACAGCAGGAAGCAGGATTTTCTGGCTTCTAAAATATATTATTCTTGTTATTTTTGTAAAGGATTTGAGGTGGTTTTTATATAGTGTGTATACACTTGCACACACACATACACACACACACACACACACACCATACACTAAAACCACAGAAGATAGAGGCAGAAAGTAAAAAGCAGTAACTCATATTAAAATCACATTTACTATCTTAAAATCACACTTAAACAGCAATTGAATACCAGATTAAACTCCAAGCTTCCTGGAAGACAAGACAAAAAGGGCCAAGACTATTTGTGAAATCGGGGGGTCTTAAATGCTTTTCTATTCCCCATGATTTCTCTAAGTACTGAAGGCAGCAGACCATTCCTTTTTTCCTGGTAGTTTTTAAAAGCTTCTTACTTTTTATAAAAAAAGATGATAATGGCCTGTGTTAGTGACATTTCAAAGGAAAAAAGTAAATTGGAGATGCACACTTGGGGTCATTGTCAGTCTGGGGTTGGAGCCTCCCTGTGAGAGGCAAAATATTCTTTATTATCTCGCAGCTCCACTGGACTCTTTTACAAAATCCATGCTAGGGCACTGGAGCAGAACCCTTCCTACCTCCTGCCCTCCAAGAACAAACAAAAAATCAGCAGAAAACTTAAGATGTAAAAAAAATGTGTTTGACATCCCAAAGGCAATTGAGAGAAAACAAAAGACTACCCTCTCTTTCTCTTTTTCTCCCAAGAATAAGGTGACTTCTTGGAGCTGACTTCTTTGTTTCACACTGAGCTCACAAATGTGTCTTAATTATTCCACTCTTCATTCTTTACAGTGTCTAAATTCTCTTTATTATTTGAATGGGTCCAGTTCAGCCACTGCACAAAACTGATACATTCAGAGTCTGAAGAAATTAGCCATGAAATGAGCATCTCTTGAATATTGGTTATTGCTTTTTTTTTTGCCCAGTTACTTAATTATTTGTTTGAAGACTCAAAGGTCTGTGGACTCCATTCTGAGGTCTGAGTTTAGAGGAGAACAAGGAGAGTGGTCTTCATTCTCAGGTGCGTGACCCAGGAGTTGGCCTCCAGGTCCTGGGCTCTTTGTCCCATGCCAGGCTGCTCCCCGGGATAAAAGGATTGTATGTGGACAGCACGGAGCTCAGGTCCTAGTGCAGAATAAAATGCTCTGTGAGTCATAACCATTGTGATTTTGTCCATGAGGCTGATCTGAGGACATGACCTCTCTGCTTAAAATGCTTCATAGGCTCCGTTCCAAGCATCATAACCCATCCTGCACCACCTGGACTCTGCACCACTTGGCCTCTGCTTACCTTTCCAGGACATCCTTGTGCTCCCTGCTCCAGCCTCACTAAACCTCTCTCCAATTCTAGCAGTTTCTGGGCTTTTTTCTCCCCTACAAGAGAAGCAGCCCATGCTGTTTCTCCTGGATTTTTCTTACTTTCGCTAGCTGTCCACCCGACTGTTTCCCATCCTCTGCTCTCAGCTCTGGTGACCTCTGCCATGAAAACCTTATCCAATCCCAGATCTAGGTTAGGTCTGTCTATGCAGGAGCTGCCACAGGGACTTGCTGGACCATTCTGTGATTCTCGTGTATTGTGTGTTGGAAAATGGGGAGTGCTGTTGGTGGTGCTGGCAGAAACTGGGCCCTGAGACTGATTTCGGGCTCTTGATGAGTAGAAGCAAAAAATCCTGCCATTTTAGCTGGACGTGGTGGCCTGTAGTCCCAGCTACTCAGTGGGCTGAGACAAGAGGGTTGCTTCAGTCCAAGAGTTTGAGGCTGCAGTGAGCTATGATCGCTCCATTGCACTCCAGCTTAGGTGACAGTGAAAGCCTGTTTCTCAAAACAAAAACAAAAACTCCAACCCCCCTTTTCAAAGTTGTGAGCATACTTCTGCCTCTCAGGGGTACAGAAGTAAAATTTCCCTGGGCAAAGATGATGCTTTTATTTTGAAGAGAACTCTCTTGAGAGGCTCTTTTGTTATAAAAATGTAAAGTTAAGATCCTCCTCTCATCATTTTTTTGGGGGAAAAACTGAAGGTACCATTAACTTGAATGCAGATGTTTTCTTGGAAAAGTTTTTCTGCCTGGACTTGTATATTGCAGGGTTCCATTGAGTCAGAGCTATATGTTCTAATAAGATGCATTTTTCTCACCTGGCATGATGTTTTGTGGCTCTGTTTGATTATAGAATGGACTGAGGTGCAACCGTTGCTTGACCTGGGGAAGGTGAATGTTCTTACTCACAGCAGTTTTCAGCAGACAATCAAGACTAAGACAGGTAGGAATTATCTCCATCTGTTGCTAGAGAAGAGGCTGGAAACAATTTGACTAGATTAATAATATACTAAATATGTCTTTAACACTGACATATGTAAGATGTCTAGACCCAGGCTGCTGTAACAAAATTCCATAAACTGGGTAGCTTATAAAAAACAAATTTATTTCTCAAATTCTGAGCCTGGGAAAGTCCAAGGTGAAGGCAGGTTTGATACCTGGTGAGGTTCTGTTTTCTGACTCATGGATGGTACCTTCTTGCTTTGTCCTCCCATGGTGGAGGGAACAAGGAGTGTCCCTCAGGCCTCTTTGGCAAGGGCACTGTATTAATCGGTTCTCATACTCATATCAAGAACTACCTGAGACTAGGTAATTTATGAAGAAAAGAGGTTTAATTGACTCACAGTTTCACATGGCTGGGGAGGAGTCAGGAAACTTACAATCATGGCAGAAGGTGAAGGGGAAGCAAGGCACGTCTTACATGGCAGCAGGAGAGAGGGAGTAAAGGAGGAACTGCCGCACACTTTTAAACCATCAGATTTCATGAGAATTCATTCACTATCAAGAGAAGAGCATGGGGGAACCAACCCCATGATTCAATCACGTCCCACCAGGTCCCTCCTTTGACACGTGGGAACTACAATTCAAGCTGAGATTTGGGTGGGGACAAAGAGCCAAACCATATCAGGCACTAAACCCGTGTCTCCCTGACCTGATCAGCTGCCAAAGGGCCCACCTCCTAATACCATCACCAGGGGGGTAAGGACTTCAACATATTAATTTGGCAGGGGACACAAACATTCACACCAAAACACCAGTGGTTGACAAGTTATGGCTTGGACCAAATCCAGCCCTCTGCCAAACTTCTTATAAATAAAGTTTTCTTGGAGCCCAGCCACATTCATCCATTGACCTATTGTCTATCACCATTTTCAGGCTACAATAGAACACTTGAAGAGTTGCAACAGAGACCGTGTGGCCCACAGCATATTTGCTATATGGCCCTTTCCAGGGGAAATTTGCCATTTCATAAGGACAATATAGGCTCTGATATGACTGTCCCATTGGGAGTTATGGTCTGTGGGTGGCAAGGGAGTCACCCTGATAAAAGAATACACTCTCATGAACAGCTGAGCCAATAAGAGGATATGCCTGAGCTGGAAATGAGGCTGGAAAAATAGGCTATATAGAGAGACAAGAATCTTCCTGCTCTCTCTGGTCTTAAAATACATGGCTTTTGGACTGTCTGGCTCTTCCTTCAGGTTTGTGTTCTGGAGCCCAGAAAGGATAGAGGCGTTGCCTCTTGACCGGAGAATGGTGTTTGGTGTTGGCGCTTTCCCTCTTGCATCTGTGTGTGCCCTTGCTCCACAGCATGCTTCTTCAACCCACAGCCCAGCCCAGGACAGCTTTGAATGCGACCCAAAACAAATTCGTCAAATTTCTTAAAATATTATGAGATTTTTCTGTGTGTGATTTTTTTTTTTTTTTTTTTAGCTCATCAGCTATCGTTAGTGTTAGTGTATTTTATGTGTGGCCCAAGACAATTCTTTTTCCAGTGTGTCCCAGGGAAGCCAAAAGATTGGACACCCCTGCTCTATGGAGATGGTGTATTTCTATGGCCTGAAGTGGTGGGAGGGGGGAGTTACACTCTCTTTGAAAGAGTCTCTTCCCACTTAGAGTGAGAACAGAAAGCAGCAACTCCACTACCCAGAATCACAAAGCTTCAACGGTTCCCGGATAACTATAAGCAACCCTCCAACCTTCCCTCCATGCTCGGCTCACTCCTCTTCACAACCTTCACCCCAACCAACCCCACTGCTCACTCCTCTGTGTACCGTGCAGCAGGGCGGGAAAGGCCTCTGTTTTGGCTACTGCACCTCGAGCTCCCACTGCACCCCAAGCACGGGTGCCCGCTCACTGCCTGATGACTGAGTGCCACCAATGAGCCACCTCATGCCAAGACTGCACCACCCAAGCACCTAGCTCATCTGCCTGGGGTGCTGTCAGAGTCCAGTAAGTGGTAGCAATGATTCATTTCAAACTCACTCTGCTTCCCCAGGAATAGATAAGCAAACTGCAGAACAGTTTAAGTCATCCTTGGTGAAACCCAAGTCTCATCCCAGCCTCCCCCCAGGCCACCTTGAAGAAGCAAACCTCACCGTCCCCTCCTTAGCTTGAAAAAGTCACCTTAGGAAATCTATTGCGTAAGAGCCACTGATGGAGAAATCTTTTATGATTATACTTTATGCTGACAACAGCTCTAAATTAGAGGGTGCAGCTGACTGGAATGAGCTTAATTCTCCATACAAGTGTGGGCTCTTGGAAAGAAATTTCTTTTTTCAGGTCTAAAATCTATTTTATCTCCCCTAATTAGGAGAATATGTAAAGCAAGACGGGGGAATGGCATTCAATTTGCCATAAAAAGCAAACCTGGTAGTTTATAAGACCACACTTTCCAAACAAGCTCCGACCCATTAGAGGGGATCATACATAATTCAGGAGCCACTTGTTACTGCGTGTATCATGCAAATTCTCTCAAATTACATTTGGAAAAAATGAGGTTCATCTTCTAGCTTTAAATAGACTATTAAGAGAAGGGTAGATATACAAGCCATAAGGAAGCAAATGATTTAAGTAGCCTAAATCAAGGGAGACCTTGAATGAAAGAGTGAACACCCCTCAATTCTGAGCCCCATGTTAAGATAGAATCCAACAGGTAACAAGTTGCATTTCTGACTGTCTGCTGTACAAAGACATCAGCTTTCATCAATAGTGAAGATCTTTCCTTTCTGGGCACTTTTATTTCTGAGATCATCTGGATCATCTTGCCTTCGAGGAGGTTCTCTTCTTGAACTTTAGAGGGGTGTGTGTGTGTGTGAGAGAGAGACAGAGAGAGAAAGAGAGAGAGTCTTAGTTTGTTTAGGCTGCTATAACAAAAATACCATAGACTAGGTGGCTTGAAAACAACAGCAGTTTGTTTCTGGTGGTTCTGGAAGCTGGAAGTCTGAAGCCTCAGGCTGCCAGCACGTTTGTGTGCTGTGAGAGCCTTTCTCCAGGTTGCAGACTGCTGAGTTCTCATTGTTTCCTCGCAGGGCAGAAAGGAGGTGAGAGAGCTCTTTGGGGTCTCTTTTGTAAGAGCTTAATCCCATAGTGAGTGCTTCAGCCTCATCATCTTATCATCCCCCAAAGGCCCCACCTCCTTATTCTATCACACTGGAGGTTACATTTCAACATGTGAATTTGGGGAGGGACATAAACTTCCATTTCATTGCAGAGAGAGAGAGAGAGAGAGAGAGAGAGAGAAAGAAATGTTCATGTATGTGCATAGTAAGGAGAGAGTAGCAGGGAGAGAGTTGCAGGCAGTGGGCATGGAAGTGGGGATGTCTCACAATCCCCGAGGGATTTGTCTGAAAATCCCCTTTTCAGATCTTGTCTGAAAAGTCTAAAGGCTGATCCCTTCCAATTCATCCTCTACATTCATAAAGAGTGATCATTCAATCAGGAAGATCTTTTCCTTCCTGAAACAGAAATAACCATGGCTTCACTCTCAGTTGAGAAAGTAATATATGCTTATTTTAAAAAATTTAGTCCACATGTAATTAAAAATACACACACACACACATTATATCTACCAAAAAATGGGGACCTACTAGCCACATTGTTTTGTAACCTGCTAAATGCAACTGGAGTTTCCTCTTCCTTTGAATCCTCCAGTAGTTCCCCATTGCCTAAGAAGTCAAACACAACTGCCCATTGTAGCATCAACCACCTTCATTGGTAGGTCAGACTCAATTTTCCCATTTTATCTTCCAAAGCTACTGGACATATATGCTGTGGTCCAGCCAAGTTACTAGATTGCTGAATTTCTTAGACATGAGACAGTTTCCCAGTTTGACACCTTTGCTAATGCTGTTCTATCTGCCTAAATAGCCTCCTCCCAACTCCTCCAAATACTCAGATATATTTCATCTCTAAGACCATCTCACCTACCACTTGCTGCAGGAAGCCTTTCTTCATTTCACTTCCCTGCCCCCCCCCCGCTATGTCCTTCCAAATGGATCTTCTTCCCTCTTCTTGAAAACCTCATGTGTACGTCTAGGAGTCAACAGACCAACAAGGTTCTGCCTCTTCTGATTCCTCCACAAGGCTGTGAACTTCCCCAGGGCAGGATATGTTTCTTGTTTGTATCTTTCAACACATAAGCACCAGCACAAGAACTGGTGCATACAGTAGGCCTTAACAACCACTGAACTGATGGAGCAGACACACTTGAATTTAAATAGATCTCAATTTTAAAACACAAGATGCATGATATTTCTTGAGAAAAGATGGTTGAATATTTTTGATAACTTATTTCTTATTCAAATATATGTTTTCTTATTGTACATGATTTAGAAAATAGCACAAACAATAGAGTGTAATTTAAAAATAATTTGTGACCTCACTATCCAGAGGCAACCATGGCTAACAATTTTCTCCTAGTGTTTTTTTTTTTAGTGTGTTTGTATGTGTATATAGTTTCCTATCTTCCTGTTTAAAAAAAAATTATCAAAAAGAAGCTCTAATCATTAAAAATTCTGTTGAGTTGCTGACTTTTAAAAATAGACTTTTTTTTTAGAGCAGTTTTAGGTTCACAGAAAAATTGAGAAGAACAGACAGTACCTGTTTACCCCCTGCCGCACCCCACCAGACTCCTCCACTATGAACACCCTGCACATTTGCTACAATTTGGTACATTTGTTACAATTGAGAACCTATATCGACACATTATTATATCCCAAAGTCCATAGTTTTTATTAGGGGACCATTCTTGTTGATGTATATTGTATGGATTTGTGCAAATGTATGGCATATATCCACTGTTATAATGTCACACAGAGTAGTTTTACTGCCCCCCAAATCCACTGCCCTTAAAAATCCTCCACCTATTCATTTCTTCCTCCCCCTTAACCCCTGGAAACCACTGATCTTTTTACTTTCTCCATGGCTTTTTCCAGAATGTCATATAGTTGGAATTGTACAATATGTAGCTTTTCAGATTGGCCTCTTTCACTTAGAAGTATGTACATAAATGTCCTCCATGTCTTCATGGCTTGATAGTTCATTTCTATTTAGCACTGAATAACATTCCATTGTCTGGATGTACCGCATTTTATTTATCCATTCACCTACTGAAGGACACCTTGGTTGCTTCCAAGTTTTGGCTATTGTGAATAAAGCTGCTATAAACATTCATGTGCAGGTTTTTGTGTGGACCTAAGTTTTCAACTCATTTGGGTAAATACCAAGGAAGATGATATAGTTTGAATATATGTCTCGGCCAAATCTCATGTTGAAATATGATCCCTGATGTTGAAGGTGGGGCCTAGTAGGAGGTGTTTGGACCACGGGGTGGATCCCTCGTTGGTGCTGTCCTCCTGATAGTGAGTGAGTTCTTGCATGATCTGGTAATTTAAAAGTGTGTGGCACCACCCCCTCCCTTGCTCCTGCTCTCCCTGTGTGATGTGCCTGCTTCTGCTTCACTTTTCTTAGTGTGTAAAAGCTCCCTGTAGGCCTTCCCAGAAGCTGAGCATGTGTCAGGGCCATGCTTGTACATCCTGCAGAACTGTGAGCCAATTAAACTGCTTTTCTTTATAAATTACCAGTCTCGGGTATTTCTTTATGGCAATGCAAGAATTGCTTAATACAGAGAAGCTGCTGTCTTTCTGATGTTAGCCTTGTGCACATGTACCCTAAAACTTAAAGTATAATAATAATAAAATTTTAAAAAAATGAGTTAAAGAAGAAAATAATTCATGCTTACCATCTATAATGTTTTGTGATTTTCTAAAAACATTCATATACCTCCTATTTGAACTTCATTGTAGATTGAGAAGCATACAACATGGAGAAATTAAGGCTCAGAGAGTGAAGTAATGAACTCAGAGTCACAGAGCTAGGATGAAGCAGAGACACAACTCAAATTCAGTTCTAAATGCACCAAGAACCATTTCATCAGAGCTGCTTCATAGTAATAGAGGTCGCAGAAGGAAAAAAGCAATATAGTCTCGTTCTCCTCCTGGAGAAACTCAAAGGGAAGAAGTTAGATTTCAGCTTGATATCAGGAAATTGCATATGAGGAGGCTGGAAAGGTCTTTGAAAGCCACTCATTTAAAATTTTTTTAAAATTTATATATACTGAACATCTGCTCGGAGATTATGTGTCAGGCACTGACACAGAGTTGTGAATCCAGAGATTAATTAGAGTCGGAATTCAAGAACCTCGTATAGGAATGCAGTGGAGTCCTTACTTGAAAGCCCTTTAGTATAAAAAGGGTTGGCGTATAATATGTATTTATTCATATGCATGGAATACTGTATTATATATTGTGTTCACTATGAAACATAATAAAAACTATCAAGTTTAGAAAGATGAGACAGCCAATAAATATACATGAAGGTTCTAGTATTTTCTTCTTGCTCTCTGATGTCTCATGGAGACACGTACCACTGTGGAGCCCACTGGTCTAGAAATTAAGAAGACACAGAAGTCAGCACAGGACACAGTGTGGGAAGAGAGAGGGTGGCCCCCTGAGGATGGGAGGGGTCAAGGGAATGGCTTAGCGGAGACTTCGAGAAGAGATGATCCCCGCACTGAAGAATAACAAGACTCTCATCTATGTTTCAGGGTCAGAAAGGCAGCATGGCATAGTGAAAGAGTTGAGAAGCAGAGGATAAGGATCAGCTCTCCAGTTTGGGGGCCCTGTGGCCCTGCCCAAGTCACTCTCCTTTCTAACGCTCATATTCTCCTGTGTTCATTGGAGGTAATAGGACCTGCCTCCAAGAGTTGTAAAGATGAGGTGAGACAGGCTCGGCCAAAGTGCCCCATTGACTGTGTAGGGCTCTGCAGTGCTGTCTTCTTATTTTCAGATGTTTGGTACCTGCCCCTTGGTACCTGGGTACTTGCCATCTGTACCATATGCTGTGTAGAGGGTAAATGTTCATTGACAATAGTGAATACTCCAGAGAAAAATATTAATAATAAAAAAGCAATGTTTGACCCAAATATCCATGAATAAAAAAAATACGAATGAATAATAAGCAAAATGTGGTATCCTTAGAATGGAATATTATCCAGCCATGAAATGAATGAAATACTGATACATAGTTCAACATGGATAAACCCTAAAGACATTATGCTATGTGTAAGAAGACAGCTACAAAAGGCCACATCTTCTATAATTGAATTTGTAGGAAATGTCCAGAATAGGCAAATCTGTACTGACAAAGGCCACCAGGTAGTTGGCAGGGTTGAAGAGTGACTACTTAATGCGTAGAGGGTTTCCTTTTGGGATGATGGAAATGATCTGAAACCAGATGGTTGTGAGGGCTGCGCAACATCATGAATGTACAAAATGCGGCTAATGGCAAGTTTTACGTTATGTGTATTTTAACACACACATAACAAGCAATGTCTGAGCGCTTACTGTATGAGGTGCTGTGAGGACACGGTATGCCTTTGCTCCTAGGAAATGTGTGGTCTCCGTG
Organism: Homo sapiens; assembly: GCF_000001405.40. Taxonomy (NCBI): domain Eukaryota; kingdom Metazoa; phylum Chordata; class Mammalia; order Primates; family Hominidae; genus Homo; species Homo sapiens. The sequence continues at coordinate 15,129,832 of NC_000002.12, read as the reverse complement.
CGTGAAGCAATACATGCTGAAAATAACTGCATTCAAAGAGCTGCTGAGATGAGAGGAGAACTCATGAGAACTCAAAGGAGGCAGAGGTCAGTTTTGCTGGTGAAATGTACCCAGCCAACTGGCCAGGAACTGAGCCAGGTTCTGAGAATGTCCAGGTGGTAAAAAAGAGTTTGGGCAGGAAGGGCATTTTAGAAAAGGAAGGGCTTGAATTGGGCCCCGAAAGAAGGGAGGGATTTGAATGGGCACAGAATGGGTCAAACTGCGTGCATGCAGGCATGGGAGCCCCGTGTCTGGCTGAGGGGAAAGGATGTGAAATGCCTGGCCTGTAGCTTTGGGACAGGGCAGGGATGCTGGCACATAAGGGAGGCGGGGCATCGAGGAGAAGACTCTGATGCCTCCATTCTTTCCGGTGACTGTCCTGAGCCCCCATTCTCCACTGTAGCGCAGCCTGAATAGTGAAAGGAGGAGCACAGTGAGCCTTGGAATTTGCTCCTGAAGAATTTCCTCTGAGCTACTTCAGCTGCCAGCTCGGAGAGAGAAGCTTGGTGGTTGAGTGATCAGTAAACCCGACAAGGCCATGTGCAACAGGGGAGTTTAAAGGAGGTAATTAAACAAACTTCCCATGCAAGCACCCTTACGGGGATTAATTGAGATTTAAATAATTAAGTATTGCTGGGTAGGCTAGAAGAGAAATACAAATGAAGAAGAATGTTGCTGATGGCACTGAGGCCAGACCCGTGGCAGCCGGAGAGCTGCGGCTGTGCATCAGCTGGGAGGGAGGCAGAGGAGGCAGGGCCCGCCCATGGGCACTCAGGGCCCGCCCAGCCCCCTGCTCAAACCAGCGGCTCCACACATTTCCTGGACCCTTTCCCTCTATCTCCACAGTTCCTTTTGAATCTGTCCTCCTCCTGACTCCAAAGCCCACGCCCTGGTGCCTGACTTCATCGTCTTTCTGTGGGATTCCTGTGACTGTCTCCCGGCCAGTTACCCACTTTGCTCCCTCAGCCTTGCAAGAATTTAACTTCCTGGAACACAGCCCCAGTTGCCCCGCCAAACTTTGCCTCAGTCTGGCCTTCAAAGTCCTCTCCAATGTGTCCCCAGTGACTTTTCCAACTTTATTTCCCATTCGCCCTAGGCCTTTTGCTTCTGTACAAGTGAGCCCTGATCCCACATTTCCCCTGCAGCCTCCTGCCTCCATGCCATTGCACACCCTGGATAATGTTCCCCTTTCCATAAGGCACACCCTGATCTCCCCTAACTAGACATGATCGTGTCCCACTTTGTAGGATATTTATTTATGTGTGTGTCTCATCTCTTCTCAGATTTCCAGCTGTTTTGGCAAGAGATTGTACCTGCTTCACACCCTGAACTGTGAATATCTTGTGATTGCTGTGTTTAAGAAAGAGGCCCAATCCCTTAGCCAAAACCCTGGAGAACAGATGTGCTTTGGAATTTAGAATTTGTCAGATCTTGGAAAGGTATTATGGTGCATCTATTCCATATCATGTAACAGCCCCAGTAGGTCTGGAGTAGTCCCCCGCTGTCAATCACATTAATAATTCTGCTGCAAAAGTAAGGATATTAGCATTAAAAGGATAATTAAAGGCAGTACTTAGTTCAGGCCAGGTTTTGACCAAATAAGTTGAGAAAAACTCAGCTTGTTGTGCTTTTTTTTTATTTTGAAATTGAGGATAAGGGATTGTGGACCTGTATTCCCTTGGGAATTCCCTTGGGTTTCCTCCAGGGATGCTGCTGGAGAGAACAAAGAGCTTGTTTATACACTTCCCCAGCAGACTGCAGAGTACTTCAAACTTAGCTTGCATCAAATAGATCTAACTATAAGTAGAGAGAGTTTAGCTGAACGGGGAATTGGAATTGGAAAGGTGTATATAAAGTGTTAGTGGCCCCAAGAAATACCTCATCGAGTCGCCCTACATTGCTCATGTGCCCATCTGGGTTGGGGGTCAGGGGCTCAGGTGCCCAGGACAGTGCTGCAGCTCTAGCATGTGATTTGAGCCCAATCTTGGGGCCCACATCTTCAAGCTGTTCAGGCCATTCCCCTTCAGCACCACATTTACGATCAGCTTTGTCTGATAATACAGCCATTACACTTTAAAGAGCAAGCAGTCTGGAAAGGTTAGATAAAAGGGTAGGCGTGAGTGATTAAAAGAAAAAATACAAGTCCCTGGGTGAGACAGTAGAGATGTCGAATTAGGTCTTAAAAGAAGAACAGCCTTAATATCGAGGAATCCTTGCTGGGCCCAGGTAACCTAGATACCACCTCTCAATGAAAATGTAGATCTGTTTCCTTGCCAGGCCTCAGTAGCTTTCAAATCACAACTTCTTGGATTTATTGCAGGTCATTAACTGCTGTGCTGCGACACAGGGAAGAAGCCAGAAGATTAAAGTAACAGCCAGGGCTGTTGAGAGAGAATCTGGCTGGTCTTTGTTGCTTGGAGTGTGCTGTTAAATCATTATCACCTGTTAATTCTTGGTGTAACTTTGGGGTGGAAAATTATTATACAGATGGAAAGGATTTTTCAATTAAATCTAAGTCAGTGAGATTTTAAGCAGCTAAGAGTTTGAGATGTGCTTCCTAGGGAGATTAGAACTTGGGTGAGCAAGGCCATGAGGCAGGACCTGCTACATAATTTGCAGTCCAGTGCAAAATGAAAACAACGGGCCCCTCTTTCAAAAATTGCATAGCATTAAACCAAGTGCAGGATCCTCTGAGCATGGGGCCGTCTGTGACTTCCTGGGCCACATATCTGTGAGGCTGGCCCTGCCCCCAGGGCATTCCGAGGCTTTAGAGGGACCAAGATGTAGTGGGAAAATCAAGGAGCTGTATGCTGAGCTAGACAAACCTCAGTCAATTCTCAGTTTTGTGTGTTACTGGTTGTTTGACCTTGGGCAGGTGAAGAAGGTACCTCTATTTCCTCCTTTGTGAAGTGGAGCTAAAAATATCAGTCCTATGGTGATATTGTAAAGATGAAATGAAATCAAGTTTGTAGCGTGCTTAGCAGAGTGTATGATATCTAGTAAGAGCTTTAAATCTTAGTGTTTCATAGCAGTGTTGCTGGTGCCCTGCCATGGCCACCTGTCCCTCCTTAGTACCTACCAACTGCCTTCCAAATGCTGCCACCTGCATTGCTAGGCTGATGGCTTTTCTCTTGCTGCTGACAGAGAAATAATTACCACCACTCTCCTTTGTCATCTTTCAGCCATGGGCTGAGGGAGTGTGGAGTATCAGTACCCCAGCTCCCTTGCCCCTCGGGTGAGGTACCTCTGATCTGTGTTTCTTACTGGGGATCTCAGAGTTTTCCCAGTGGTATTAAGCCTCATGCCCCCCTGAGAGGTAGCTGGCATGATAACACATTCCTTAGTGGCCACTTTCCCTTCCCTGTGTCTTCCCCATTCCTCTACCAGGGCTCCTGTATCAGTGTGTTTTCACATTGCTGTAAAGGAATACCCGAGGTTGGGTAATTTCTAAAGAAAATAACTTTCATTGGCTCACAGCTCTGCAAGCTGTACAACAAGCATGGTGCTGGCAACTGCTTTGGGTGAGGGCCTCAGGAAGCTTATAATCATGGAGGAAGGCCACAGGGAGCCAGCATGTCACATGGGGAGAGCAGGAGTGAGAAATAGAGAGAGGGGAGGTGCCACGCTCTTTTATACAACAAGATCTCACATAAACTCGGAGTGAGAACTCACTCGTCACCAAGGGAATGGTGCTAAGTCATTCATGAGGGATCTGCCATGAGAATCCAAAACACCTCCCACCAGGCTCTACCTCCAACACCGGAGATCACACTTCAACGTGAGATTTGAAGAAGACAAATATCCAAACCATATTATTCTGCCCCAGTCCCCCAAATCTCATGTCCTTCTCACATGGCAAAATACAATCATCCCTTCTCAATAGTCTCCCAGAGTATTATCTTGTTCCAGCATCAACTTAATCAAGAGCTCCAAGTTCCGAGTCCAAAGACTAAAGTCTCATCTGGAGATAAGTTCCTTTCACCTATGAGCCTGTGAAATCAAAACCAAATTACTTACTTCCAAGATACAATGGTGGTACAGGCATTGGGTAAACATTCCCATTCCAAAAGGGAGAAACTGGCCCAAAGAAAAAGTTAACAGGCCCAACCCAAGTCTGAAACGTAACAGGGTAGTCATTAAATCTTAAAGCTCCAAAATAATCTCCTTTGACTCCATGTCTCACATCCAGGGAACACCGGAGCAAGGATTAGTGATATGGTTTGGTTCTCTATCCCTGGCCAAATCTCATGTTCAGTTGTAATCCCCAGTCTTAGATAAGCCTGGTGGAAGATGACTAGATCATGGGAGTGGATCCCTCATGAATACTTTAGTACCATCCTCTTGGCACTGTCCTCGTGATAGTGAGTAAGTTCTTGTGAGATCTAGTCATTTAAAAGTGTATGACACCTCTCCCCTCTCTTCCTTGCCCTTGCTTTTTCTAGTGATGTGCCTGCTCCTGCTTCATCTTCTGCCATGATTGTAAGCTTCTTGAGGCCCCCCTAGAAGCTGATGCCAGAACTGTGCTTCTGGTATAGCCTGCAGAACTGTGAGCCAATTAAACTTCTTTTCTTTATAAATTACCCAGAATTAGGTATTTCTTTATAGCAGTGTGAGAACAGACTAATACAGGTGGGCTCCCAAGGCCTTGGGTGGCTCCATCCTGTGGCTTTGCAGTATATAGCCCATGTAGCTGCTCTAACAGGTTGGAGTTGAGTGCCTGCAGCTTTTCCATGCTGAGGTTGAAAGCTGCTGGGAGATCTATCATTCTTGGGTCTGGAGGATGGCAGCCCCCTTCCCATAGCCCCACTAGGCAGTGCTCCGGTGGGGACTCTGTGTGTGGGCTCCAACCCCACATTTCCCCTCAGCACTGCCATAGTAGAGTATCCCTGTGGGGGCTCCACCCCTGCATCAGGCTTCTACCTTGGCACTAAGGCTTTCTGATACGTCCTTTGAAATCTAGGTGGAAGCCGCTAAGCCTCCCTCATGCTTTGCATTCTGTGCACCCATAAGCTTAACCACTACATGGAAGATGCTAAGACTTATGACTGGAACCCTCCAGAGTCGCAGTCCAAGCTGTACCTGGGGCCCTTTGAGCTGCAGCTGGAGCTGGAGTAGCCAGGATGCAGCAAGTGTCCTGAGATTGAGCAGGAGAACGGGCCCTGGGCCTGCCCCCTGAAACCATTCTTTCCTCCTAGGCCTCTGGACTTGTGATGGGAGGAGCTGTGTTAGAAATCTCTGAAATATCTTTGAGATCTTTCTTCCCATTGTCTTGGATGTTAGGACTTGGCTCCCTTTGAGTCATGCTAATCTCTCTAGCAAGTGGTCGCTCTACAGCCTGCTTGGATTCTTTCTTTACCATAGGGCCAGGCTGTAAATTTTCCAAACTTGTATGCTCTCTTTCCCTTTTAAACATAAGTTCCAACTCTAAGTTATTCTTTTGCTCCCTCCTCTGATTGTAGGCTGTTAGAAGCAACTATTCCACTTCTTGAACACTTAGGACACAAGCCATAAGCCTTGCCAGCATCCATGTGGTGGTAAGCCTGTAGGGGCAGATTGCTGTCTAGAAATTTCTTCCACTGGGTACCATAAGTCATCACTCTCAAGTTCAGACTTCCACAAAGCCGTAGGACATGGAGACAATGCAGCCAAGCTCTTTGCTAGGGCATAACTAGGGTGAGCTTCCCTCCAGTTCCCAATAGCTTCCACATTTCTATCTGAGACCTTGTCAGCCTGGAATTCACCGTCCATATCTCTACCAGAATTTTGCTCACAATCACTTAACTGATCTCGAAGAAGTTCCAAGCTTTCCCTTGTCTTCCTGTCTTCTCTAAGCCTTCCAAACTCTTCTAGCCTCTGCCCATTACCAGTTCCAAAGCTGCTTCCACATTTTCAGGTGTCTTTACAGCAATGCCCTACTCTTCAATATTAATGTTCTGTATCAGTCTGTTTTTGTGTTGCTATAAATAAATACTTGAGGCTAGATAATTTATAAATAAAGGAGGTTAAATTGGCTCACAGTTCTGCAGGTGTACAGGAAACAGGGTGCTGGGATCTGCTTCTGGTGAGGGCCTCAGGAAGCTTGCAATTATAGTAGAAGGCAACAGGGAGCCAGCATGTCACAGGGTGAGAGTGGGAGCAAGACAGAGAGGAGGGAGGTGCTCTTTTAAAACAGTCAGATCTCCTGTGAACCAACTGAGAACTCACTTATCACCAAGGAGATGGTGCTAAGCCATTCATGAGGGATCTGCCCCCATGATCCAAACACCTCCCCGTAGGGCCCACCTCCAACATTGAGAACCACAAATGTTCCTTTAGTAACATTTCCCATTCTCATATTCTTGTGGGGGTTACTCCACATGAGATTTGGAGTGAACAAACATCCAAACTATATCAGCTCCCTTCACCTGGTCTCCGGGTCTGCTTCTAGGAGAGCCCAACCTATGACGAGCTCCGATCCCTTCTCCTTTCCTTAGTGAAAGGGATGGAGAAGATGCTAGAAAGCAGGAAATGGGGGTATTGGTCTCAATAGCCACCTCAGGAAAATCAGAGTTGGAAGGGGCATGAGAAAATTCTGATTGGATCTAGTTTGACATAAGAAGCCAAAGGAGAAACTGAGAGAGCATGGACTGTTTCAACAGCCAGGATGACTCAGCATGCTGGGAGCCAGAACGAAAGCCTGCTGCTCCCAGGCTACCTCGGGGTGGGGCACCAGCTCTGAGCTGTTCCTGGGGGAAGTCACTGGTGGTCATCAGCTCTGCCATGTACTGAGCTGGAGTGCCTTGTCAGGGCTCTAAGCATCCAGAATACATCCTCTGCTGTTTTCACCCAGCAAGAGGGAATGTGAGTCCTACCACACCACATTAGGATGTAGTGCAAATCCCAGAATAGCCCTCCTTCAGCCTCAGCTTCAGCAGGCTCAGGCGGAAGCTTTTCTAATCAGCCTCTGGATCAGAAGCAGGGCTACTCTGGTGGGAGGCTGTTCTTTAGGCATTTCAGAGTTTACCTTGCAATAGATATTTGAGTGTAGAGAGTTTCAAGATTTGTTTAGTCCTTATTTTAAACTTTTGCTTCCCTTCCTCAGTATTATTAGGTGTGTTCTTGGGTTGAGTTTGGAAAGCTCTGCTTTTTCTGTCTTTCTTTCTTTGTCCTCTGGGTTCCTTTGGTAACATTTCTAGTCCTCATACTCTTTCTCCTTGATATGGTTTGGATGTATGTCCCCTCTAAATCTCATGTTGAAATGTGACCCCCAGTGTTGGAGATGGGGCCAGGTGGGAGGTGATTGGATCATGGGGGACAGATCCCTCATGAACGAAGCACCAACCCCTTGCTGATGAGCGAGTTTTTGCTCAATTAGTTCACATGCGATCTGGGTGTTTAAAAGAGTCTGGGACTTCCCCCTTCTCTTTCTTGCTCCCTCTCTCTCCATGTCATGCATGGGCTTCCCCTTCTACCATGAGTGGAAGTTCCCTGAGGGCTCACTAGGAGCAGATGCCCACACTATGCTTTCTGTAAAGCCTGCAGAATCGTGAGCCAATCTATAAAGCCTGCACCTTTCTGTGAAGCCTAAAGAATCATGAGCCAATTAAACCTCTTTTCTTTATAAATTATCCAGCCTCGGGTTATTTCTTTAAAACAATGCAAAAAAGAAAAAAAAAAAAACAGGCTAACGGAGTCCTCCATCCGTCATACCCCATCCTCTTCCACCTCCTCTTTCTTCCTTTTCTTTCTCCATCTCCTGTTTTGAGGGGGATTTAGGAGCCTCAGGCTTCCCTTAGAGCAAAAGATCTTAACCACTGTAATGGCATGGGCCCCACTGGTGGTCTGATGAAGCCTATGGACCCTTTCTCAGAGTAATGTTTCTTAATGCAGAAAATAAAGTACATACGATAAGTAAAACATAATTCAATAATATTTTATTATATTGATACATAAAAAACTTCAAAACCCCGATTTGTGAATTAGTATGGCATGTGCTTCCTATTAATGAACTTAATAACAACATTTAGTGTGGGTAGGGTTAGTCCCATAAAGTTTGAAGTAGTAACGGGCAAAAAAAAAAAAAATTTTTTTTGTATATCTGCAACAACTGTAACATGATATAAAAATATCCACATGTCTATGGTGACAAAGACCCAGTACTATGAATACTACTCTGGTTTGTTGCTTCCTTTTATAATTGAAGGAAAAGCTAAATTTCAGTTAGTGATGAATGAAAATAAAGATGTAATTTTTTTTCCCCATTCATGTTCTTGGAATGCCTGAATTCCATCCTCGGGCCCTTGGTAAAAATGTCTGTCCTAGTGTTTTGTCCTAGTGTTTGACGTGTACCTCGAACATTCCTCTGAGTTTTTGGTCTTTGCTACCCATTATGAGAGCCATCATCAGTCTGCCTTCCTGCTGCACCACAGAACCATGGCTTGTCTGAGCAGGTTGCAGGGTTGTTCCCTGAAGTCCCACCAGTAGTGTTCTTGGTCCTGGCAACAGAGTCTGGCCTCAGCCTGTAGCTACAGAAGGGAGTTAAGCATTTGACTACAATGTACTGAGAGATAAAAGATATAGTATGCTTGTTCTTCAGGATGTCAAAGCAGGCCACCGTCTTAGAATGTAATTCTACTAAAAACAAAGATTGCCCATGAGGAAAACTCAGCTCTCATATTGGTAGACATATGGGCTGGCTTGAAATCGACAAATAATTGTATCCCATCCCCATTTGGCTTTATTTCAAGACAGGAGATGAATTCGATATTGAGCAAAACTATTGGCTGAGTGAAAAATAGATGTTCTTGAAGCCAAAAAAGAATATAAAAGGTGGAGAAAAGCTGTGAATAGGTCATCAGAGAGTGACAAAGGCATTTTATTAGGGGAAAAGGTCATGTGCAGAAAGAAACCCCTGCCGTCCCAGAGATACCATATATGGAAACAGAATAAATCTCCAAGGATGCCTGCAGCAACCCCACGCGTGTGGTAAAGAGAAAGGAAGCAGTTGGTCTGGCTGTGTTCTCGCCCACACATCTTTTCGCTTTTTATGTATATTCCTGCCCAATTCTCCTTTCTCCCCTTCCTGGGGCTCAGAGCTTCCTGGGACTTATACACTCCATCCTTTTTCACTTATGGCGCATTGATGGGCAGAATGCCAAAAGAGAATAAGCTGGGGCCTTGCCCTTGAAGAGGGTAATGGAAAGGAAATGACTGGGGTTCAAATCCTAAATCCTTCACTTCATATCTGGGGACTTTAAATGAGCCATAAACCCTGCTGAATCTTACTTTTTTTTTTTTTAACCTGAAAAGATGAGAATAAAGCAAGCATTTACTTCAGAGTGTCATATGAGGATTAACCTTTCTGTTCTTATCTCTCTGACATACCTGAAGTGGAAAGGACACAGGTTTTGAAGTGTGGCAGGTGTGGGCTTGTCACTTAATCTCTCTGAACATCAGTTTCTTTGGCTGCAGAATGGGGATAACGATATCCACATTGTAGGTTTGTTGTGGGGTTTAAATGCAATAAAGAATTTACCAACCAATACCCTGGCGTGGAACAGGCACTCAGGAATTAAAATAAAAGAAGAAATGTGTTTATTGTTTAGGCACCTGCTAAGCTGCCGTGCTTTCCTATAACTATGTCCAGACAGGTTTTAAGAGGTACACATTGGAGATCTGCCTGCTGACAGCCCACCCTCCCACACTTCCTGTTTTAAGGCTCAACTTGTGCTGCCAGGGGCCTCACATTTGGTTTGGAATATTTTTGGCCATCAGAACTAGGAACAGGTGTGCCCGTCCACCTGCCGGGGTCACTGGTAGAGGCAGAGACTGCAGTGGGCTTGGGAGACACAGACTCCCTGCATTCCTGTTGCAGGTGGGCCACTTCCTGCTGGTGACCTTGTGAGGGCTTCCTCATCTGTAAAAGGAGCAGCAATTCCTACTTTGCAGAGGTGTGGTGTAAGGTGACAAACTTTGCAGATGAATGGCGTAAGGTGATGAAGCAGCAGGGACCCAGCAGGCACTCAATCCTGCAGCTGTCAGCAATTCTCAGAGGGCCTCTGTAGGGCCCTGAGTACATGGGACCGAGCTCTCCTTCCATCCTGCCCTTCCCACAGCCAGATGCACTTATATTCAGAGAGATCCACAGCTATGCCCAAACATTAGAAATGGATTCCTGGCTAGGCACGGTGGCTCACACCTGTAATCCCAGCACTCTGAGAGGCCGAGGCAGGTGGATCACGAGGTCAGGAGATCGAGACCATCTTGGCCAACATGGTGAAACCCCGTCTCTACTAGAAATACAAAAATTAGCTGGGCGTGGTGGCAGGCGCCTGTAGTCCCAGCTACTCAGGAGACTGAGGCAGGAGAATCCCTGGAACTTGGGAGGCTGAGGCAGGAGAATCGCTGGAACTCGGGAGGTGGAGGTTGCAGTGAGCTGAGATCGTGCCACTGCACTCTGGCCTGGGCGACAGTGCAAGACTCTGTCTCAAAAAAAAAAAAAAAAAAAAAAAGAAAGGATTTCTAAAAATTGTTAGTTTTTATTTATTTTTAAGAGACCAGGTCTCACTCTCAGCCAGACGGTGGCCACACTCTGGCACATAGCAGATCCCAAACAAATGTGAGACCCTTCCCTTCCCTCTCTCCCTGCTCAGTGCCATGGGCTTGCCTAGAGACACAGAGGAATTCTCCTTGCTGAAAATGAACACCCCCATGAGGAGATCTACTTTCTGGGATGGTTCTCACCCTTCCTCCCCTTGTCTGTCTGACGCCCACCCCTGAGGCCAGCACACCTCATCCCTTGTCTGTTTGTTATTCTGGACCCCTGACTCCAAACCATGGGTACCCCACTACCTCTCTGTTTTTGTTGTTTAACTCACACTGCGTTATGTTTAGTTGTTTAGTTGTGAATTGCTGCTTAACAAACTACCCCAGAATGTAGTGGCTGAAGACAACCGTGTTTATTATTTCTCAAGGTTCTGTGGGTCAGGAATCAGGGCAGAGTGGATGAAGCTGGCTCATCTCTGTCCCATGTGACATCTCCTGGGACTGGGACAACTCAGACAGCTTCTTCACTTTTCTGCACCTTGGCTGAGAGGGCTGGCAGGCTGAGCTCAGCCAGGACACGGTGTCTCTTTGTGTAATCTCCCGTGGCCACTCCACATGGGCTGTCCTTATAGCCTTTCTAGCAAGGTGGCCAGACTTCATGCATAGAGGCTCAGGGCTCCCAAATCACAAGAGCAGAAGCTCTTAGGTCTCCTTGAGACTGAGGCCTGGCACTGGTGGAGCATCTGTTCAGTTGCGTTCTATTGGTGAGGTCAAGTCACAGGGCAGCTCAGATACAAGGTGGAAGGGGAAAAAGTCTAAACAAGGGCGCGAATATGGGCATGGTGGCTCACAGAGGCCGCTTTTGGATACCAACCACCACCTTCCCTTATTCTTCAGTGATGACAATGGCTGAGAACAAAGCTGCTTTGCCTATGTCTGACCCACACAAAGACTTTCTCAAGAGTTTCCTCAGTGATCTTCATTGATAAAGTTGCGCTAGCCCCAGCTGCCCCTGAAATCCCTGATTGATGACTGTCACAGGCTGAGAGCCAGCAGCAGTGGAAGACACGATGATCAATAGTCTCTGATTCCATTCAAGCCCTGTTAGAGCCTCCTCTGCCCGCCTGACACGGTCGAGATAGGCTTTCTGGATAGCTGGAGAGCAGGAGGGCAGTGAATTACCAGGACAAGTCAATAACAAATTGTTTCTTTTTTCCTGTTAATAAAGCCCATTCCTGATAAACACAGGGGATGCTCTGATAACAGAGCTCTGCTGTCCTGCTTTTCCTCCTTGCAGCCCAGGTCCAGCTGCTTAGGCTTTCTGCGTGCATGGCAGAATATTGAGATTCAGCAAATGAAAGGGCTGTGTAGCCTGTGTATTCTGTCTTTTTGAGAGGAGTGGCAGGAGGAGGGGCCTTGGGAAAATGTGGGACCGGCTGAGGGTGTGGCCTGTAAGCAGGAGTGGGAGGAGGTTGGGCACAGCCTGTGTCCCCAGTGCAGCGTTTCCCACACTGTGTTCCTGGTATCACCAGCTCCAAAGGATGGGAAGAGGTGCTCCTCCAGAGAAAGGAGTCCATGAACAATAAGCTTAGGAAAAGCACATATTCTCAGGCTTTTCTTAGAGTGTATCAGCTCATCTGCATGCCACCAAAGGCTCTGAGAAGGTCTGCAGCTAGGGAACATGTCTAACTCTGTTCAAACAGGTATTTCCAAACTTAAGGAGAGGCCCTACTTTTTTCCTCTAGGACAAGATTAAAGCCAAGTGTTCTGAGGAGCACACTTTGTGAGGGCTGCCTTAGGAAAAGCCAGGGACACCAAGTGTGGTCATCCGACCCAGAAGGGAAGAGCAGGGCTCTGAACAGGACCTGAACAGGAGCTAAGCCACAGGTGAGCAGCAAGGTCTGAATGGATAGGCGGTGAAAGTGGGAGACAAGAACCAGGATATATTACAAAAACTGACCAGGAACTCCCATGGCTTACCTTCCTATCTGCCAGGGTGTTCAGCCTGGCTTTGGGTGCAGAGTTATTTTGAGCAGGTTATGTTGCCCCCAGTGTGTAACGGTCTGGGGACGGCGGGTTTATTTACCCTGACTTCCAAGCTTCAGGTGGCCGTGCATAAGCCCCCTCTTTCCTCTGCCAGGTATGTCAGACAGACCCACAGTTTGCCATGTAAGATCTGATACGTATTGCGAAGGGCACAACTGCCTATACTGTGTCAAATTTGTGAAGCATTGCATTGAAAATTGGGTATTGTTACTATCAGATAGGGAAGAGGAAAAGGGAAGTAGGAGAGAATTAATGAGAGAGAGAAAGAGAAAATGATTACTCCACTTTTCCAAATCTCTTGCTAGAATGAGTTTAGCATATATATTTAATGTGATTTTTTTCTGATTAAAAAAATCTAACCTATATATGTATTAAATTAAGAGGTTCCTAAAATGAGGAAGAAAGCTCACTGTTTTAATTGCATCTTTTAAAAGATCCTGAGACGTTTCCATCTGCAAATGTGATGTAATAATGCTTTTACTACTTACTTTTGCTGAGACGTTCAAATAAAAATTTGAGTGTGAAAGTGCTTTGAAAACCGTACAGTGCTGCACACATGTAGGGTATCATTATCCTATTTTTGCTACTAATGCTCTTGTTATGGATTGAATATTTGTGTGCCTACCTCTCCACCACTTCACATGTTGAGGCCCTGCCTCCCAGTATGACTATATTTGGATATGGGACCTTTAAAAAGGTAATTAAGGTCAAATAAGGTCATAAGGGGGATCCCTAATCCGATAGGGTTGATGTCCTTATAAGAAGAGGAAAAGACACCAGAGCTCTATTACTCTCTCTCTCTCTCTCTCTCTCTGCCATGTGGGGATGCAGTGAGAAGGTGGCTGTCTGCAGGCCAGGAAGAGAGCTCAGCTGCCACCTTGATCTTGGACTTCCCAGCCTTGGGAACTGTAAGAAATAAATTTTTATGGTTTTTAAACTGCACAGTCTTTTGTATTTTTATGGTAGTCGAAGCTAAGATACCTTTTCAAGATAAAATTTCCTTTTGAACTCTTGCTGGGGTCAATATCCCCATCAACGAAGAGCAAACCTTCATTCCAGCAGACTCCAAAAAACCCAGAGGAAGCTGATTGCTGTTTTAGATACCAAGGAGAATTGAGTTGGTTACACACCAGCCCCTCCTTGCAACTCTCTTGTGGCTGTTATCCTCCCAGCCTCTGGTTGCAGCCACTTGGCTTGTTTTCTGCAGATATATGATGTTGCATGAGAACTAAGGCATTATGTAACCTGCTTTTCATCCCCACAAATGAGGAAGGAGTAGATATAAGGCCTGAAGTAGCTTCATGTGAATAGTGACTCAGCTAAAGAACAGTTTTTACCAAGGTCCCCTCAATGGTTATTGTTAAGGTCATCTGCTGAGGCCCTAGGATGATAGTTCTATTAACAATTACTATGATTGGGCATGGTGACTCACACCTGTAATCCTAGCACTTTGGGAGGTGAGGCAGAAGAATCATGTGAGTCCAGGAGTTCAAAAACATGCTGGGCAATGTAACAAAGCTTCGTCTATACAAAAAAGTTAAAAAAAAAAATTAGCTGAGCATGGTGGAGAGCTGTAGGACCTGTAGTCCTAGCTACTTAAGAGGCTGAAGCGGGAAGATTTCCTGAGCCCAGGAGTTTGCGGTTACAGTGAGCTGTGATTGTACCACTGCACTCAGCTGAGGCAACAGAGTGAGACTCAGTCTCTAAAAAAAAGTTATTATAAATAATTTTTTTTGCATATCTACTGTATGCCTGATAAAGTGCTACACACTTTTAAATATTCTATTTCACTTAATCAAAGGTAATTAGACCTTCTCTGGCAATACCATTTATGAAGTAGATTTACCTAAATAATCAAATCTAAGTTTTACATTCAATAACTGTGTATGTCAGCGTCTAACTTCCTAGTTACATGTTGCCATGTTATAGGCATTGTTTTTCCCCAGGGATTGAAACAATTTTGTGATGGCATGCAGGGGCAAAACTGGATTTAGATGCAGCGTCTCTCTGATTCTGGAGTGAATTCAAGTATTTACTCATTTATTCATCAGAAGCCCATGTCTTGTGTATATGTGCTATGTTTCTTCCACTGAGCTAGACACTAGGACTATAGAGAGTTCATGAAGACAGGCCTCAATAGGAATATACATTTTCTTAATGTAGAATTTCTACTTTTCATAGTAGTAGACAGGATAAAGGAAACGCTACTGGTACTGCCATGCTTACATGACAGGCATTACAAACATATGTAAGTAGTTTCAGGCTCATTCTCCCAAAGGCAACCACTTCTAACCCCTTTAGCTCTATCTTCTTGTATTTATCATAATGTGTTTATCTTCATATTTATCATAATATGTTTATCTTCCTATTTGTTTGTATTTATGTTATTGTTAAGTATCACACAAATGCAGAAAACTGCAAAAAAACAAATGTGCAGCATAATGAACTAGAAGAGGATTGCCCTTGTACCCACCTCCCTGGTCAGGAGGTAGAAGCTGAAGTCACCCCAGATGCTTTCCACGTGCACCTGTCAATCACAGCCACATACTTCCCCCCAGAGTATCCAGGAGCCTGTTATGGTCCTCCCTCCTTTATTTTTCTTTATAGTTTTATCATCCAACTGTTTATTTGTGAAGGTGGTATATTTTCAAGTCTCTTATAATCCACAGGCTCCTGTTATGGGTTGAACTGCGTCACCATAAATTCGTATGTTGAAGCCCTAACCTCGAATACTTCAGAATGTGACTGTATATGAACAGGGACCTAAAAAAGGTAATTAAGTTAAAATGAGCTTATTAGAGTGGGCTAAATTCCAGTATGACTGGGATCATAAGAAGAGTAGGTTAGGCCACAGACATGTACAGAGGGAAGACCACTTGAGGACACCAGGAGAGGAGGTCCATCTACGAGCCCGGGAGAGAGGACTCTGGGGAAACCAATCCTGCCAACATTTTGATCTTGAATTTCTAGCATTCAGAGCTGTGAGGAAATACATTTCTGTTGTTTAAGCCACCCAGCCTGTGGTACTTGGTGATGGCAGCCCAAGCAAACTTATACCACCATTCTCCACCTTTATGATTTTCTTGTAATTTATTTTGGAAGAGGCTAGATTATTTGTCATATTGAATTTCTCACAGTCTGGTGTTTGCTGATTGATTCCTGTAATTTAATATTTGGATCTAGAACTTAATCATATTTAAGTTCGTTTATTTTGGGAGGGAGGAGGCAAAACTATTTCGTAGATAGTGGTGTGTTCTTTCACCAAGAGGCACATAATGTTCTCTTGTCTCTCTTTTTGTGCTGTTAGTAGCCATTAATTCTCAATGCCTATTTATTACAGATTATAAAATGGTGGTTTTTGATTTTATCTTTCTTTTTATTTATTGAAATGCTCATACATAGAGAATTTTTGTCTCATATAGTTAGTTTCCTGGAGGTGCAGTTTGTTTTAAAAAAAAAGAGCAGAGCAAATACTCCATTCCGTTTATTTAGTAATTTTCAAATTAAAGAGTTGGTACTAAAGAATCCTCTAAAGATAATTTTATGGAGAGAAGGATATCAGGGTAAACTTACGGATTTAAGAATGTTTCATTTTACTGCACTTATTTTTCTTAATGATGCTCAGATTGTCCAATCTTTGGCCAGGGAGAATCTCTTCTACTTAGCTCCCATGTCCTTTGATATCACCTGGTAGAGAAAAATTCTCTCTCGTACCAGAATTTTTCAGACTCATTGTGAACATTTTCTTATGCAGATCTGGAATCATCCATTTCCCCAAGATGTCCTGGTTTGTTTTTGTTTTTAGTGAGAAACAATAGATTGGCATTGTTTCTAGGCCTTTTCACTGTATAGAGCTAGGATACACACACACACACACACACACACACACACACACACACACACGAGTTCATACCAATACCTCCTCCCCTAACTCAAATTTAGAACTACAGGGTGCTTATGTAACCATATTTATATTATATATGCATCTCCTTTTTTCCACACAGAAAATTCTTGTTCTCAAGGCCCCCCTACCCCACCCAGGGATGAATAGAATTGGAATATCACATCATTACTTATTTCTCTATCCCACATTCACACAAAACATTCTTAAAGTAGCAATGCCAATATCACCATCAACATAATTACTAAAAGCAGGTTTTTTTAAATTGCATATGCTCTTCTCATTCTCTCCTTTTTTTCATTGTACTATGTCTATGTTGTCAGAGCAAACACCACAATTTGCTACGTTCTCTTCTTTATTTCCTCATTTAGTCTTATTCTCCATGCAAACACATTTAATGCTCATGATGAGTCTTTAGGTCAGTATCTAGCCAGCCATTTTAGTTACTCAGATCTCATTTGAATAAATTTTTAAATATTTAAGGAAGAGCTCAAGAGAATGATATTCTTTGAGTTATTGTATGTGAAAGTAAGTTTGTCTTCAGTCTATATACTTGAAATTCGGTTTATATTTTTTTTCCTTTGAGAATTTCAAATATGTTACTCCACTTACTTTTGGAATTCAGTATTTATGTCAAAATTTTTGATGACAACATTATTTTCTTACCCTTATAATTAACTTGATGTGTGTTTGTTTTTCTTGGATTGCCAAAGCATGCCTGGTTATGGCCATACTGGGCTGATTTTCTCAAGTAAATGCTGTGATCTTTCAATATGCAGTTTTGCATATGTGTATATTTAATTTCAAGCACATCTTGAATTGCAATTTTTAGTATTTGTTTCCTCATTTATTTAAACTTGTGGTCTTTGATGTCTCCCATTATACGTATGTTGGATCTTCACTGGCTGTTTTCTAAGTTTGTTTCTTTATCTGTAATTCCTTTTATTAATTTTTTCACAATCCTTTATGTTTAATTTTATTTTTCTCTTAAAGCATTATCTGTTATGTTTATTCACTCTTATGTTGCCTCTTGTTTTGCCTTCCTTTCTAAAAGCAATTTTTTAAATGTCTCTTTTTTCTGAGTTCTATTTTCTCATTTCCTATTTTTTTCTAATTCTGAATTATATTCTTTCATCTCTTACATCATTTTTAACATTGTTTAGCCCATTTTGTGATAGTAAGTTATGATTTTTATCTATTTTGCAGATTTGGCTTTCTGGTGTGCTTTTATTATCCTTAGGGATGCTGTGCTACTCTTTATTTTCTTTCAATAACTTTGCAGAGCATTTGTCCTTCATCTATTCTAATGATCATTTTTTAATGTGAAATTAGTTTTCTCAAACTATAATAATATTGAACCTATTAATATATTATATATTATTTTAGTAGAATTAATATATTAATATTTAATTAATATAATATATAATATTTAATTAATATAATTAAATATAATAATAAGGGAGGCCTGGTTTAGGGGAGTTTTTCTAATTTCAAGGCTAGAAAGTCCCTCTTCTATTATTTTAATGAGAGGTAGATGTACTACCTTCTAAGCGTTCCTTGCTCCTTCCCCAAATTTTATCTAGGCCTCATTTTTTTCTTTTTCTTTATTGTCCTTATTGTTTTCAATCTGGGTTCTATTCCCAGCAGTTTTTCCTTAGAGGGGGGATTTTTCTTGGAAAGCAACTTTGGCTCATTAATTCTGAGATTTCACAGGGTGCAGACTGCTTTATGTAGAGGGCACATAGAGAGCAATATGTACTCACTTGCTATTAGAGTGTGTAAACCCCTCAGTCACAATAAATTTGCAAGAAATGGGTACCCTGAACTTTTGAGTGAATACTTGTTGGATATTTCACAGTTGTTAGATCCACCAGTTGCCTACTGATTCCACCTGCTCCCTCTGCACAGATGCTAATAGCATGCAGATCTTGAACTGTCCCTGCTTTGTTCTCACCCACTCCCAATGTGGGATTCATGGGGTATCTTGTCACCTAGTTTTGTTGTAGAGGTTTTTACATGGGTTCTACTTTTTGCTCTCTTAGTTCTTTGTGCTTTGGGGGGATGATTTGGAGAGATTAAAAGACACACCTATCTCACAACCATCTTCCCAAAATCTTATACTACATTCCATGGTTTGTCATTTTAAGACATTATCTAGTAACTTCTCTCATTATGGTAGAAAAGAATTCAGCTTTATTACAGGCTGGTGCCCACTCACCTGCTTTCTCTCCCGTTATTCTTCCAATTTAGTTATTTCACAAAGTCAGTATTTATTATCCTAACTATATTGGGTACCACTGAATCAAATATGTTTGTTTCTTTTCTTATAGATGTATCTCCCCCAAAGTAATACTGGCATTATTAATTGTTATTGTTTCTTATATTTTTCTCTGGCTCCAAGCATTATGTTTCTTCAAGCCCTTTATTTTAGTTCGTGTTTTTCATGTTAGAGGTTTTCACGATTTCTGTTTATCTCTGAATTTATGCTCATATTTAAGAGTAGACTTAAAAGTGGAATGGGGCTTTCTCTGTGTATTTGTGTTGGGGAGAGGACTTGTCAACAAGGGAATTTGTCACTGACTGTCCTTTCCTTTGGGGTACCTTGAATGTTAGTATAATTAGGTATTTTTTTCTCATGTTGATCACATTCCCCAGAGAAGTACCCTCCAATCACCTGCATGAGAGGGATATCCTCTGACAGAGGAAGGGTCTGAGGATTCCACTATTTGGCATGTAGATTCTCACATAATGCCTCTTTTCAGCCTCTCTCCATCACTCTGGCGAGCAGGCTGCAACTTCTATGGTTTAATTTCTTTGGAACTAACATGTTCTTTGTTCTTGCTGTCCATCTTTGTACATTATGTATGAACACTTTACATATGCTACTCCCAATCAGTGTATTAGAAGTTACTAGAACAATTATAAATAAAACTTGAAATAATAAATTATCTTGCACATCACTTTCCTGGGATTTGTGCATCTGGTCCACAGAATATATGTCTGTGAAAGGGAAGGCTACTTACAATAAGATAGTTGCCTGTGCATCTCACAACTACCTACTGTGTAGACTTTCACCTTCCTTCCTTGCCATCAGCCTTTGTCTCATACCTGTCTTCAGTGGACCTGGTGCCTGCATGTCCTGAGCTCTCAGGTGACTTCCTTTAGGTATTCATCTTTGTAGCCCTTGGAATGCAGCTTCCCTTGGCCACTCCCCCAGCTTCAGAAATTAATTGACCTCTATTATTTTCATTGACAGCTTTTACTAGTCTCTTGTCTCCATGTATTCACACTTAAAAATTATTTTACTGTCATTTTGATGACCTTTTGAGGGGATAAGAGATTAATATATGTGTTCCATTTCCCAGAAATATATTTTGAGAATGGACAATAAACATTGAATGGACAATAAACACTACTAACATAATGTTAATAAACATTAACAGAAAGACATTGAACATTTAGTAGGGACTGAATGCTTGTGTCCCCATCCACAATTCATATGTTGAAATCCTAACCTCCAAAGTGATGGTATTCAAAACTGGAGTCTTTGAGAGATGACTAGGTCATGAGGGTGCAGCTCTCATGAATGGGATTAGTGCCCTTATAAAGAGACCTCAGAGAGCTCTCTCTTGTCTTCTTTCTACTCTGTGAGAAGACAAGGAGAATCAGCAGTCTAAAACCTGGAAGAGGGTGCTCACCACCCCCTGACTGTGCCGGCACCTGATCTGAGCCTTCCAGCTTCCAGAACTGTGAGAAATAAATTCTGTTGTTTAAACCTCCCAGTCTATGGCATTCTGTTACAGAAGTCAGAACTGACTATTTTTAAAATCTCATGTTCACATAGCACCCCATAGTTCCATAGCACTTTTGGATATAATTCTTCATTTGAGTGTCCCATGGGGTAAGGAGCAGGGAGATTGTTATCCTCAGTTACTTGTGGCAAAGCCAAGACTGGGAGTAGTTGCATGAGACAGCAGTGGAACTGAGTTAGAAACAAACATTCATGACTGTTGGTTGTTGCTGCTTTAATGCTGTACACTAACCATAGATTCAACAAATATTTTTTACTTGCCTAAGAACTGTAATTCTGAAATTCAAGCACATTATCTCTTATTGACAGGCACCAAAGACTATAATATACAGCGGGGACCCTATTTTTTATGAGTAAAGATTTTTAGTCAACTATAGAAATATAAACATGACCCTTCTAATGCATTTTAACAACCTCTATTTCTGGACATTAGCCGAAGTTTGCATCTTTAGCAGTAACTGATTTGCCATACAGGCCAATTCCTCCCTTAAGAATTCTGCTAAAGATTTGACCTTAACCTTGACTGGTTCCTTTATTTCCTTGTTCCAGTGGATTGATTCTCTCATATGTGATTTCTGAAGCCTGTGTGCAGTGGTATTTAGCAGGTTTTAATTGATTGGATTGCCTTGGTCAACAATTGGGTTGATCTTATATGCTACCCTAGCACTACTTGGCTTCCTGGATGATAAGACGTAAAAACCCTTTCTCAGACATTGAAAAAAAAGACTATCTCCCTAATGCTCATTATTAATTGGTTGCCTTTTCAGGCTGACAGACTATAGGCAATCAATTATGGATTTCAAAACTATGAACTTCACACGGGCGGATATAAGCTCTTCTTTTCCACAGCTTTTGTGGTAAGTAGTGATATCTTTGTTATGTGGCCTAGGTAAGCCCAGCCAGGTGCCTTGCCTCCCTCTCTGGGGCTGCTTCATTACAACTTGGTCACAATCTTTCCTGGACCAGATACATTTAGAGAGTTGAAGAATATAAGTAACTTTTTACCTCTTTTCTTGGGTTTAACATCAAGTTCTCCTGCTTGAGTCAATAGAGGAAAGCAAGATGGTATGGTGGAAAGAGCAAAAGTTTTGGGGTGAGAGAGACTTGGGTTTATATCCCATATCCATCCTTATTGGCTGTTTGATCTTAGATAAGTCATTTACCCTCTATGAGCTGCAATGTACTCAAAAAGCAAGAATAATGATATTCTCCATTGTTGAGAGGTCAACACAATTAAATTAGGTAAATTAAAAGTGCCCAGCACACAGTTTCACATAAAATTAAACATGAACATACCATATGATCTCACAATTCCACTCCTTAGAGAAATGAAAACATATGTTCACACAAAAGCTTATATGCAAATGTTGATACCAGCCTTAATTGCTAATAGCCCTAACTGGAAGTAATCCCAAAGTGCATCAACAGGTGAATGGATACACAGATTTGGTATGTTAATACAATGGAACTCTAATTAGCAATAAAAAGGAATGAACTATTGATACATGATTCAACATGATGACCCTCAGAAACATTATGCTGAGGGAAAGAAGCCAGACACAAAAGACCAGATACTATATGATTCCATAGGAAACGCTAGGAATGACCAATCTACTCAACAGTGACAGAAGTAGATCAATAATAACTTGGGGCCAGGAGTGGGGATGGGGTTGATTGGGAAGGGGCACAAAGGAATCTCTGAGTGATAGAAATATTTTTTCTGTATCTTGAATTGCGGTGATAGTTATATGAGAATACACGTTGGTCAACATTCACAAAATTATGTACTTAAAATGTGTGCATTTTATTATATATGAATGATAGCTTAATAAAGTTAATTTTTAAAAGAAGTCTGTCTTAGTGCCTGGCACATAGTAGGTGGTCAATGAATGTTGCTTCCTTCTGTTGGTTTGTGCCCAAGGAGGACAGTTTGCTTGGTCCCTGCCCTTGAACCCACAGTCTTAGGAGTGGGACAGTAACATATTTTCTCAATGACTCTCTCATATTCCTGTTACCTTTTAGTATCCTCTAGCCAGCTTCCAACTTTCAATATCTGCTACCCTGTCTTAGTCAGCTTGGGCTGCCTAGCAAAAATACCACAGACTGGGCAGCTTAAACAACAGCCATTTATTTCCTCACAGTCTGGAAGCTGGAAGCCCATGATCCAGGAGCCAGCATGGTCGGGTTCTCATGAGGACTTTCTTCTTGGCTTGCAGACAGCCACTTTCTCACTATGTCCTCACATGGCCTTTCTCTGGTGCATGCCTGTGGAGAGAGAGAGAGAGAATTCTCTCCCTATTTTTATAAGGCCACTGGTCCTATTGGAGTAAGATCCTACCCCTATAAGTTCATTTAAACTTAATTGTCTCCTAAGAACCCTATCTTCAAATACAGTCACACTGGGGTATATAATTCAGTCCAAAGGATATCCTGTGCCTGAATATTTTTCTTTTGGAACCAGAGAAGGCTGCCCTGCTTGCAAGTGGTAGTTTGGTTTTATTGCGGAACAGACCCTGGAAGCAGCCCTCAAATAACTACTTTTGGAAATTGATGTGCAAATACCTCAGCTCCCTTGCCCCTCAGGAGGATAATCATGAGGGATGTGTTTTATACCAATTCTCAAAGTTCTCCATTGAAATAAAGCATCCATCACCTATGGGTAACTGGATTAATATCACACTTTTGATCAACTGTATTACCTCCCTCTATCACTAGCCCACCCCTCCTAATGCTCCCTCTACCTGCCAGATAGACCATTTTCCCTTGAATCCTTGTGTCAGAGTGTGATTCTGGACGAACCTAAACTAAGACAGTGACACATGTTCAAGGCAGGCTGAAAAAAAGAAAGTCCAACAAATGTATATACATCAAGCCATGGGAGAAGAGATTAATTGTGAAGGAGACAGTGATTCTGACTAAGGCATCTCAGAAGGTTTTTGGAAGCGGTGGAGTTTGAACTTCATCCTTGAAGGATGAATACAACTTTGACAGGTAACTCCTATGGAACCCAAAGAAAAAGGGGACTGGAGAGTGAGAGAGAGAGAGAGAGAGAGAGAGAGACAGAGACAGAGATAGAGGCACAGAGAGACACCCAAGACTTCAAGATTTAGTGGGAAGTTAAACGATTAATAGATAAAGCACTTGTCACATTACTCTGTGATTTAATGTCTCATCCTCTAAGTGTTGTGGGTTCCCAGAGCAGGATTTCTAGTGTCTAGTGTCCTAAGACAGCCCTCAATGTGAATCTTCCTCACCCCAAGGTGCTAATAAAAGGAAAAACTGAGCTTTTGAAAAGCTCTCCTAAGGCACAGCTCCAAAATTCAGGACAGAGTCCAAACTCTTGTTTTAATAGCTTTGGCCAAATTCATGTTCAGCATTTGATTTAGAGCTTGCAGTGTTAATATTTTGTGCATTGGGCCAACTCTCCAGTGATTTTAATATTTCGTTTATCGACTGATTTAACTTTTAATAGTATCCAAAGCCATCTCATTAGATTACAGTGCTGAAAGAGTGCCACTGTAATAGCTATCCCGTTGTTCAAGTAAATTCAATTTGGACAGATGTAGCTCAAGGCGAAAGGGAATCGTAATCTCTGAAATAGTTTGCCATCCTATATTCCAAACAAGTCTTAGCTCCTCTGCGTGCGTGCCTTGGACATGATCTTTAAAGATCTTGAAGGACCAGGGGAGAAATACGATCTGGACATGTTTGATAATCGTTGCCATGTTGCACTGTACCTATGTGGTGTGTCCTTGTCACAGCCATATTTGGGACACTCTTAGAGAATTGTGGTTGTGCCTAATTAATCTCTGAACCTCTAGTACACAAGGTAGAGACCTAGGAAATATTTCACTTAAATTGGAAACGCATTTTTGTTCTCAGGCACACGGGGAGCTCTGTCGTTGGTCCTGAACTGCTTCACAATGTCAAACAATGACTTTGATGGGGCCATAGAAATGAACTTCTAAGGATAGTGAGCTAGGAGGGACCATAAAAACACTGGATGACAGAATCAACATAAAAAATATTTTTCTTTCTTTCTTTTTTTTTTTGTAAGTAGTCATTCTGGTTTTATTCGTAATAATTATCAACTTTTTTTAAAAAATTATACTTTAAGTTCTAGAATACATGTGCAGAATGTGCAGGTTTGTTACATAGGTATACACATGCCATGGTGGTTTACTGCACCCATCAACCTGTCATCTACATTAGGTATTTCTCCTAATATTATCCCTCCCCTAGTCTCCCACCCCCTGACAGGCCCCGGTGTTTGATAGTCCCCTCCCTGTGTTCATGTGTTCTCATTGTTCAACTCCCAATTATGAGTGAGAACATGCAGTGTTTGGTTTTCTGTTCCTGTGTTAGTTTGCTGAGAATGATGGTTTCCAGCTTCATCTATGTCCCTGCAAAGGACATGACCTCATCCTTTTTTATGGCTGCATAGTATCCCATGATGTATATGTGTCACATTTTTTTTTTATCCAGTCTGTCATTGATGGACATTTGGGTTGGTTCCAAGTCTTTGCTATTGTGGATAGTGCTGCAATAAATATATGTGTGGGGCTACTATCTAGAATCTACAAGGAACTTAAACAAATTTACAAGAAAAAGCAACCCCATCAAAAAAATGGGTGAAAGATATGAACAGACACTTCTCAAAAGAAGACATTTATGTGGCCAACAAACATATTAAAAAAAAGCTCATCGTCACTGGTCATTAGAGAAATGCAAATATAAACCACAGTAAGATACCATCTCACACCAGTTACAATGCTGATCATTAAAAAGTCAGGAAACAACAGATGCTGGAGAGGATGTGGAGAAACAGGAACACTTTTACACTGTTGGCGGGAGTGTAAATTAGTTCAACTATTGTGGAAGACAGTGTGGCGATTCCTTAAGGATCTAGAACCAGAAATACCTTTTGACCCAGGAATCCCATTATTGGGTATATACTCAAAAAGATTTTTCTGTGCTGTGACATCCACAATTTTGGTAAAAAAAAAAAAAAGTAGCAGATAAATAATCCTGTAACACCGTTTGCTCCTGGAAGGCAAAGACTGTCATTTCTTTCTGTATCTCCAGAGCCTAGAAGAGTGCTGAATACAAGTTATATGGACAATAGATAGTTCTTGAATGAAGGCATAGTTACAAGGCCTATTGTATTAGTCTTCTTTCATGCTGCTAATAAAGACATACCCAAGACTAGGTAATTTATAAAAGAAAGAGGCTTAATTGACTCACAGTTCCACATGGCTGGGGAGACCTCACAATCATGACAGAAGGTGAATGAGAAGTAAAGACATATCTTACATGGGAGCAGGCAAGAGACCTTGTGCAGGGGAACTCCCATTTATAAAACCATCAGATCTTATGAGACTTATTCACTACCACAAAAACAGTATGGGGGAAATTGCCCCCATGATTCAATTATCTCTACCTGGTCCCACCCTTGACACATGGGGATTATTACAATTCACCGTGAGATTTGGGTGGGGACACAGCCAAACCATATCACCTCTATTCTGTCCAAAAGTCTGATTTTCACAAGTATCCAGTGGAAGAGATAGAAAAGACACAATTTAGCATGAAAGAAAAATAAGATCTTCAGTGGAATGTCAATTCAATAATAATAGACTTACGCAGTCTTCAGAAAACTGAACTTTTCCTTTAGCCATGTGATAGAAGTAAGCTACACAGACCATGGAAGTGACAGTTCCACTCTGATCAGACCTTATCTGCTCCTGGGCCTTCAGTCCTTGAATATGTGCCAGGCTGTCTGTATTAAACTCTTGAAAGAAAACTCTTAGGCGCAAAACTGCCCCTTCTATGGGGATATAGAAATATTAGTTTGATTTTTCATTTAATCTAAAAACATTTATTGAGAAGCTTCCCTGTGCCAAGCATCTCAGTGATACAGAGGAACATAAGACACGGTCCATCTTCCCAAAAAACTTACAATATAGTAGTGGGGCAAGGCAAAAGAACCATTACCCAAATTGAAGGCATTTAGCAAAAACCTAGGACAGTGTAGGACAAACAGTGAGTCAATGCATACTTTTTGAATGAACAGAATTTAAACTTCTGTAACTTTAATGTATGTCAGAATCACCTCCTAGAGAATTAGTAGGTCTGGGAAGGGAGCCTGGAAATCTGGATTTTAATATGTTCCCTAGGTAATAACCATGGTGTTGAATGTGACTTTCACTTTTAGGTGAGATATCAGTAAAGATTTTCAGAGCTTTTCTCAAAGGGAAAAAAGGAGCTTGACGTGTGGGGAAGTATAGGAAGGACATTCTAGACCCAGGGACAACAGGACTGAAGGTGCAGAGGGAGACTTAAAAACATGGTTGTATTGGAACAGTCACACATGAGATTGGTTTGTTTCCTCAAAAACATGGTGATTTTCTTAACTGGCTGGATAGGCAAACCCTGCCTCCCTCCCTCCCTTCCTTCCCTCCCTCCCTCCCTCCGACCCTCTTTCCTTCCTTCCTTCCTTCCTTCCTTCCTTCCTTCCTTCCTTCCTTCCTTCCTCCTTAATGCCTCCCCATGTAGCCCTCCAAAATCTGTATACCCTGACAAATTTTGGTATAAGTCCCACAGTTACCTGGCTGGAACAGATGCCAAGGTAGATAAAAGGACTGCACATTGGAGGGTTTCACTGCATTATTCTTTTGCTCTCTCCAAGTATTCCAAGTTAGTCTGAGTCTGATATGAAGATACTAATTAGTTTTCTAGGTGACAGTGTAGGGAGAACTAACCTTAGGTAATTATAACCCATAGGCAAGCCAACTTATTCTTGGGTGTTGGAAAGAGCTTAAGGTAAGAGTAGTGGAAGAACATTTCAAGTACCTTGGCTTCATAAAGGACTCACAGATTCTCTTTGTCTTAATCAAACCTGTGAGTGCCTATATTTTAGACACCATGGAGTTGCAAAGCTGAATAAAAGGCCTGCCTTTAGGAGCTCATTATTGGGTAGGGGAATTTAGATAAGAGCAGAAGTAACTACATTGTCAGGTAGAAAGTACCCAGCATAGCCCAGTACCTGGCACTTGTTAAGTATTTGCTAAATGAATATATGAATATAACTTGCCCCCCATTCCTCAAACATTGCCTAATTGGGATGAGGCAGAGCTGTCCTGGGTGGAGGGTGTCTGCAGTTCCTGGGTGTGTCCTGACAGCAGGATGCTCCTCCCACCTTTCCACCTTCTTGTAATAGTCCCAGCCATTCAACTCACTACTTGTCCTCCAAACTTCGCCTGCACTTGGTGCTTGTTATTGCCTTTCTAGTTTTGACCTTGCGTCTTCTCTCATGATTTTGAGCTCATCTCAGGTCATCTTGGGTGATGACCCTTGTGGCTGGACACAGAGGATGCTTCTCCCTCAGAACTGCCCTAGCTTAGCAGTTGGGACATATATGTGCTACTAACCACAGAGGCTGAGGGAAAGTGGAACTAACCTCCAATATAGAGAAAGCATTGTGGAGAGGACATTTGAGCTGGGTCTTGAAGGCAGGAGGTCATTTCACCTTGTAAGAGCATGAGAAATGGCCCACAAGGCCATGGAGAGGCATCCCCTGAGAGCGCAGAGGATCTGCCCTTATGATCTCCATCTTCAGAAAGTGGGGAAATGCGGAGCATCCCTCAGATTAGTCACTGAAGACTGAGGTTTGTTCTTCTTGAACCTAATTCTGCTTCCACCCTCTAGAATGCAGGAAAATGAGTTTCTAAAAGAATTCTCCCTGTTGTCATGAGGACAATATCTTCCCCTTTCTTCTGAACTCACTCCCATCTGATACTGAATGAATATTGACATTGGATAAAGAAATCCATGTTTCTCCATCCATCGGTTAATCATTATGTTGGTGTCACTCTTGCCTAGGTCTCAGTGCAAATCTTACCCCTTCAATAAGCTCACACCTGCCCCTGCCCCAACTCAAAGTCAGAGGAGATGAAAATTCTTTTTTTAAAACTATATGTTTATTTATAATTTATATCTATTACTATATATGGGTTATTTACATGCATTTATATATTACTATATTGTAATCTATATTTGTATTTTATGCAAATATAAGTCTATACATAACTTATATATGTAGTATCTTGTATAATATACACAAAAATAGAAAATTTAAAGGTTTGGGATAATAACAACATAGATAATATCCTAAATTGTTTGTATTATAAAATCTTTCTTTGCTCTCACTTTTTTTTACTGCCCCTGGAATTATTAATAATATTTTGAAGTAAGCATTAAGATTGGATAGGCTTCATTAGTTTTAAAATTTTACTACTTGACAATACAGCAAGATATCATAGTTCTAAGTTCAGCTTTAAAAAATATGTTTGGTTTGAATGGCTGTCAGAGTTGAAAAGGATTCCTCACAAAGAGGTGTCGATCCAAATGGAACAGGGCACTGGTGGCTGTGCTTCCTAAATTATGATTCTCATTTTTCAATGCCATTCACCAATTATGCAAAGGCTTTTATTGAAATAGGGCTAGTAAATTTCCATCTTCCTGATGTCAGGCTGTTATTCTTGCAAACTAATTGGAAGATATTTCATTTTTCCATTTTTAAGCAAATGCACCCAAAATCTATTGAAACTTTATTTGGAAGATTTTTAAGCTTGCTAGTGAATTCCGTTTAAGTGTGCATGTGTGAGCATCATTATAGTTGACACACCAACTATACAGACAAAATATCACAGAGTGATGGAAATGTTTTTTAAAAATGCTCTTCGATACATGAATTTCTTTAGCAAAGCAGTTACTTTCTCACTCTTTACCTTGAAGGGTCAGATCTAATGTGTTTATTTTTAAAAAAATATCTACTTGTGGCTCAATGCTGAGGACTACTTGTCATTTTAGAAAAGGTCACTAAATTCGACACCCTGTCTCTTTGTAGAAGAAAAATGTGTAACCCACCTTCAAGTTCAACAACTAATTCAGGTACATTGTGTGTTCCCAGAGAAGTTCATGATCAAACCACTTATCATTAATGAAGTCTTGTAAAAATTCTACTATTTTAAATTTCCCTTTTCCTGTTATATATAATCACATTAATGGAACTCTGTGATACTATGTGCACCCGCAGCTTATGTTTCTTTGCCATGACAGCCTGCCTACAACTGACCCTGTGAATGAATTTCACGTGTGAGCTATCTTTATAACCACACTCTTGGATCTTTTTAAAGTTCCAGTGGTTGTGGTTCTACAGTGATCCTGTAGAACAGTTACTATTATAGACTATTAAGACTGTGTCTTCTTCAATAAAACTTTTCTTTCATGGCTCACATGAAAGTAGTTCTTTATAAGTATCATCATTCGGGGTCATTACATCAGGGCCCCCAGAATGTGCACTGCAGAACGTCATGGGCACCTGTTGCATAGAATACAGTGTGAATGATGCCTTTGGAGAATGTAATGTTCAAACTGCACAACTATCTGAGGCATTGGAATGAAATACTTCAAATCCATAAAATTGAATATGCTGGAAACATCTGCACTTTAATCCAGCTGCCTGGCAAAACATTGGTACTACATGTGTTCTAATAGTCATTTTCCCCCTAGATTTCCCCACTGAAATTTTTGTGTGTGTCTTTCAAATGTATTTCTGACAAAGAATGCATTTTGATTTATTGCAATTTTGCCATATTGTAGCTATGTGTAATTCAGCCATATTACTGTGGCAGGAAAAATGAGAGATTATTAAAAATCCCTTATGCTGGATGCTTTGCACTCGTAAAGTCCAATGTATGTCTGCTTAGGGTCTATGGACTCGGTGGTCAAGCCATCTTGGTGAGAACTATTGCTTTCCCAACAGGATCCCGTGTGCACTAGACATGTGGCCATGACATGTGGATTGAGGGAGCGTGCCAGGGTCATTGTGAGTATTGAGTTAGCCCAATGTAAATTCTGTCTTATTTTTTTAAGGTAAATAAATATGGATAGAAGTTTTGTATTTTCCTCTCTTGGCATCATAGGATTGACTATATCCCATCTCAGAAATCCCTGAAATTAAATAACTTCTTCCTCTGTGCTCCCACTGGTCCCTATACTTAAAAAAATTACAATGTTCTTTTCATAAAAATTACATATGTCCATTGTAGGATATTTGAAAGGTAGAGAGAAGCATATAAATATAAAAATAATCTGTAATCATATCCTCTCAGAAATGGTCACCTAAAACTTTTTTTTGGGGGTCGGCGGGGAGGAGACAGAGTCTTGCTCTGTCGCCCAGGCTGGAGTGCAGTGGAGCAATCTAGGCTCACTGCAACCTTTGCATTCAAGCCATTCTCCTGCCTCAGCCTTCTGAGTAGCTGGGACAACAGGCATGCACCATCATGCCTGGCTAATTTTTGTATTTTTAGTAGAGATGGTGTTTCACCATGTTGGCCAGGCTGGTCTCAAACTCCTGACTTCGGGAGGCCTGCCGCAGCCTCCCAAAGTGCTGGGATTACAGGCGTGAGCCATGGTCCCCGACCTAAAATCTTGATATAGATATATGTGTGTGTATATATGTGTGTGTGTGTGTATATATATATGTGTGTGTGAGGGGGACACCAACATTCAGTCCACTGCAGTCAAGTAATGAATATTTTAGGCTTTGTGGATCCCAGGATCTGTGTCATCACTATTTAACTCTGTTTTTTTATACGAGAGCAGCCACAGACAATATGTAAATGAATGAGTGATGCTATATTTCAATAAAACTTTATTTACAAAAGCAAGCAGCAAGCTAGATTTGCCCTGTAGGTCATAGTTTGTTGACTCCTAATATATAATATATATAATATAATGTATATAATATATTATATACAATATATAATATATAATATAATGTATATAATATATTATATACAATATATAATATATAATATACAATATATAATACATTATATACAATATATAATATATATAATATATAATACATTATATACAATATATAATATATAACATATTATATACAATACATAATATATAACATATATACAATATATAATATATAACATATTATATACAATATATAACATATTATATACAATATATAATATATAATATACAATATACAATATATAATATATAATATACAATATATCATATATAATATATAATATACAATATATCATATATAATATATTATATACAATATATCATATATTATATATTATATACAATATATCATATATGATATACAATATATTATATATTGTATATAATATATATTATATAATATAGTATACACTATATTATATACATATAATATATTATATACAATATAATATATACAATATAATATATTATATACAATATAATATATTATATACAATATAATATATACAATATAATATATTATATACAATATAATATATTATATACAATATAATATATATTGTATACAATATAATATATATTGTATACAATATAATATATACAATATAATATATACAATATAATATATTATATACAATATAATATATATATTATATACAATATAATATATATATTATATACAATATAATATATATATTATATACAATATAATATATATATTATATACAATATAATATATATGTAATATATATAATATATAATATTGTATATAATATAATAATAACCATTTAATGGACACTTACCATGTGTTAGGTGCTTTACATATATTATCTGACTTAATCTCTAAATATTCTTACTCTTATTTCCCAAAAGAGTAATCTGGGGTGTCCCCCTCAAATTCATTTGTCAAACTTCTAGCCCCCAGGATGATGGTGTTAGGTGGTGGGGCCTTTGGGGATGATTAGGCCATGAGCCTGGAGCCCTCCTGAGTGGGATTAGTGTCCTCATAAAAGGGGCCCCAGAAAGCTCGCCTGCTCTCTTTTGTACCACCTGAGGACACAGTGAGAGGACAGCTTTCCATATGCAACTCAGAAAAGGGTCCTTACCAGAACCCCATCATGCTGGCTCCCTGATCTCAGACTTCCAGCATCAAAACTGTGAGGAACAAATTTCTGTGGTTTATCAGCCTCTCAACCTATGGTATAAGCCATCCAGCACAAATGAACGAAGACATTTGCCCTTTACAGAAGAAGTTCGCCTGTTGTGTAGAATCATCATTCTTCACTCCTCATGACTTTATACTTCTGAGCAGAGCCCCCTCTCAGCCTCCACTGTGGCCTGGGATTCTGCGCCCTGACTTACCCCTCAGGGGTCTGACCAGTGTCTTGCACATAGAACTTTCTTTGACACCTTGTCCCCCACCCCAGCAGCTGTTCTTATGACTGAGGGCATTCTCAGGGCTGGCAGGAAGTCCCAGACAATTAACAAGTCACCCCTCCCCTCAGCAGCCCTCAATCAGTGACTGACAGAAGGTGCTACATAAATACCTCAGCTCCCTCCCCTGCCTTGGACAGGCTAACTCTACCCTGGTTCCCAGAGTCACCCAGGAGATTCAACTTTGCTCAGCTTGGCAGCTTGCATCCTTCTCTTCTCTGTCTGCCCACCACATTCCTGCATTTCTCTTTTGGTGTCTCTTGGGCTCCCCTCCCAAGCAATTTCCTCACATCCACATTCTTGCTTCAGTCCCTGAGTCTATAAGCTCCTGTTTCCTCTCTTGCATAAACTTTCTCCCTGTTTTGCTCCTCTGTAACTTTATTGTTTTCCACTGTGCTGGGACATTAGCAGGTCACAACCAATATATTTTTTTTGTGGGTGAAGTGACTGATCTCTTTCAGGAACTAGAACAGAGACTCAGGGAACAAACCCTCAGCGTAAGCCACAAACCCACTGAGGCAGAGGCGGCCCCTTTGCATCTTCCATCTCAGTTGCCTGCTCCTTGGTGTCATAGGTGCTTGGTAACATGGCACCTCCCTGTCTGTGGGTGGCAGGAGAACAGCCTTTGAACCCATTTGTCCGAGACTGCATAAGGAGAGTTGTTGCATTTGGGAAGTGCCCTGAGGGCCTTAGGAGGAAGGGCTCATCTAATGAAGGACTGAAGGACTTTTTCTGAGCATCCAGAAACACCAAAGGTCTTGCTGTGTTTTCTCATTTTTAATTTGTTTTGCATAGAAAGCTTTTCTGCACCTCACAGAATGGCTTCAGTGAGGGTCAGTAATGATGGCATTGTGAGCCCCAGAGAGGCTGGGTCTTGATGTCAGTTGTGGCCCTGACTCACAGCAGGAAGAGCAATTAATTACCTAATTTGTCTCTGTCTCTCTTTGACCAGTTGGTAAATGGGGGAGCAATATTGCATCTTGTTTTAAAGGGCCAGCCAGCTGGTCTTGAAAAAGCAAAGTTATGAATGTGGGGCTTTGAAAACCCTTAGGTGAAGGACAACTGTTCAGCCTTGTGTCTGAGCTGAGCTGTTGTTGTTTTAAACAAAGGCTTCCAGGAAAGACTGGGTTGATGGAACTGATACATCTAAAGAATAGGACCCAAGACATGGTCTTGATAGGCCTCTTAACATCCTGGCCTTGTGCTTCAAGCCCAGACATGAGGAGTTCCCGAAGGGAGCTTGCGCCTGGGCTGGGGGTGGCTCTGGCACCAGGGAAGCTGGGCAGT
Source organism: Homo sapiens (assembly GCF_000001405.40). Taxonomy (NCBI): domain Eukaryota; kingdom Metazoa; phylum Chordata; class Mammalia; order Primates; family Hominidae; genus Homo; species Homo sapiens. The sequence goes on along the minus strand of NC_000002.12, from coordinate 15,095,954 downwards.
CACTCACTACCCTTCCTCCAGGCCATGAGCAGCCCCATGAGTGTCTCCAAGACACTGTCAGATACTGTGCCGTTTCTGCCTTCTGATGGCAGTGGGATGGAGAACAACAGTTGGACTGGAGGAATCAACCACTGACTAAGGCCAAGCTTGCAGGAGAAGCTTGAGCTCCCATGTCAGGGCCTGGGGAAAGGTGACCATATGGCCACCAACTTGACAATGGGACATGTTTAATGTGGGAGTAAGAGGGGCGTTGGTGCTTACCAGGGAAGGTTCATGGGAGCTGGGTCCGTGCCTCCACACTGTGGGGGAAGGCAGAAAGAGCACCCAGAAAATCACAGCTGAACAGCTGAAAATGCTGTTTTCCTGCATGATATAGTTTGGCTGTGTCCCCACCCAAATCTCATCTTGAACTTTACTCCCATAATTCCCACGTGTGGTGGGAGGGAACTGGTGGGAGATAATTGAATCATGGGAGTGATTTCTTCCATACTGTTCTCGTGGTAGTGAATAAGTCTCACGAGATCTGATGGTTCGATAAGGTGAAACTTGTTTGGCTTGATTCTCATTCTCTCTCTCTTGCCTGCTGTGATGTAAAGCCTGCCTTTCTCCTTCCACCATGATTGTGAGGCCTCCCCAGGCACGTGGAACTGTGAGTCCATTAAACCTCTTTCTTTTGTAAATTACCCAGTCTTGGGTATGTCTTTATCAGCAGCATGAAAATGAGCTAAAACACTACATCTATAGCTGTGGGCCTGCAGGGCTGTTATATGAGAAAAACAAGTTGCAGAATAATGTGTATGCAATGGCCGTTCTTTAATAAAAATAAGCAGGGCCACCTCCTATGCATGTTTTATGGTGGAAAGACACACACCAGGCTGTCTCCATTGAACCTAAGAGGCGGAGACATGGCAAAGATTGTAGAGAAGATTATATTTTACTATACATTTTCTTAATTTTTAAACAAATATGGGGCATACATGTTACTTTTATAATTTTTGATAAGGAATTTAACAAAAGGGTTATATAATATAAAAAGAAAGTTGTGGTTTGCTCTTTCAAATTTGGCCAGGTCCACCCTTGCCTCATCTCCCTATGCCTGGGAGCTTTCTGGAACCTGGAATCTCTGCTGAGACCCCGTCGGCTTCCTGCTGCATCTTTCTGCTTCTGGTTCAGGCCCATCCTGGAGGACAGACTGCAAAGGGCCGGCGGGAGCATTTTAGAACCTGGAGCACTGCAGGGTTCAGCCGGCTGAGGGAAGCTGGGCACAGTCTTGTAGCCCATCAGTCCGCATATTCTCAGCACAAAAAGCTCTCAGTCTTTGACTGCCAGGCTGGAACTTAAAGCCAGAGGCTTGGCTTAGCTTCCATTACAAATGTCCTGAGCCATGCAGGCTCTTAATAAGAAAATTGATTCAGCCCCAGGCTTAATCCCGGAGTTATATTTTTTCCCCCATGATAGCAAGCTTATGGCTCTACAATATCTAATTTAGATGATTTGAAAATGTATTCTTTGACAAGGCTTAATTAAAGTGGATTGTACCTATATGGGAACATTTTACAATTTCCATAACAAACACTATTATTACCAGGAGCAATGTATTTTTTTGTTCTATTGATGTCTTTTATGGAGATGTCATAAAAAGAAGATTATGACTTCTCATTATGAGGCAGATGGAGGAGAAGATGCATTTTGATTACTAGAGAGGGAAATATGTTCTTTCCAAACAGTTACCTTAATAGCCAGTGAGGGCTGGACTGGACTGGAATGGGAGGTCTAGGCAAATGACTTTTTTATGGGCCTGACTTTATAGCAGCTTCCTTTTGCATGTTTCAAAGGAGAGCCATCAAATGTGAAGCCGATTCTTCAGTTTGGCTAGAAACGAAGGCTCCACAGGTTGTATGTCTTTCTGAAACTATTATTAACAATGAATACAACTCACTTTCTGAGTCTCTTAGTAACAAGAAACTAGGCTTACTTTTAAAAATCCATTATAATGAGATAACACTTTACATCTGTGAAGTATTATGAGAATCACCCATTAAAAATATTTTGTATTATAGGAGCAGTGTATTTTCATTGTAATAAACTGGAATAACATTTTTTTCTATGCTTAAACATAGTCTTTTTCTATGCTTAAAAAAATAGCCAGGCTTGATTATTCATATTATGAGCATTTTCTCTATGTCTTTAATTATTGTTTCAAACACCATTTTAAATGACTTCATATTATTTTACCTTTGGTTGTAACATTATTTAACCAGTGTTGGACATAATTTACTTTTTTCAAGTTTTTCATTTGTGTAAATAACACTGATAAAGTTCCTTATAGAAAATCTTTGTCCACATTGCTGGCGAATTTCCTAGAATCATCTCTGGAAATAGAATTACTGGGTCAAAGTGTGTAAACATATTGCCAATTAGCTTTGCAGAATCTGCACCAATTAATACTTCACATATGATCACATAAAATATATGTTGAACATGGTTATCAACATTTGTGAGGCAGCAATACAATAGTGCCCTTTTTATTTTTTATTTTGAAATGGAGTGTTGCTCTGTTGCTCAGGCTGGAGTATAGTGGCATGATCTCGGCTCACTGCAACCACCGCCTCCCGGGTTCAAGCGATTTTCCTGCCTCAGTCTCCCGAGTAGCTGAGATTACCGGCACGTGCCACCACAACCCACTAATTTTTGTATTTTTAGTAGAGACGGGGTTTTACCATGTTGGCCAGGCTTGTCTCAAACTCCTGAGCTCAAGTGATCTGCCCGCCTCCGCCTCCCAAAGTGCTGGAATTACAGATGTGAGCCACTGCACTCGGCCCAATAATGCCTTTTTATTTTAGTTTCACGTCTTTGATTACTAAGCAGTCATTGAGATTGCAGAGGTGCCAGAGCAGGCTCACGGAGGCCCTTGAACAACCGCTAGTGCCAGGGACAGACACCCTGCAGGGTTTAAGTAACTTTAACCCCCAGGAACATTTTAGAAAAATTCCATTTACATTTTGTGCTTTGGGTAAAAACACAGTGCTATGCTTATGGAATTTGTCTTGCTTCTTCTTCCACCACCAGAAGGATCAGCGGTGACTCACCAGCTCTGAAAGGGGATTAGACCTCCTATGATTTCAATTTGACTTAAGCAATAATCATGTCATATGCAAATCCCTGAAACCCAAAGTAGACATTTTTTAAAGCCGACTTCATATAGAGTCAATTATCCTGAGCAGATTATGTTTTTAGTTCGGACTAATTATCCGTGAATTGGACATACTGGAGGAAGTTCTGGCTGGGTCCATAGACAGGAACATGGAGCCAGGCAAGGGAAGCCTGTTACTGCAGAACTAGGGAACTTCAAAGACACAGCTGAAAAGCCAGAAGGAAAACAAAGACTTGTAACATATTTGCAGTACAAAATGTGGAGTTGGGGGTGGGGGGAGGAGTGCAAAATTCAGAAGCAATTAATTCATTTCTTTCGGAGCTAATTTATGAATCTTTACTCTGAACTCTCCAAGTCCCTTCCTTTGTTTCAGGTCCAATACTCCTTGTGATTCACATACCTAATTAATTAGAACATACATTGCCTTACTTTGCCAAAGGTGCATAATTTATCATGCTGGGCTCTTGAAACCATCTTAGGTAGATTTTTTGAAATGTATGCAAATTGACTCACCACCAGCTCTGCAGTTCAACAATGGAAACTGGGTGTTCCTATGGGAACCCTTGAAAGTGTACCTTCTTTTCCTTACTTGGGATCTTTAAAACCAAGGGGTGGGAGGTCATTTTACTAATAGACAATTGAAGTGGAGAAGTAGTGTGGTGTATTTCAAATTTCTCATCTCCAGTTCATCCTGTGTGTGCTACTGTGACCAGGGCCTCAGTTTCCCCATTTACAGTTGACCCTTGAACAACATAGGAATTGGCACATTGACCTTCTGGCAGTCAAAAAATCATGTATAACTTTTGGCTTCCCCAAACTTAGCTAATAGCCTATTGTTAACCAGAAGCTTTACTGATAACATAAGCAGTCTTTTAACACGTATGTTGTATGTTACATGTATTATATACCGTATCCTTACAGCAAGTAAGCTGGAGAAAACATGATATTATTTTAAAAAAACACAAGGAGGCTGGGTGCGGTAGCTCATACCTGTAATTCCAGCCCTTCGGGAGGCCGAGGCTGGCAGATCATTTGAGGTCAGGAGTTTGAGACCAGCCTGGCCAATATGGCGAAGCCCCATCTCTCCTAAAAATACAAAAATTAGCCAGGTATGGTGGCAGGCGCCTGTAATCCCAGCTACTCTGTAGGCTGAGGCACAAGAATTGCTTGAACCCGGGAAGTGGAGGTTGCAGTGATCCTAGATAGTGCCACTGCACTCCAGCCTGGGCAACAGAGCAAGACTCCAACTCAAAAAAAAAAAGAAAAAGAAAAAAGAAAATAGAAAAGAAAAGAAAAAACAACAAAGCAAAGCAAGCCAAAAAAACCACAAGGAAGAGAAAATATATTTCCCATTCATTAGGTGGAAGTGGATCTTCATAAAGGTCTTTATCCTCATCATTTTCACATTGAGTAGGCTGAGAAGGAGGAAAAAGAGGAGGGGTTACTGTCTCAGGAGTGGCAGAGGCGGAAGAAAATCCACATATCAGTGGACCCATGCAGTTCAAACTGTATGAAGTGGGAGGAGGTCATTGAATTAGATGGTCTCTGAGAGAGCTCCCAAGGCATGCATGCTGTGTCACAAGGTGGCCTGGACTTAAGTTTCCCATCGAGTTCTTGTTTCTGCAAGGCCAATAACGTATTAACCGACAGACAGCCTGGACTTGGGTTTGAGACACCACAAAAAATGGAGGAAATTCCACTTTCATTGACTTATCTAGAATTTTTCAACCAGAGATGCCTAGAAAAAGGCTATTTTGGCTTTATTATAGTTTGTCTTGTTTGTGTTAGGGCTTGGGGTATGTTTTGAATTATAGTTGTAGGTAAGGTACGAGGGTGAGTACTGTAATCTTTTCGGCGTTCAGGACCTCTCAGGACTTAGCTGAACCCCATGTCAACCTAAGCATTCTCTTCACGATAAGACTGCTAATTAGGACTTCTGAAAGTCAAGCGGTTTAGGCTATGTAAGGCTAGCGTGTGAAAGCCGTTCCAAATGCTTTTATCAATGCTGCAGAGCTTTCAAATAAAGACCTCTTGCTTCCTATGGCTTTTCCAAATAAGGAATGGGGATTTTGTCCGTGTAAATGTCAGTATAAATATGCATCTGAGTGTTGGCCACGTTAGCTACCTACCTATAAGGATTTTTACAGCCTCAGGTGGATTCTCTCTGAGGCTGGAAAGGTAACAAGATCAGGCTGTGCTTTTCTGTTTTAATTACTTTTCTATTTGGAGTGTAATTTCAGAGATGTGTTCTTAATTTTCCACAGTGAGGTTTGGGGGTAAATGTAAAGGGATGTCCTCTCCATTTCTCTGGATTTTTATAGCTTGCTCAAGCCAGATGACAGTCCTGCAGCTGTTGCCTTGAAAACACCTGGCCCCTATACAGATACCAGAATATGAACGCTGGTTGACCCAGATACGTATGTCTTATGTCAAGGTTATTTAATATTTTACATCAATGAAAGCCACAGCTGAGCTGGAGAAATCTTGGAGTTGATGTGATTCACACATGGAGGACAGAGTGACTTGTCTCTAGGTGAGTGGGCTGCAATGGAGAGAGCTGAAATGAGTGACTCTCACAACCTTTTTGTTCCAGTTCACACCTTGAACAGGCTTAAAGAAACAGACACACACGTAGCAAATGGCAGAGGCCATAGTAGGGGCAGGGACTTGACGTGCTGAGCTGACATCTTTTGGGAACAATTCAGAGTCCTATCTATGCTTTTGGCCTGCAGAATGTTTAAAAACCTTGACCAGGCCGGGCACGGTGGCTCACACCTGCAATCCCAGCACTTTGGGAGGCTGGGGTGGGCGGATCATGAGGTCAGGAGTTCAAGACCAGCCTGGCCAACATGGTGAAACCCCGTCTCTACTAAAAAATACAAAAATTAGCCAGGTGTGATGGCACATGCCTGTAATCTCAGGTACTCAGGAGGCTGAGGCAGGAGAATCGCTGGAACCTGGGAGGCAGAGGTTGCAGTGAACTGAGATTGTGCCACTGCACTCCAGCCTGGGTGACAGAGCGAGACTCTGTCTCAAAAAAAAAAAAAAAAAAAAAAAAGTCCTGACCCAATTGTCAACCTTTAAAAGGCAATGATTTCACTTAAAAATTTGATTTTCAGCTTCTTTTGAAAAAGAATTCCTGACAACACTGGGCAGGTATTTCTGGAGCTGGGTGGGAGCTGCTCTCATTCCACTCTCCCACCCTGTCACTGTACTGGGTCCCTCCCCGCCTCCACCCCTGTTTTGCTGGTTTCATTACCTGCCTGGACTGGGAGTATCCGAGCCTGTGGCCCTAGCTCTAAACTAATGTAAACACCAGTCTGGGCAAGTTTTTAATCTTCCCTAGGTCTCAGTTTTTCCATTTGTAAAATGAGGAATTGGATTGGATAGGGCCCCAAGTCTCTCCCAATTCTCAGATTTCATGATTTTGGGGTGATTATGAATTTTAAAATACTTCGGGCACATATTGAGAAGCAGTTACACTTCTTTGACCTTGAAGAATTCTAAAATTCCTGAAGGGGGCTAGGTGCGGTGGCTCATGCTGTAATCCTTGCACTCTGGGAGGCCGAAGCAGGAGGATTGCTTGAGATCAGGAGTTCATGACCAGCCTGGGCAACATGGTGAGCCCCTATCTCTACAAAAAACTGAAAAATAAAATTCATGAAGTGTTACAAAACCATTTGTATTTTGTCATTGGGAGACCAAGGCTTCTACTACTAGTTTGAAGGATTTGTGGGAGAACCGAAGGTGTGGTTTAGCTGTGGGGTTTGTCTCCACCTTTCAAGCAGGCCAGGAGGCTGCAGGGATGGGGTATCAACAGAGGGACACCTTTGCTTTGTGCCTGGTGCTTACTGTGTAAATCCAGCCTAGCTCTAGACAGCCCTGTCTGAATTACAGGCCCGTCTATTGGCCTGAATCCTCACATCTTCTCTCCCATCCAAATCGGTTTCTGGGCATGAGAAGAACACTGGGCCAGGAGCTGGCCGCTCTAGATTCTTGCCTTGGATCTATCTTGGTTTTACTGCATGGTCCTGCTCATGTCCCTTATCACTTTCCACCTCTGTGAGAATGAAAGAAATTTCTTCAAGCTCTAACATCCTATGCTCCTAAGGTTCATCTGATGGTCCTCTAGGAAGCACCGAGGGAAAGCCTACAGAGGAAATCGCTGGGTCCCCTTCCTGCAAACCACTTGCAGTGTGTTGAGGACAGTATACAGACCCAGCAGGAGTGAATCAATAAGCCATGCTCTCTGGCCCTGAGAAACTTTATATCTAGTGGGAAAGAGAGAAAATATACTTAAGACTCTATCACAGAAGAGGAAATAAGTGCCATTTGTCTCCTTTTTCTCCACTTTCAAGGGTCATTCATGTTCAACATCTGAGCCTTTGCAGAGAAACAGAAAGAAATAATTTGAAAAGAAGAGCAGAAAAATATAAAAATTAGATTAAAAATTGTCTCTTGTCAGATTGATTTTTCTAAAACACAGCTCCTATGACATACTCTGAGAATGCTCTGTCCTTGTAAAGTCTTGTATGGAGTTCAAATTCCTTCATAGATTCTTTCTCTTTTGGCTCCAAACAACCAGCATGACTACCTTTTGCTCTTCACCAGTGAGAGAAACCATGACCCTCTGCTCATGTCCTCCCCAAACAAGCATCCCTTATTCCTGCTCGACCTGCCCACCCAGCCTCTCCTTCTCTACAAATCCAGGAGTACCTCCAGGGCCCCATTTATGTGGTGCAGCTCACCCTACGGGTATCTCCTCTGAGCACATTCCCGTCTCTTCTCAATTCTCTTGCACTGGCTCACTCATTGTTCTGGCCCATGCTGCCTGTTCTTAACGATTTTCACTCTCCGCGTGTTTTGTCTCTGCAACCGTAATGCAACCTACTTCACCCCAGAGTTTGTGCTTTGAGTTCCTGCCACAGGGAATTTAGACACAGTAAAGGCTGAGTAAATATTTGTTAAGTGAACAAATGACTGAGTGAGTCAATGAAGGAAAAGCTAAAAGGAACAAATGTTATCCATGTGAATGGTACACCGCCTCTCAAATGGCACAGCTTCTCTCCTTGCTTTCATCAATTTCTCACCGGCTGACATTTCCTGTATCTTGCCATTGGTGCACACAGGCACTCAGGCCTGGCCAGTGTCCTTCCCAGGCTAAAAAGGATCTCATTTTCAAGGTTGTCTTTTCTTGGTGCTTCAGAGGTTGACCAGCTGACGAGTTCTCTGAGAACATTTACTATTTTTCTTCCTCTGCCCTGGAGAAAAGGGCTAGGCTGGCCACTTTATCTTCCTTATCTGTGATACTGCAGCCAAATGTCATTAGTCTGACCAGTTAGGGATGAAGGACAGACCAAGGAAGGAGAAAGCCTGACCATAGACATCATGCTCAAGGAACCCACAGTTTGTCTTCTCTAACTACTTCTTACTATGTGACTGATACTGCCCAGAAGTTACTCAGGTACCTATTTTAATAAATGGATGAGAACAACATATAATAACTGTATTAGAATTCTTCAGAGAAACAGAACCAATATGGGGTGTGTGTGTGTGTGTGTGTGTGTGTGTGTGTGTTTGTATAAAAAGATTTAAGGAATTGGCCCACATGATATGGAGGCTGGCTAGTCCCAAGATCTGCAGGGTGAGACCTAGGAGAGCTGATGGTGTGGTTCTAGTCCAAAGGCTGGCAGGCTTGAGACCGGGAAGAATTGGTGTTTCAGTTCAAGTCTGAAATCAGGGGAAAAAAATGATGTTCCAGTTTGAAGGCTGTCAGGCAGGAAGAATTCTGTCTTCTCCAGGGGTGTGGTGTGTGTGTGCGTGTTGGGGAGTATCAGCCTTTTGTTCTGTTCAGGTCTCCAACTGATTGGATAAGGCCCACCCACATTAGGAAGGGCAATTTACTTTACCCTGTCTACTGATTTATGTTAATCTCATCTCAAAACACTCTCATAGAAACATCCAGAATAATATTTGACCAAATATCTAGGCACTCCTTTGTTACAGGATCTTTGGGGTGTCACTTTTCTGGCTGGAAACCTCTGTGCAGCTGTTGCAGTAGGGTGGGCAGCTGCAGGTGCCAGCATGGGCGCCAGCTCTCTGTGAGATTACAGCTGGACCAGGAGCACTGCAAGCAGCTTCCTCAGCTGGCACTGGGGAATGTGGTGGCACCGGAAGCTTGGAGATGCCAGGAAACCTCAGGGCCCTAAGGAAGGAGTGACATCCCTAACTTGGGAAGCTCACAGGTCTGGGCTCCCCAAGGGGCCACAGCTCTTCTCTCTGTCTGCAATATGGCAAGCAAGGGGCATGTCTCAGCCCTGTTTGTGTTATAGCTCTTTTAGCCTCACCGTTTGGTGGGTCCTGAGTTCTTGTCCTGCGACCAGGAAGAATGAGGTATGCAGACAAGTGGAGGATAAGCAAGAGGAAAAGGAGCTTTATTGAGTGATAGAGGGGACCAATAGGGGGTAGCTCCTTCCCACAGCCAGGGTATCCCGAGTGTTCAGCTTCTAGCAGAGAGGAGACCCTGGAGTGGGAAGCTCCTCTCAGAGGGGAGACCCTGGGATAGGTTGCTCCTCTCTGCAACTGGTCTTCCTGATGTCTGCCCTGCTCTAGCTCAGCCTGGGGCTTTTATGAGTCTTGGAGGGGAGGAAGTGCATGGGGATTGGTCCATGGGCAGCCATGCAGGGGCCCAGAAAAGGCAACACAAGTCCCCACTCTGGTCTGTGGGACTGGAAACCTGTCCCCCAGGTTTCAGGCCCTACCTAGCCTGAAGGTGGGGCCTCACTGGGGACCCCACCCCTTCCCTCCAGGAGCCATCTGCCTCCTGCCTCCATCCCTGGTGCCCAGGATGCTCATGCCATGGGCGCCTGCAGGCCATCACTGACCTGCCCGAAGCACCTCCTCAGATTACCCCCTCACCCTCCCCCACACTTCTGGGCACCCAAAGTCCAGGGCCTGAGGTGGCAGGGGGCTGGCATGTCAGCACTGCCCCCAGCGTGTGCACCCCTGCTCCACGTTTCTCTGAGATCGGAGCTGGTGCCCACAGTGGGGAGAAGCCAGGTAGTGGGAGCAGGCACTTCTGAGCATACAAGAGCATGGGGGGCCTTCGTAGGCCCCCAAGAGCACACAGAGGCCCGGATCCATTATCCTGACTTGGGTGGCTGCAGCTGTGCTCAGGAGGGCAGGGCTGCTGCCTGCTCCCAGTTCCCACTGGCTCTGTGGAGCATGCAGCCATGGCCATGCCCCCTCACAGCCTGGAGCAGGGGCTCCAGGTCCTTGCTGGGCCTGGGCCTGCATCTGGGGCAGGGGTGATACCGCCATGAGCTCCCCACATTGCCCCAGCACTGAGAGGTGGCCCTGGGCTGAGGGGATCGGGCCCCAGGCCTGACTGTAGGGAGTGTCAGGCTCGGCGGTCACTTCCACGCAGGGCAGACCCCGAGACGCAGCCCCAGGTGGCCCTGTGCAGAGCCTCCTCCTGAGGCGCAGGAACACGGCACCCTTGGTGGGGTGGGCCCAGTGGCTGCACCACTGGTCGGGTCCCTGAAGTGGGTGCCGCTCTCACTTGCACCCCGGGCCTCCAAAGTGCAGCCCCATCTCTGTGTCCGGAACCGGCCCCCGCACTCCGTGTGCAAGTGTGGCACCACCCCGGGCCCAGCTCTGCCTCGGGTCCCTCTGCCCAACTGCGTTGCTCCTCCGCTGTATTGCTTCCTCACCGACGGGCTACTTGGCCCGGCCCGTCACAGCAGCCCCCAGGGCGGAAAGCTGCGGAGAGGAGGTGGGGCGCTGTCCGCCTCCTCCCTGCATGCTCCCTGCAGCGGCCAGCATGATGACAGCGGCCACTCCAGATGGCCCGCTACTGCCATTACCTTGACCTCATCAAGTTGACATGTAAAATTAACTATCACGGTAACCAAAACAAGAGATTTTAACATAATGAATACCTTTCAAGTGGTTAGAGTCTTCGAGGATAATTTGTTTTGCTTCACGTTGCCTAAATGTTCTGCAGTTTGGTCTACACCCTGAGTGAACCAACTTCTCAGACCTTTGAAAAGGGGGAGGGAAGAGAGATGAGGAGGAGTGGCAAGCGTGAATTCCTCCATAAGGAACCCCCCCCGCCCCGCCGATATGGTGTGTGAGAGTGTGAGCACAGCTTTTCCTGCCTCCAGAAGTGGAAGATGGAAGGCTCACTGGTTTAAGCAGAGCTTCTGGAATCAGTGTTTCACCTTATGGAGCCACAGTTGAAGTACAGTGGGACTCCCAGTGGATAATTCAGAGGCAGGAAAATAGAGTCCATCCCAGGCACTCTGAGGTATTTCTAACACTGATTTTTCTGGGAATAAACCACTTGAATGACAGATTAATTAACAAATGATAGCTATAGTTTTTGTTTTGTTTTTGTTTTTACATTACTTCTGTGATCATATAAATAAAAGCAACTGGGCCAGGTGCTGTGGCTTACGCCTGTAATACCAGCACTTTGGGAGGCTGAGTCAGGTTGATCACTTGGGTCCAGGAGTTCGAGACCAGCCTGGGCAACATGGCAAAAACCCTGTCTCTAGAAAAAAATGCAAAAAATTAGGCAGGCATACACTATAGGTGGTGGTGGACACCTGTAGTTCCAGCTACTCTGGAGGCTGAGGCGGGAGGATTACTTGAGCCCAGGTCAAGGCTGCAGTTAACCTTGATCATGCCACTACACTGCAGCCTGGGCAACAGAGTGAGACCCTGTCTCAAAAAATAAAATAAATTGAAAAAAAAAAAGCAATTGTTCAGTGCTTCCCAAGTACAGTACTATTTACGATGCTAAATGTTTTCTATAGTTTTTTTTATTCGATCTAACCAGCAAACAAACCTAGTCTGCATTTTTGTTTCCATTTCACAGATGTCAAAACAGAAACTCAGAGACATTAAGCTACTTGTTCCAGGTTGCAGATCGGGTAAGTGAAGAGCTGAGAATGACATGCTGGTCTTCTCACCCCAAAGCTCATGGTCTGCTACCTCCACAATTGTCTACACTGCAAGAACAAGCCTCTTGTTACACAGGCTGGTCAGTCATTCCCAAAGACCTTTTAGTGGAATCCCTCTCCTCCTCTGGATGTATCCATACCAATTTGGAACAACTGTGATTTTGTTGTGATAATTGAAAAGGATTTGATGATTCTGTATATTATGTTGGTACAAGCAGGCTTTACCTGTAAGAAACATCTGTTCTTTCTGGATGACAACATTATTCTGAGATGGAATAAAAATGCAGAAGAGGGCAGATAATTTCATCCCACAACAATTTTCAGTTTTAGAATGGTTTTGCAAATGGTGCTGAAGGAGGTACCTATTCCATGTGGAATAGACTAGGACATTTTGTTCCTTCTGAACAAACCTGGGGAGAAAAAGAAAGAAAATCCAAGTTTTATTTTAAAAGCATTAAAAGGCTGCTGCTGTGTACTCAGTCACAGCTTTGGGCACCCACATGGCTACACACTGTGGAGATGGAGAGGGAAGAAGGCAGGCTTTGCCTGGTGGGCAGATGATTTAGTTCAGGAGCACTGTTGCGAAAGTGGAAACCCACTCAGCTCAGCTCCAGGATAATGGGGTATTGAAGGAAAGCACAGTCCAGCCAGGTACCCAGGGGTGGGAGAGGGGTACTGGGCAAGTTGCTGTCCCTCCACTTAAGATGAGCTCCATGGTGTCCCACACTTTTGCTCCATCCTGCACATAGCTGCTTTCCTCCTAATTAACTGCCAGGCCCACTACAGGGAGACTCATGCAAATGGAAATATTCCAAAGGATGAATAACCCCCCAAAACATGGTGGGGGGGAATTGCCCATTAACTTTCTGTGTAGCTTCAGTTATATCCAGTGTCCCATCTTCAACTTTTACACAAAGCTGGGTTTGAGCCCTGGCTCTACTACATGTCAGCTGACTGTGGGCATGTCTTGTGACTCCTCAAAGTCTCAGTTCCCTCTTCGGTAAACTGGAGACCATGGCTCCCAACACAGATACCAGGAGGAGTAAATGGGAGAATGCATGCCATGTGCTTTGGCAGTACCTAGGAAAAGATAGTTCTTATGATCTTTGTAGCTCTCTAAGTTTGGGGAAGTGAGCTGTTGGGTCCAGGGTGCTGGCTGGGCAGGCTGATGCAAACCCTGCCTCCTTGGGGGCTCTGGGAATGATTCTGTAGGGCTGTTTGCTCAGGGAATCTGGTAAAGGAGGGAGCAAGAGAGAGAATGTAAGAGCATAACCAAGTAGGAGTGCTGGGAGCCAAACTGGGTCAGGAGCTGGGGTGCAGCATGGAGCCGAATTAAAGGCCCAGAGAGAGTGAAAGTGACCTTCCAGCTCTGATATTTGTGAGTCTAGATGGTCTGCTGTCACGTGACTCAGAACATGAAATGAGCAAGTGATGTTAGAGGAGTCGTTAGGGTAGAGACCACATCTTTCCTCTTCACTGCTGCATCCCTGGCTCCTGGCACAATGCTCAGCTCATTATAGTGACTCCATAAACACCTGTTGAATACATGAATTCATGGATGAATGACATGGGCATTGTGAGAGTAAACTAACTGGGGCATAAGTAAGGAGCTGTGTAACGTGGAGTCATGGGTGTTACAAGGTCCTGGGCATGACAGGGTACTCATGCACAAAACCAGGTAAATTGGTCCAATAATACCACCACCACCAATACCACCATCCTTATCTTATTAATAGCTACCATTTTTACACACATTTTTGTTGGGGAGCAGAGTCTGTTTTAAGTTGTCTTGCTTTATTTAATTATTACAATTTCCCTGGTAGATAGATATCATTATTCTCATTTCACAGATGTGGAAACTGAGGCCAAAAGATTAAACACCTTTCTGAGGGTGACATAGTCAGTGAGTGGAAAAGTTGTGATTCTAACCCACATGTGCCTGACTCCAGCCAATGTTATAATGTCTGCCAAATATGCACCCTCTCTTTGTGGACCAAAAGGCCATCCTTCCAGGCAGCAGCCAAAGTGTCAAACAACTGGGGCTGTGTGATCCATCTAATCTGAGTCACACCTGGGTTGACCAGCGAACTAAGGGCAGTCATCTTACAGGCTCTGGGTTTAAGAGGGAGAGACCCCTGACCATAATTACACACGATAGGGAAGAGGGAGAGGTTCCTGGGACGCTGGGGCATCTCTTTCTAGTGAAAAAAGTCTGGAGAAGGATGTGGCTGCCTTGTGAGCAGCTCTTTCCAGAATGGTATTCTTGCGCAATGCCTTTGGATGAAGAGGTCGTGGGCATTGGGATAGCCAGTGGACTGTTGACTGTTGAGTTGGAGGCTCTGGCTGGATACACTGGACTGTTCTTATAAAATCATAGTAAGTAAATGTATAAGTATGGTATATGAGACATCTCTATATTTATATCTAGGTGGAGGATCTCATGAAGAGTGAGGAGATCCATAAACGACCTGAGTTTAGTTTCTCCTGAGCACACCGTCTTGGGCATACCTCCTTGGAGTTGCCTCCTGAAACCCCCAGAAGTAGCTTAGGGAGACTTATAGTGAAGAGTGAGGAGTTAACAATGATATGGGTAGGGATAGCACCAAGTCAAAATCCTAAATTAAAGTTAATAGGACCCCATTGCAACCTTCAGTCTGGTGAGACCAGGGATTGTTTGGGTCACAAGGAAAAAGGTTTTTGCTTTGCTTGAGCCAGAGGTAACTGGTTGATTGAGGGATCTTGGGCATATGTGTGAGAAGACCACCAAGAGACAGAAATAATTCAGGAAAAAGAGTCAGCTGCCTCTGCATGGTGGCCCGTTTTTATCTAGAGGTTGAAAAGCGGCTGTAAATTCCTTGGCAGCTGTCCATCAAGGGCTGGGTTTGTTTCTCAACCATTTGGATAAGGGTGGGCTTTGTGACCAACAGAAGAATGTTTGGAAGGGATGCTGTTATGGCTCCTAAGAAATTGAAAGCTTGTACTTCCCGGATATTTGAATTTTCTTTCTGAGAGCTCCATCCCCCCAGGTGGAAGTGTGACTATCCTGAAACTGTCATGCTGAAAGGTCACAGGTGGACTCCTCAGTCCAACAGTTCAGCTGAGCCCAAGCTTCCAGCCACCCCCACCAGGGTGCCAGACATGGGAGTGAAGCTGTCGGGTCTTCTGAACTAACCCATCCACCAGCTGAATTTCCCTGAGTGATTTCAGTTGATGGCTTATGAAGCAGAAAACTTACCCAGCTGAGCCTTGCTCAAGTTCTTGATCCATAAATTGTGAGATATAGTCAAATGGTTGTTTTTTAAAAAGTCACTGAGTTTTGGAGTGATTTGTTATTCAGTAATAGATAACCAGAATAATCATCTTTCAGCCCTCTTTCTTGCCCAGACTGGGGAGAGCTTCAAGTGTTGGTCAAACAAGGACAATGTTTCTGGAGAGATACAGGAGTATAACTGGCACGTGAAAGTATTTAGGGATGGCTGTGGCTCTGAAGTTGAATCTCTAGGACTGAGACCTTGTCTTCTTCAGTTCAGATTTAATACCTTATCTCTAGGTGCATGTGAACTCTTGGGCTTAAAGGGGCACAATTGACCATCATGATTCTGGAGTTCTGGAGGAGAAAGGACTGTCTTCTTTCAGCCATGAGTCTTCTACTAATGTTGAAGGAGGAATCCCTGTTCTCTTTCTTGGATGGAACATGGCTGTGGTGTTCATGGTATGATGGGACTTGCTTCTGGGGAAGGTGGTCTGGCTCATGGGATGAGGGTGGGGCTTGTTCTCCTTTGCCTTCTCATATTTTTGAACCTATAAGGTCAGATTGTAGGCTGCTATTCTTTATTCTATATCAAAGTCAAACAATAGTAAGAAAAGCACGGCTTATTTGTCAATATAATGGTTGTAAAAAATCATGCCAAATAAGTTTGAATTACTGTAAACATCATTTTATTTGTAAGTACTTATTAGTTATGTACTCTGTGCCTGGCCTTTGGAGCTAGAAACTAGCTCCACGGAGACAACGAAGACACAGTCCTGCCCTTAAAGTGCTAACCGCCTGCTAGAAGGTTGCAACACAGGATGGTGAGTGGCACAAGGAGGACCAATCCACGGGCTGCAGAAACCCAGGGGAGGAAAGGGGACATCTTCCAAGAACATCGTGGGAATGGGTTGGACAGATCAGATAAAATGGAACCTAGAGCTCTTTCATAAAGAGAAGAGCTTCAGGAATTGAGTGTGTCATAACTCAGGCTCTGCTACTTCAGAAGTAACAGCAGGGGTGATGGCAAGAGGTTTGGGTTAGCAGTGAGCACCATGAGGTCCTGTGTCCTTGGAAAGGAGGAGGAAAGGTGGCCCTGGCAGATCCCAGCTGAGACCTCAGAAAGGAGTGGTGGCTTCTGCTTGGCTCTTAGGGACCTGAAAGTGATAGTGATGATGGTGACATTCTTACTTATGATCTCTTTTAAATTCCCCAATATTTATGAGAAAGGAAATATCATATCCTGCTTTGTAGGTGGTGAAACTGAGGCTGAGAATAGTTAATTGTTTGGATGAAGCCCACACGACTAGTTAGTGGCTCAGATAGGTTTCTTATTTCATCCCAGTCTGGGATGAAATTTCATACTCCTACTTTTCAGAAGAACCAAGCTTGGTCAGAGTTAAAGCCTTTGAGATTAATCTGGTACTTTATCATTTTACAGAGTTTTATAGTCAGATTTTCCAGGATTTGGAGAGGATTCTGAGGTCACCTAGTCAGTCCAGCAACTTAAAACTGCATTGCACTTTTCCTACTTGAGGGGAGATTAGAAAAGTGATGGTGGAGATGACCTTCACTCAGTTTTCTATTTTGCAGAGCTTGATCATCATATCAAATTGCAGTTCATTCTGCTTTTTTTACCCCTTACGTGATGCACATTTTCTCATGTCTCACTTCACCTCCAGGAGGATTGAAATTTACTGGTATATAAAATTGTATATTGTCTTTGATCCCGATTTTGTTATGTGATCAAGAAGACCAGAAAGAAATACATCCAAATGATAAAAGTCGTCATCTGTGTTATGGACCAACTACTGATTTTTATGTCTGTTTTTATATTTTCTTCTGTACAGTCGAAATTTTTTTACAGTGCCAAGCACATTATGTGGAAGTGTTTCACTACAGACTGGCAGTCTGCATCTCAGATCTAGATCTTCAAATTCTATCTCAATCCAGGAGGTTCAGAGATAGGGTCCTTTTCCCCAGAAGACAGTGGGTGAAACTGACGGAGATCAAAGTCGTCTTTGTGCTTAATCCATGCACACCAGGCTGAAAAGTCTTTGCGAGTGCCAAATGGAAGCGCTTCCTTTCTCACCTTCTCTCTCAGAGATGTTGAAAAAGATTAAAGTGACAAAGTCAACAAGTTTCTTTGAACTTTCTCGAAGAAAGGATGGATGCAGGACAAAATGTTATTTATTTCTAGCAGTAAAAGAAGGAGCTACTAGGGAGACCTCTGTTGTGCTAGCTTTATTGATATGCCCATTATGTTTATAATAGTAATACTGATACCCCCATTAAGTCAATTCCCATACCAGCCACCATAGGGAAACTGACATTTGACCTTGTTACTTCCTTGCTTGAAACCTTTCTAGGACTTCCCATTGCCTGCAGGATAAAATTCAACTCTGTGTTATGGAACACAAATTATCTACTGACACCCTGTGCTCTGAGCATTAAACCTCAGCAAGTCCTACCACACCTTGGGGCTTTGCATATGCTTGGCCCTACATCCAAAATGCCTTTTCTCCTCTAGTATACTTTGAAAACGCCTGTGTAACCTTCAAAATCATGATTCAGAGACCTCCTTCTTAGAAGAAGCCTTCTTGGGCCAGGCGTGGTGGCTCATGCCTGTAATCCCAGCATTTTGGGAGGCTGAGGCGGGCAGATCACAAGGTCAGGAGTTCGAGACCAGCCTGACCAATATGGTGAAACCCCGTCTCTACTAAAAATACAAAAATTAGCCAGGTGTGGTGGTGCGTGCCTATAACCCCAGCTACTCAGGAGGCTGAGGCAGGAGAATCACTTGAACCCTTGAGGTGGAGGTTGCAGTGAGCTGAGATTGTGCCACTGCACTCTAGCCTAGGCAACAGAGCGAGACCCCATCTCAAAAAAAAAAAGAAAAAAAAAGAAAGAAAGAAAAGAAAGAAGCCTTCTTGGGTTTCCCTTCCCATCCTAAATGAATCCCATGCTTCATTATTACATCAGTAGTTCACATCTCCCTATATTACATGAAACACAATAGGCTGCATTTACTTGCTTGCTTTTCTGTGTTCCCAACTGAACAATAATCTCTTCGATGGAAAGCATGGTGTCTCATTTGTCACTCTATTCTCAGTGCCCAGCAAATGACTGACACAGAGGATTCATTCCAAGGAAATTTGTTGAACTGAACTGTTGAACTGTATATGAGTGGAATATCAGGATCTGATATAGTTTGTCTCTGTGCCCCCATCTCATCTTGAATTATAATCCCCACGAGTTGAGGGAGGGACCTGGTGGGAGGTGATTGGATTATGGGGGCAGTTTCCCCCATGCTGTTCTTGTGATAGTGAGTGAGTTCTCACAAGATCTGATGGTTTAAAAGTATGTAGCAGTTCCCCACTCTTTCCTGCTGCCATGTAAGACGTGCCTTGCTTCCTCTTCACCTTCCGCCATGATTGTAAGTTTCCTGAGGCCTCCCCAGCCATATGGAACTGTGAGTCAATTTAACCTCTTTTCTTTAAAAATGACCCAGTCTCAGGTAGTTCTTTATAGCAGTGTGAAAATGGACTAATACAGGATCCCAGTGGTGTAAGCCTTGAAACAACATATAGAAGAGAGAAACATCTTGATGGACAAACATAGAAGTGTGTCTGTATAATTTGGTCATATACCATAAATATGATTGTTTAGTGTCATTCTTGCTTGTTTGAATTATGATGCAACAATCCTAGCTGCTCCAGTTGAAAACTCTGAGCTGTTGTGAAATATTGCTCCATTCCTCCATGAAACAGACTGAGAAGAAATGAAGTTGCAAGAGAGGCATTCAGACAGACAGTGCCTGCACAGCTGTTGGCCTTGAACATCAGTATTGTACTGGCAGCCAGAGATATTCTGCCAGCCCACTTTATGGTGAGGGGCATTTTGAAGGAAGGTCTCCAGGCACTCGACTATGGGCTCAGTCAGCAATGATGAAGGTAGCTGATAGCTCAATGCCGCAGTGACATGGAAATCACCTCAGACTTCAGATGGGACTTGGGCTTACTAGACAGCCAAGAATCAGCCTCTGATGTTATTGGAACACAACTTGTATTTCTGTCGCCAAGTCCCAGTCCAAGTCAAACCCTGGGAGAGACACCTTCACAAAAATTTTATATAGGCGGATTTCCCTTATATCCTTTAGATTTCAGCCTCCTTCAAATTAGCATGACTAAAACGGCACGTTATCAGCAGAAAGGGCACACTGGTTTGCATGGTTTGCCATTGATTCTGAGAAACACTAGGTCCTATTCTGCTCAACGGACTTTTTTGTTGTTGTGGATATGTTAGATATTCCATGATCAGACTTCTGGGTTTTCAATGCCAAACTTCAAAACTTTTGTATCAGATAAGACAAAGCAAACACTCCTATCTTTTCAACTTCTACTGTCTGTGTGGAGTGGAGGAGAGCAGCTGGAACAGGCTACAAGGCTCAAGGGCTCGTGTGCCTAATAGAGGTAGTTATTAGAGCAGGAGTTGTTCAAATAGAGGTGCTTATTTTGAAAAGGTATGGCTCTTCAAAGTCACTCTGCCTCAAATAATTGTTTGGAGACTAAAGGTGGAGGGGCAGATTTGTAATTCTCTATCTTTAAATATCTCTCTGTATTTTAAAAGTAAAAACGTGTTCATTTTGTTTGAAAAACTTCAATTAGCACAAATTCATACAAAGTAAAATGTAAAACATTCATTGTTTCCAATTTTTACCAACCAACTTCATTCCTAGAGGCAAGGACTATGTAAGGATACCGTTTTCTGTGTATCCTTCTGGGCTTTTTCTGTGTGTATATGTGTGTGTGTGTGTGTGTGTGTATAAATTTTGGGGGGATCACATAAATGGCATCATACTACACATAATATATCAGGATCCCAATAGGAAACAAATGGCATGTTGGAATTAGGATAATTTAAAGGCAGTTTAGTTGGTTACAAGGGATTTTGGGGACTCACAAAAGATTGAGTAGGAAATTGGGGCTTGTGGCAGCAGAGCTGTGTGTAGCCCTAAGTCTGAAGGAATGAGAGGAAGGAATAGTTACTGGAATGATAAGGAGAATGTTCTGCAGAGATGAATGTTGCTTTTTGGTTGGGGGCACACAGCCAGCATGAGACAGCCTTGCAGTGAGGGAGCCAGTGAAATAAACACTTGGATCTCTTTCCTTCACTTTCTCTGATGTGCTTCTGGGGCATCCAAGCGGCTGATTCCAACAGGAGGCCAGAGGGCAGGTTGACACAGACCTGTCTCTAAGATGCAGGGCAGGGGGCAGGGTACCAGAGTGGAGAATGGATCTGCAGCACATGTGTTGATCTCAGCTTGCTTTTTACATTTAACAATAGATCATTGTTGTATTGTCATTTAAAAGAATACTCCATAGTATTCAGTTGTACTGTTCATCTCATCACTTACCAAAAATAATTTAGGTTATTTCAGGGTTTTTGCTATTACCAAAAAGGCACTATGAACATTTTTGTAGAAATAATTTTGTGTGGTTGTCCAGTTCACCAATACAATAAATTGCTTAAAGTAGAATTGCCGATTTGAAGAGTGTGTGCATTTTAATGTAGATAGTTTCTGTCAAATTACATTCTACCAGTAGCTTTCTGATATCCCCTCAACCAACACTGGGTATTGTTCATCATGAAATCCTTGCCATTCTGACAAGTGAGAAAGGATTTATTGGGATTTTTTCACTCTGAGTTCAGTTGAGCATCTTTACATGGTTATTGAACATTTAATTCTATCCATATGTGGTGCTTGAGATCTATTACTTGGCTTTCTCATGTGGATATAAGGTTTTCCATATTTGTAAGAGCTATTTGTCTATTAAGGAAATTATCCTTGTGTCTGTGATATGACTTGTAAATCTTTTCCCACACAGATCTTTATTTGTCTTTTGGTTTTGTTTATGTTTTTCCCCTATTATAGTTATATTATATAGAACTATATTTATTTTTCTCCTATTATATAATATATAACATGTTATAGTTCCCCTATATTATAGTTATTCATTTTTATCAAATGTAATTTGTTGCTGTATTTCTTTGTGACTTCTTGTCTATATAAGTTGCTTAAAATTTTTTCCTCATTGTGTGATTATAAATACATTATTTTTTCCTTGATATTTCCTCCCTCCCATCCTTCCTTCCTTCCTTCCCTCCTTCTTTCCTTCCCTCCCCCCCTCCTTCCATCCTTCCTTCTTTCCATCCTTCCTTCCATCCTTCCTTCCTTCCCTCCCTCCCTTCTTCTTTCCATGTGTTTTTATCTTCAATCTAGTTTTAATTAATTTTTATACAGGAATAAGGTAGTAATCCAGTTTAGTTTTATCAAATGTCTGGCCTATTGTCACAACACTGTTGATTACATTATCTTTTTTGTATTGGTTTAAAACATTTCCTTTAACATTGCTTAAATTTTCATATGGACTTGAATGTATGTTTGAGTTTTTGGAGCTATTCTGTTGCTCTGTCTATTCCTGAACCAACATCAAGTTGTTCTGATCATTGTAACTTTATAACATATTTTCATATCTGGTGTTAGTCTTCCTCATTATTCATAAGATTTTTTCCAATTTTCCTAGTGTTTTATCCACAATGAACTATAAAATCATTGAGGTCTGGTTCTAAACATAACTTCTTGACATTTTGACTAATGCTTGCAAAATATTTTAGAGAGATAGGTCCAAGAATATTAACAGCAGCATTGTGTGCAAAGCCTGAATGCCGATTAACACGATGATATATCAAAACACATAAAATGAGTCAGTGAGAAAGAATGTATTGGTGTTATCTGCATCAAATGGATGACTCTCACAAACTTAATATTAGGTAAAAAAGAGTAAGTCACAAAGGAAGACAATGTTATATGTATGTGTCTATATATGTGCACGTGTATGTATATTTCTGTGTATAACATGAGAAAGTACATTTTGCTTAGTAATATATATTTAAGTAGTAAAAGAAAAAAAATGCATGGAAGTGATAAGCACAAATTCAAGATTGTGGTTACTCATGATAGGATGCGGGGGATACAGCCAAAAAATAGAAACAGATGCCTTCCCCTGTACTGGTATTGTTTTATTTTTTATTTTTTTTTTTTTTTGAGAAGGAGTTTCACTCTTGTTGCCCAGGCTGGAGTGCAATAGTGTTGTCTTGGCTCACTGCAACCTCTGCCTCCCAGGTTCAAGTGATTCTGCCTCAGCTTCCCCAGTAGCTGGGATTACAGGCACCTGCCACCACGCCCAGCTAATTTTTGTATTTTTAGTAGAGACAGTGTTTCACCATGTTGGCCAGGCTGGTCTCAAACTCCTGATCTCAGGTGATCTGCTCACCTTGGCTTCCCAAAGTGTTGGGATTACAGGTGTGAGCCACCACGCCCATCCTTATTTTACTTCTTAAAGCTAAGATACAGAAGAATTTTCTGTGTTATTCTTTTTTGTTGTTGTTGTTTGTTTTGAGTCAGGGTTTCCAGCTGTTGCCCAGGCTGGAGTGCAGCAGTGCGATCTCAGCTCACTGTGGCCTCCATTTTCCCAGGCTTAAGCAGTTCTCCAGCCTCCCAAGTAGCTTGAACTACAGGTGCGAGCCACCAATGCCTGGCTGATTTTTGTATTTTTGTAGAGACAGGGTTTCTGCATGTTCCCAGGCTGGTCTCGAACTCCTGAGCTCGAAGTGATCCACTTGCCTCAGCCTCTCAAAGTGTTGGGGTTACAGGCATGAGCCTCTGCGCCTGGCCTGTGTTATTCTTTAAGCTCTTTTGTATGCCTTTGATGTTGATAATTGTTTTTAATTTAAAAGTTCTACTGAGTACATAAGATAAACATAAAATGGGAAAATATACTTATTCGCAGATGAGGAATGTCACTATCATAATATTTTCAATTCTCCATGACTCCCAGTATATTTATTATTTCCCTTAACACGTTGTATTGAGACTGTTTAAATATTTCTGTGATTATATTTTTATAAAACTATAAACACAAAACCGAGGTTAAAATAGGAAAATGCCTGATGATTTAAGGAGCAGCTCCCTCTCTATTGGAGAAATTTCAAAGAATTAAATGGATTTGACTAGATAAAATTTTTTTAAAAATCTTCAATACTACAGAAACATCATAAAAAATTCAAAAGAAATGCGAAATTAGAAAATATTTATAGTGATATGGTAAAGGAGTCATGTACTTAATATGTCAAAATGTTCACACCAATCAATAAGAAAACATTAAAACTCCAATAAGTAATGAGCAAAAGACCTGAACAGGAACTTCACTGAAGAATAAATACAAATGGCCAATAAATAAAGCAAGCTTAATCTTATTAAAGTCAATTAAAACAGCAAGGCGAGTATTTTTCTTGGTAAATAAGCAAAGATTAAAGATAATATAAAAATACTGGCAAAAGCCATGAGGCTGGTACTCTCACAGACTGCTAGAGGGGGTTTCATCTGCTAAAAGTTTTGGAAAGTAATGAGAAAATATCTCCAGAGCCTTAAAATAGATAATTCTTCAAAGTGGAAATTCATTTTAGAGAGCCATCCTGAGCAAGTAGACAGAAAAATTCAGTCAAATATTAATTTGTGTGAATATTCATCCAAGTTTGCCTGTTTATTTACTCCACGAAGTCTTCAGGGACAAAGATGTAATCAATACACTTGACTTTTTTCTTGATTATGTTTTCATGACATCTTTGTTGCTCTAAATCCCCACTTCTAGTGGAAAAGCCGCTGTGTAGATACATTGTTCTCACCTTCAGAAGCAGGAGGATGAGACATGCTCATTTGTTGCTTGGGAAAAAAACATGAGTCCCTTAACCACCCGGGAGAAATCCATGTTCTTCCTGAATCCTCGTGCTTCTGCTTGAGGTTTTCTCCCATCCTTTGCTACCATATAAAGCAGGGCTTCTCAGCCTCGGCACGATTAATACTGGAGCTGGGCAATTCCCTTTTTTTTTTTTTTTTTGGAGATGGAGTCTTGCTCTATCACCCAGGCTGGAGTGCAGTGGCACGATCTCAGCTCACTGCAACCTCCGCCTCCCGAGTTCAAGCGATTCTTCTGCCTCAGTCCCCCGAGTAGCTGGGACTATAGGTGCCCTCTGCCACGCCCGGCTAGTTTTTGAAGTTTTAGTAGAGACGGAGTTTCACCGTATTGGCCGGGCTGGTCTCCAACTCCTGACCTCGTGATCTGCCCGCCTTGGCCTCCCAAAGTGCTGGGATTACAGGCGCGAGCCACCGCGCCCGGCCCCTTTGTGGTGGGGCTTTCTTGGGCACTGCAGGCCATATAATAGTATCCCTGACCTCTACCCATTAAATGACAGTAGATGACAAAATGTCTCTGGACATTCCTGAAAGTCTCCTAAGGGAGAGGGAACATTGTTCCCTGTTGAGAATCACTGGTTTCAAGCGTTAGTCTTACCGAGCATAGGTCTCTTGTTTCCCTGGGTTGGGAACATAGGCCCTTCTTCCAGAGGAGGAGTGTTGATGTCACATTATAGGAAGGGTGTGTGGGATGGGATTGTATTGAAGTGGCTGGCTTTGGAAAATGCTATCCATCTGCCACACCAGCTTTGTCACTAACCCACTGTGCATTCTTGGGGTGTCCTTTTCCTCTCTGGGTCTCAGTTTCTCCACCAGCAAAATGAAGAATTTGAGCTCAAATCAGTGGTTTTTAAGAAGCATGTCATGGCCCATGTAGGTGCTGCTGTGAGATAAAGGGCTCAGGGAGGAGGACACCCCTCTTTCTTCTTCCAAAGAAACTGTACTTTTATGTTTTACATTTTGGTCTTTCAGGTAAGTCTTGTAACAACGTGATCATGTATATGCATGGCAATATATTCTAATGATGCTAATTCTGTGATGGTTGTGTGGGGTCCTGAGGACAAGTGCACACCCTGGTGTGAGAAGAGATGGAATTTTCCATGGAAGGGAATAGGCCCCCTAGTGTGAGGGGGCATGGAGTTTTTCATGGAAGGGAATGAGTGTTGCTAGGGGAGAGTGTTAGCTGTAGGGCAGGAAACTTGCCTTTGGCCTGGCCGAGACCAAGGGGTAGGACTTAGGGACACAGAGGAGCCATGGAGTGTTCTGCTCTTGTTGGTGAGCCACTCCTGAGAAATGGAGGCAGATATGGGGCCAACAACACCCCAGTTACTTTGATTTTCACTGGGAAGAGCAGCAAGCAGCCAACAGCAGGGGCAGGAGCTGTGGGGTCCTGCAGCCTCCATGTGGGTGTATTTGAGTTTTATTCTTGTTACAAGAGGGACCAGGGTGGACCCTGTGTATACAAAAAGAGCTGTGGTCTATCCTCAAGGCCACATTAGGGGCATCAGCATTAGACATCTGAAGAAACAGCTGTGCCTGTTGGAGGCTGGACTTAAGGGGCCAGAGAGCCTTACTGTAGAGCCACTCTACCTAGTCATTTTGTTGCCCTAGAATGGGAGCATTTTAGAAACAACTAGTACCACACTGTAAGTAGGACCAGGACAGACAGCAGGTCAGGAGACAGTCGAGCTCCACTTTCAGAAATGAATCAATTTTTAAAATAAAGTATACTGCCAGGGGACTCTGCAGTTCTGACATTCTCATGGTGGGGGGGTTCTGACCAAAGGTAGCACACCTGAGTGAGGAGTACTTTGCCTCACTGACTTGATAAAATGGGTCTCAGGTTTGTCTGGGTCAAGAACTAGATAACTCCAATTCCCAATCCGTGCCTGCCTTCCTGCCTCGCTATCATAATGCTGATCTACTCGCATTTTTTAACAAATGTTCACAGACAAAGCCAAACATCGATCTGTCTTTGCTCTTTGTTTTAAGTAGATGCTGTTATTAATGTTTTATGTAGATGCTGTCACAGAGAAAAAATATCCTTAAAAAGTTATTACTTTTTTTTTCTCTTAACATGACCAAAGATTTTACAGAGATGTGGAGGTGAGAAAAATCTCCTGGCTTTTCATCCTTTGAAATGTGAAAAGTAGTTTTGATAGTGTCATTTGCCATTTTTGCTATCTCTTTTACAGGTCCATTTTTTTTTTTTTGAGCCCCACTGAAACCATGATAAGATCCACAGTTCTCAGGGTGAGCCTGACTTCAGAGCTCAGTGATCTGAAGGATAGAGATCGTTCAGAAAAAGAACTCATTAGCATGACTTAGGAGTCTTGGAAGGTAATCATTTCAAGATGAAGGGTTGAGAACAACACTGGGCTTTTGCCATGACTGAAGGAATCTCTTTGCTGGGCAACCTGACAATTTCCAAAGCCGCTTCACTGCTGGGCTCGTCATCAGGAGCTATTTTAGGTAGCCCTGAACATCTGGCTGTAAGGGTTTTGACAAGTCAGACTTAAAGAGGCGAAGTGTGTGTGTTCTCACATTCTTTTCCAATTGGACAGTGCTATGCTTTGAATATCTGTCCCCTCCAAAAGTCACGTTGAAATTTAATCCATAATGTGGTAGCACGGAAAGGTGGTGCATTTGAGAGATGATTAGGTCGTGAGAGCTCTGCCCTCCTGAATGCATTAATCCATTTGTGGATTAGTGGGTTGTCATGGGAGTAGGACCGGTGGCTTTATAAGAAGAGGAAGAGAGATCAGAGGGACATGCTAAGCCCCCCCAACCATGTGAGGCCCTGCGCTGCCTCGGGACTCTGTAGAGACTTCCCACCAACCAGGAGGCTCTCACTGGATGCAGCTCTTGACCTTGGACTTCTCAGCCTCCATAACTGTAAAGAATAAATCCCCTTTCTTATAAATTACCAAGTTTCAGGTATTGTGTTATAAGCAACAGAAAACAGATTAATACAGGTAGATAAAGAGATTGTGTTTAGAATTTTTAGAAGCCAGGAAATTGCACTGTTTCTCAGGTGTGGTTTTTGGATGGTGCTGCCAGGGCAAGTCAGCATATTGCTTAGAAAAGCAAATCGGAGTCACTATGACTACCATTACTACTACCCCTATTAACTACTGCTGCTACATGGATATAATTTATTAAAACTGCCAATTAATAGTCATCAGGATTCAAAAGATGATTAAGACATTGTCTCTGCCTAGGAAAATAGACTAGCTTCAAGCCTGCATTGTGAGTGGGTGGCAGAGTGGGGTTTGGGGTTCATTGCTTTTGCCTCTCATCCTGGTCTAGACAAAGTCCTCAGTAGAGATTCATACCTAGAACCTTCCAAGAAAACATGTATTGAGCACTTGCCTTCCTCGGTGTCTCCAGAATTTATATCCTCCTTCCTACGTTGGATGCCTTCTTAATTGTAGCTGCCACTGAATTCGGCATCGATGAATGTATGGATCATGACAGATGTTTCCCCCCACATAAACTCATTAACGCTCACAACAGACTACGGTAGGACTAGGTAAGTAGATGTTTCAAGTTTGAGAAAATGTATTAGAGAACTAAAGTCAGGGAATGTAGGGGACCTGCCTGAGGCTATACAGCCAGTAAGTGGCAAAGCTATAATCAAATCCAGGTTTCACTTAATCCCAAAGTTCCTCAACTTTAGATCATTCTTTGTTCTAAATCTATATTCATAATTAGAACAATTCTAGAAGTAATTGGAGAAATTATCAATGTGTTTGTTAAACTCTAAAACTTAGAGGCTAAGCACACTTCCCTTTTTCTTTTTTCTTTTTCCTTTGACCTTGAAACTCTTTTAGTTATGTATTGTTCTCAGTTAATCTCAATTAATTAATATGGGTCTCAAGAATGTTTTATCTTTCTTCATTTTACTTTTACTTACATATTTATATTTTTATTGTGGTAAGAACACTTGACATGAGGTAAACTCTCTTAACAAATTTGTGATTGCATAACACAGTATGTTAACTATAGGCGCAGTGTTGGACAGCAGATCTCTAAACTTACTCATCTGGTTTAACTTTATACCCAATCAACAGCAACTTCACGTTTCCCCCTCCCCCACAGCCCCTAAAAGCCACCATTCTACTCTCTGTTTCTGAGTTTGACCATTTTAGATACTTTATATAAGTGGAATCATGCAGTGCTTGTCCTTCTGCAACTAACATGTCACTTAACATAATGTCCTTCAGGCTCATCCATGTTGTGGCACGTGGTAGGATTCCTTTCTTACTCTCTTTCTTTTCTTCTCTTCTCCTCTCCCCTCCTCTCCCCTCCTCTCCCCTCCTCTCCCCTCCTCTCCCCTCCTCTCCCCTCCTCTCCCCTCCCCTCCCCTCCCCTCCCCTCCCCTCCTCTCCTCTCCTCTCTTTTCTTTTTTCCTTTTCTTTTCTGGAGACAGAGTTTCACTCTGTCACCCGGGCTGGAGTGCAGTGGCATAATCACAGTTTGCTGCAGCGTTGACCTCCCAGGCTTAAGTGATCCTCCCCCATCAGCCTCCTGAGTAGTTGAGACTAAACGGGTGCACCACCACACCTGGCTAATTTTTTGATTTTTTTTTTTTTTTTTTTTTTTTTTTTGTGGAGATAAGGTCTCACTATGTTGCTCAGGCTGGTCTCGAACTCCTGGACTCAAGTAATCCACCCGCCTTGGCCTCCCAAAGTGGTGGGATTACAGACATAAACCTGCATGCCTGACCAGGATTTCTGCCTTTTTAAGGCTGAATAATATTCTATTGTATGCATTATTACATTTTCTTTATTGGTTGATCTGTTGATGGACACTTAGGTTGATTCCTTATCTTGGCTATTGTGAACAATGCTGCAATGAACATGGGGGTGCTGATATTTCTTCAACATTCTGATTTTATTTCCTTTGATGGTATACTTAGAAGTGGGATTGCTGGATCATATGGTAGTTCTATTATTAATTTTTTGAAGAAGTTCCATATTGTTTTCCCTAGTGGTTGCACCATTTTACATTCCCACCAAAAATTAACAGTGTACAAGTGTTCTCTTTTCCCCACATATTTGCCAACACTTACCTTTTGTTTTTTGATAATAGCCATCGTAATAGATGTGAGGTTCTTATTGTGGTTTTGATTTGCATTTCCCTGATGATTAGTGATGTCGATTTTTTAAAAACGTGCTTGTGGTTCACATGTATGTCTTCTGTGGAGAAATGTCTGTTCAATCCTTTACTTATTTTTTAATTGGATTGTTTTCTTGCTCTTGCGTCATATGATTTCCCTATGTGTTTTGGATATTAACCCCTTAACAAATGTATGGTTTGTGAATATCTTCTCCCATTTCATAGGTTGCCTTTTCACTGTGTGATGGTTTTTCTTAATCCTTTTTGGTTTGATATAGTCCCATTTGCTTGGTTTTGTTTTTGCTGACTATGCATTTGGTGTCAAATCCAAGAAATAATTGCCGAGATCAATGTCATGAAGGTTTTTCCTAGTAAAATAATTTCAGGTCTTAAGTATAAATCATTAATCCATTTTGACTTTACTTTTATGTACGGTATAAGATAAGGAACAATTTCATTTTTTTCTGCATGTAGGTATCTAGTTTTCCCAGTACTATTTGTTGAAGAGATTGTCCTTTCCTCATTGTGTAGTCTTGGCACCCTTGTCAAAGAGCAATTGACTGTAAATGTGTGTGTTTATTTCTGGGCTATTTATTCTGTTCCATTGGTCTTTATTTCTGTCTGCATGTCAGTAGCATACAATTTTGTTTACTATAACTTTGTAATATATTTTGAAATCAGGAAGTATGAGGCCTCCAACTTTGTTCTTCTTTGATTGCTTTGGCTACTCAGGGATTTTGTGGTTCCATATTAATTTTAGGATTTTCTATGTCTGTAAAAAATGTCATTGGGATTTTGATGGAGATAGTGTTGAATCTGTAGATTGCTTTATTTAGTAGGGGCAATTTAGCAGTAACAAGTCTTCCAATCCATAAACATGTAGCATCTTTCCATTTATTTGTATACTTTAATTTTTTTTTAAATCAATGTGTTGTAGTTTTCTTTGTCCAAGGAGACTTTTGCCTCCTTGGTTAAGTTTATTTCTAAGTGTTTTATTCTATTTGTTGTTACTATAAATAAGATTGTTTTCCTAATTTCCTTTTTGGATAGTTTGTTGTTAGAAACACAACTGATTTTGTATGATGATATTGTATCCTGCAACTTCAGTGAGTTTATTAGTTCTAACAATATTTCGTGTGTGGAGTTTTTATGGTTTTCTACTATAAGGTCATGTCATCTCCAGACAGATAATCTTACTTCTTCCTTATCAGTTGGCTGCCTTTTATTTCTTTTTCTTGCCTAATTGCTCTGTCTAGGACTTCTAGAACTATGTTGAGTAGAAGTGCTGAGAGAGGACATCCTTGTTTTGTTTCTGGTCTTAGAGAAAAAGGTTTTTGTTTTTCATCAGTGAGTATAATGTTAACTCTGGGATTTTCATATGTGACTTCTATTTTTGGTTTGATATAATTGATATATCTCAACTTCATTGAGATATCATTAACATAAAATTTTGTATATTTAAGGTGTACAACTTGATGTTTTGATATATGTATATATCGTGAAAGAATCAACATATTTGTACTAATTAACATATCTTACATAATTTTTATTTTGTTGAGGTAAATTTTTTCTATACCTATTTGTTGAGAGTTTTTATTATGAAGAGTGTTGAATTTTGTCAAATGCTTTTTTCTGCATCTCTTGAGATGAACATGTGATATTTATGCTTTATCCTCTAAATGGGTTCTGTTACATTAATTGATTTGCATATGTTGAGCCATTCTTGCATGCCAGGGACAACTCCCACTTGGTCTTGATATACGATCCTTTTAATGTGCTGTTGAGTTTGATTTGGTATTATTTTATTAAGGGTTTTTGCATCTATGTTCATCTGAGACATTTACCTGTAGGGTTTTTGTTTTGTTTTGTTCTGTTTCGTTTTTGGTAGTGCCTTTGTCTGGCTTTGGTATCAGGGTAATGCTGACCTCATAAAATGAGTTTAGGAAGCGTTCCCTCTTCTTTGATATTTTGGAATAATTTAAGAAGAATTGATTTTAATTATTCTTTAAATATTTGGTAGAATTCCTAAGTGAAACCATACGGTCTTGGACTTTTCTTTGTTGGCCAGATTTTGATTACTGATTCGGTCTTCTCATTTTTATTGGTCTGTCCAGATTTTTCTGTTTCTTTATTTTATTTATCTATTTTTGCATGTCAAACTACTTTGGTCAATTTATTTCTTTATAATTCAGTCTTGGTAGATTATATGTTTCTAAGAATTTATACATTTCACCTAGGTTATCTAATTTGTTGATGTTTAATTGTTCATAGTAGTCCTGTGATCTCTTTATTTTAGTTGTATTAGTTGTAATGTCTCCTCGTTTCTGATTTTTTTTTTTTTTTTTTGAGTCTTTTCTCTTTTTTTCTTAGTCTAGCTAAGGTTTGCCAATTTTGTTTAACTTTTCAGGAAACCAACTCAGTTTGTTAATTTTTTCTATTGTTTTTCTATTTTCTATTTATTTCTGTTCTAATCTTTATTATCTTCTTCCTTCTGCTAACTTTGAGCTCAGTTTGTAGGAGACTTCAATACCCTGTTTTCGACAACGAAGACAGATAATCAATAAGGAAACATCAAACTTTCACAACACTATAGACCAAATAAATGGGCCTAGCAAGACGTATACAGAACATTCTACTGCCCTCTTTCTTCTGTGTCCCAGCTTCCCCTTCTACTGCTTATGGGAGATAGAACAAATAAAAGATAGCTCCACACTCTATATCTTATATATTAGTTTCCTAGGGCTGTCATAACAAAACATCACAGACTGAGTGGCTTAAGCAACAAAAGTTTATTTTCTCATGATTCTGGAGGGTAAAAGTTGGAGATCAAGGCAGTGGTCATGTGGTTTCTCCTGAGACCTCTCTCCTTGGCTCTCAGATGGCCACCTTCTTGCATATGTTTTGTAAGAAGTCCTCACATGGCCTGTTCTCTGTGTGTGCACATTCTCGATGCCTCTTTCTTTCCTTTCTAATGACACTAGTCATATCGGATTACAGCCCCACTTTTAAGACTTCATTTAACCTTAATTACCTCCTTAAAGTCCCTATCTACAAATACACTCCCATTCTGAGGTATGCTGGGGGTTAGGGCTTCAACATATGAATTTTGGGAAAGGGGAAACAATTTGGTCCATAAAACGTTATATATTGAAAAATCAGTTGTGAAAAATGTGATGATCAAAAAGACATTCTGTCCATCCTCCAGGAGCTTACAGGCTAGATGGAGATACCTAAAGAAAGATGGGGCCATGAGTGATTTTGGAGCTCAGAGGAGGGTCAGACCACCGTGAGCTACAGAGCTTAAGGAAGGCTCCTGGGATGAGCCAATGAACAGGGGGCCTTGAAAGATGCACACACATTTCTAGAAATTCAAAAAGGAGGTCCTGCCTAAACATTAAATAGATATGAGAAGTCCATTCTTAACTGCACATAATTGTATAAGCACAAGCATTTCCTGGGCATCTGTTCTCTGTCAGGCACTGAACTGAAGGATGAAAATACAAAGACACGGATTTGTACTGGAGTTGCCCACACTCCACGAGAAGGATGATTTTAGAGTCAAGGATTGACAATGGGTTAGACAGGGAAGTTTGCAACATAGACAAACCATTTGAAGTTGCTTGTGGGGAACAGCTGAATCCCCAACAAGCCATAGCTAGATGCATCTGTCAGGCACAGAGTTGGCTACAGAGGGCACTGCATGGGCTTATAACCTTGGGCTTATTCCCAGGATTCCTGAATCTCTCCTCCTTGCCTAAGACTAGTGTCCCTCTCCTGATTGCATTGTTTTGATTGACTGCTTAGTTTCCTTCTGCCATGTAGCTTACATATTGTTCACATTTCAAGTTCCATGTGGCAGGTTCTTGTCTTTCGGATTTTACTATTTGCAATGTTCAGTCTACATGTGTGATGTCCTTTGTAAACCATGAATGTTAATCAGAGTTTAGGTGTCAGCCACAACAAATTTTGAGATGACAATGTCTAAATCCTAAAAAAGTTTGAAACCAGAATGCAAAACCATTGTCCTCACCACTCTCTATAATTTCCATTAATTGCTCTAATATGCTGGTTCCTCTTTTTGATTGCATGCCCTTTAGAAGAAAATCATTGATACATTGATTACAGCTTTCATCTGGAGGTTCGAGCATTTCTAAACATTTATTTGGATTTCATGCCAAACTGGGGGATAATTGCACATAAAAGGATCATGCTGGGTTAGATACTGACATGGGGTTTTAAAATATCCTTCCTCTAGTATAAATAGCCCAATTGGCAGCTCAGGCATGCATCTCATCGCTCTGTGCAGCTTGACCGACTACATTTTCTGTTTAGCGATAACACAGGATAATAGATGGTGCTCAGAGAGGTAACCTTCAAGCTCAATGGCTGAGACATGCTTTCTGATCCAAAGTTGTGGCAGGTGAGATTGTAAAGCCTGAGTCTTGGAGAAATGCTACAGGGTACCAGAAACCAGGCAGCAGTAACACAGCTTTCTTTTTCAAAGGAGAATCCCGGAAGGACCTATCTTATTAATGTGGGATGACCCCAATGTTGCCCGAAACTGGGGATGGCCCAACTGAATTCCAGCAGATGGCACCTTCTGTGGCTGCTCTCCTTTTAAGAATCTGGAAGGTGCTTCTTGGGGTCTCGGCTGCACATCTTGGAAGGGCTGAGGATCACTGTCTTGCTTCATGCTGCACCCCTGGCTTTCTTCCTCTTCCCTGCTCTCCTGACATGTACATACTCTTGCTGCTTCAATGATATAATGCTTTGCTTTAAGGTTTGCTTATCTTCGCCTGTGAAACCACAGGTGAAGAATTATAAACTAAGGGTTTTAGCCATGTATTCAAGAAGGGATTTGGCAAACAAATGGTTCCCATGAACACACTGACATGGTGTCTTTCTGGATTGTCACCACTCACAGAGCTGGAAAGGAGCCAGAGAACAGCCTTCTGGAGTATGCTATTGGGGTCCTGGGCGAAGCCAGCTGTTTGCAATGTTACTCCCGCTTGATGAATTTCTCTCAGGGGCAGGACTGGGATGCAGAAACTGTGGATTAGTACCCCAACCACCATGTATGTGCCCTGTGACCTTGATGACATCAGCTCAAATGGGCTTCATTTCTACCAACACACAGGAGCATTTTAATGAAATCACATGCATTTATGCAGATAACAGCTACCATTTAAAACTACCACTTATCAGATAGTCACTATGTGCCAAGCATTAGATTAGGACATTTACATATTTGATTTAATTTAATCTTCATGATAGCTTTGAAAATTAGTTATTATGCAGCTTGCCCAGAGTCATGAAGCTAATAAGAAAACCCCAAACCTGGGATGCAGGTTGAACTCCAGAGCCTTGTTCTTTTCCTCATACCAGGCTGCATCTCAGTCAACACCTTAGTTGCAGTTACATCCGAATGTATGTGTGTGTGCACACACAGGTGAGCACGTGCATGTATGGAAAAGACTTACGTTTATACCAAGAGCGTGAGTCTTGTGTCTCTGCTTCCAAATTCCCTGGGACGCAAGTTTTATCATCTCATCCTGAGCCCTGAATGATCCTTTCCAGCCTCTCTCAGAAGCAAGTACTTAAGGCTTCTCTTTGTTTTTATTTTCTGTATAAGTGAAAACATTGTAATTTTTTTTACACGTGTTACAGAATAATTGAGCCCATTTTCATGTCATAAATTATGTGGCTGATTTCTCATACTTTTGAGCCACCTATGTTGTGTCTGACAGCTATACCAATTTTGTTTACTGGGAAGTCGGGGCAGTGAGGCTTGTGCCTCCCTTATTTCTCTTGTGATTAAGGCTATGTCCATCATTATCTCATTTAATCCTCCCAGCAACCTCTGAAGGGAGGATTATGATAATCACCCCAATTTTACAGCTGAAAACATTGAGGCTCAGAGAGCTTACAATATTAGTTTTAAATCACCCACGAGAAAGTAGTAGATCTAGGATCCTCAGTTTCCCCTTCTTCCCCCTCCCCGACTCGAAGTCCCATCCTCCCTGCACTGACCCAGCAGGGCTGTGTGTGCTCCCTCATCTGCCTCCTGGGACCCACCCCCAACACTGAGTCCTGAGCAGGAGGCTTGCCCTGTGTGCGCCTAGCTTGTCACCGATGCCTCCCAGGATCAGGGGAGGAATAAACAGGGGCTCAGCATGCCCTGTGTTTGTGTTCTGCCTTGTTTCAATAAAATATGATCTTCCTGCAGACAGCCCAATGCAGTCCACCGAGTTCATTAAATCAAGAGCTCTCTCCATGCTGCTGTCACTAAAGACACTTTCACTTATGCACAGGTGGTGGTCCTGAGACTCGAGCTGCATGGGGACGCAGGTGGGGAGGAGCTGCTGCCAAGCGGGGAATGTGCTCCCCGGACATGGCAGGGGGGATGGAGATTTGAGACACAAATCCACGTCCACATCTCATTTTATGCTTTTCCAAAGTGAGCTTACAGATTTTATTCCATTTTGATGCTTATGGGTTCAATTATCCCCCTTTTATAGATGACTGAGCAGAGGCCTAGTAACATTAGGTGACTCATTCAGCGTCACTCAGCATGCTGGCGGCAGAGCTAGGATCCAGGTGAGCTTACTCTTGATGAGGCATTTGCTTGCTGTGTTAAATGACGACACTTCTACGTGGAGTGTTTTTTTTTTTGTTTTTTTTTTTGTTTTTTTTTTTTTTTTAGCAGCACTGCTATCCTTCCCTACCATCATTAGTTCATGACTACAAATACATGCTTTCCTGTGGTTTAGCCTTTTTGCTGTCACCTGACTCTAATTGCTGGAAAGGTTTTCTTTATGCTGAGCTGAAATCTCCTCTTTCATTATAATTCAGGCCTCCAGAGCTTCACAGAATAAGTTTTCAGCCCAAGTCTTCTCTTGTCCCAGTATCTCTGATTTCTTCAGCCTGTTCTCATGAGAGACAGAATCTAGACCTCTCTCCAACATGATTGCCTTTCTCTGGGTACACTTGCTATGAAACATGAAAGTTCAACTCCCCAGGTGGGATCTAA
Organism: Homo sapiens; assembly: GCF_000001405.40. Taxonomy (NCBI): domain Eukaryota; kingdom Metazoa; phylum Chordata; class Mammalia; order Primates; family Hominidae; genus Homo; species Homo sapiens. The sequence continues at coordinate 15,059,618 of NC_000002.12, read as the reverse complement.
TCAGGTCAGTGCGAGGGAGGTCTCTGCTGGCTGTGTTGGGCTCCCAGGGTTCTATGTGAGGTGGTCTCTGAAGGGGCCCTGTCCATCACTCAGGCATGGGCTTATTTCCTGATAGGCCTCACTGTGCCTTCTGGGGGCATCTGCTTATCTTCCCCAGTATGGGTTGGCTCTATGAGAATGGGCAGGGTCCAGTCCAAAGTGTCAACAATGCAAAGGTTAAGAAACCTTATAATTCATTATCTAAAAAATAAAAAAAAAGAAAAAATCCACAAATAATGAGCTGCTTCATCAACAAGGAACATTTACTGTACAGCAGTTATGTACAAGGTTTGGTGCCAGGCCCTAAGGCTATGAGACAGTAAGGTGTTGTCCTCATGAAAACAATTTCCCTAAATTTGTGGAGCCCACTGGAGTTTACAAATTGTCTCTGTATCAATCATCTCACAAGAATCCACGTTCCTCTGCAAGATATAGAAGTGAAATCTGCATTGATCTCAGTCTGGGGACAGATTTTGCAAGGACCAGGGATCAGAAAAATAGAGGGAATCCCAAAACAGGGGCTGAACAGAGAGCCTTTGAGACATGGAGGTTCAAAGGCCAGTGGGGAAGACAGAACATTGCTCAAACAGATGGGCTAGAAGCAGATACTGAAGCTGGTGTTTGTAGCAAGGCCTCTGGGAATAGAAATTTTAAAGAGCAAGAAGGTCAGAAGGAAACCTAAGGGATTTGGCCTTGGAGGTCGGCTTTAATCTATCTCCTGGCATGTAGTGCACAAGTCAACAAATAGTCAGCTAAAGGGTGGAACAGATAACAATTTGAGGACATTCGCCACATTACAGAGGAGGGAAAGTGGAGATTCCCGGCCAGTTGTGAAAGTTGTAAGCAATAGAACCAAAATTAAATTCTAGCCTCCTGACCCCATAATCCCAGCTGCTTTCTATTACCCCATGCCATTTCTGCCTCAAGGATGTTATCTTTCCCCCACTGAGTACAATAACCTAGATTAGAATAAGCTGGGTGAGTGTTAAATGCTCTATATTGTCACGCTGGGCTTGAGAACTGGGAACTTCAACCTTATGTTGTGCACATGTTTTAGCCCATTAAGATGTCAACAGCTGCCTGCTCAATCATGTGGTAGAAATATACTTTTTGATTCAAAGCAGCAGCCAAACTTTTATTTGTGGATATTTCTTGTTAGATAATAAATTATAGGGTTTCTTAACCTTTGCACTGTTGACACCAATTTGGACTGGACAATTTTTGTTGTGGGGGCTGTCCTGGGCATTGTAGAATATTGAGCAGCATCCTTGGCCTCTACCCACTAGCTGCCAGTAACACTCCTCTCCCCAGCTGTGACTACCAAAAATGTCTCCAGATGTTGCCCATTGTCCTCTAGGGGGCGAAATTTCTTCCCACGCTCTGCATTGAGAACCACTGATCGATTCATATGATTTTAAACTCAAAAGATACCAAAGGTGTGCAGGCATCTTTTTCGAATAATAACTTCTTTTCCTTTGGGAAGATACCCAGTAGTGGGATTGCTGGATCAAATGGTAGCTCTACTTTTAGTTCTTTAAGGAATCTCCACACTATTTTCCATAGCGGTGGTACTAGTTTACATTCCCAGCAGCAGTGTGGAAGTGTTCCCTGATTGCTGCATCCGCGCCAACATCTACTATTTTTTGATAATTTGATTATGGCCATTCTTACAGGAGTAAAGAGATATTTCGCACGCATGTTTATAGCAGCACAATTCACAATAGCAAAATCATGGAACCAACCCAAATGCCTGTCAATCAACGAGTGGATAAAGAAACTCTGGTATATATGAGATAGAATACTACTCAGCCATAAAAAGGAATAATTAACAGCATTTGCAATGATCTGAATGAGATTAGAGACTATTATTCTAAGTGAAGTAACTCAGGAATGGAAAACCAAACATTGTATGTTCTCACTGATATGTGGGAGCTCAGCTATGAGGACGCAAAGGCATAAGAATGATCAATGGACTTTGGGGACTTGGGGGAAGAGCTGGAGGTTGGTGAGGGATAAAAGACTACAAATATGGTGCAGTGGCTACTGCTCAGGTGATGGGTGCACCAGGATCTCACAAATCTCCACTAAAGAACTTATGTAACCAAACACCACCTGTTCCCCAATAACTTATGGAAAAATAAATTTTTAAAAATTGCCTAGAATAAACTTGGAACTTAAAAAAAAAAGGTATCAAAGGTCCAAGAACAGTCTCTCTCTCTCTTCTGCCCAATCACTCAGCTATCCTGCAACAGTTTTTTTTTTTTTCAAATTTCTGTATTTGGTGTTTTGGATTTTTGCAATGAAGCCACAATTGTTATTGCTGAGAACACGGAGTGCTTGCATCTGGAAAGATGAGCTGTTTCTGTAAGGCTGCCTGAGGGGCCTGACAGCCAGGCTGAGGCCACAGGTCTAGGCTGGCTTTGCAAATGTCGATGACCATTAGAAATTAGGGCAGGGTGCGGTGGCTCACACCTGTAATCCCACCACTTTGGGAGGCCCAGGGGGGCAGATCACCTGAGGTCAGGAGTTCAAGACCAGCCTGGCCAACATGGTGAAACCCCATCTCTACTAAAAATATAAAAAATTAGCCGGGCGTGGTGGCAAGTGCCTGTAACCCCAGCTACTCTGGAGGCTGAGGTGGGAGAATCAATGGAACCTGGGAGGCGAAAGTTGCAGTGAGCTGAGATCGCACCACTGCACTCCAGCCTAGGAGACAGAGTGAGACTCCGTCAAAAAAAAAAAAAAAGAAAAAAAAAAGAAAAGGGAAATTAGGGCTGGGTCTTTGGTCCCCGCCTCTGAATAGTGTGATGTCTAACCTGCTTTGAAGAGCACAAGAAAGCAACCTGACATAAAACTTACCCTACACTCAACCCTGCTCCCGCTTCCTTAGAGCCAAGGAGTTCCTTCCTGCCTTTGACACAGCCAGCCTTTGCCAAAAGCTTAGCTCAAGTTCAGTGTTTCTCCAGATGTTCTGTAGTGAGTGTCTCATGTGTGCATAGCATTTTCCCAGGTAAAATACAGATGATTATTTTCTTAATAGACCTCCATAGACACAAACACTCCCATTCGACAGATGAGAAAATGGAGTCTCATATGAGTCCACATTTCCTCTTTAACTAAAAACAATTGTAAATCAGTCTCAAATTTTAGAAACGTTACAAATGCAGTAAAAAACTTTTCTTGAAGCATTTGACAGTAGGTTGTTGTCCTGATACCCCATCATACCCAAATACTTTAGAGAATATTTCCTGTAGAGAAGGACAGTCTTCCGCATAACCACAATATACACACAAAATCATCCAATTAACATTGATTCTTTCCTATCATCTAATCCTTTATCCCATTCAGGTTTTGCCAAAAGTTCCAGTAAACAGCCTTTAGAGAAAATAGATCCATTTCAGAGTCACATGGTACATCTATCAGTCATGTTTCTTGAATCTTTTTGCTCATGGAACAGTTTCTCAGTTTTTTTTTTTTTACTTCCAGGAGACTCTAAAAAATATAATATAATTGAATCCATTTTTAATTTTTTAGTCAATGTTTATTATATTCAGAGGGACTGAAAACTTAAAATTGTGTAGTTCAAAATTTACAAAAATTAAATACAAGTAAAAGGAATGTAAATCATCTTTCAAATAGTGTACAAATTTGCAGAATTTATACTATGATGGTATCAAAGCTTAAAACTACAACTGCATTTTGGGATCTGCTGTATATTGAAAACCATACATTTTCACAATATATGTAGTTCTAATCCAACACAAAGAAGTCCAGTCTAGATCTCTTCCTTTCCATATTTGTGACTCTCTAAAAGGGAGAAACCCGACTCCCATTGCCATGCTGTATTTTCTAACTTGTTCCTCTCCCTATGTGTAAACAACCTCCCATCCTTGCCATAGACCGTGCACACACCTCCTCATTGGGCTGCTCTGCTGCTCCAGGCTCAGGTTCTTACTTCCTGTTCTTGGCCATCCCTTGACATCCTCACCTGTCCTGTCTGTGTGGATGCTTTCCTCACCATTCTCTGACTCCTATACCCCTCATATGGACACTGCAGCTCTTCCAGCCCCCCGCCCCCCAGCTGGAGAAGATGTCCACCTTGGTCAGCCTCACTCAATGGCTTTAGGACTGGATTATTCAGGAAGAGTAGAGGAGAGGAGCATGAATAGGAGAAGGTAGAAGAAGGGCTCATGATTACTTTTGTTTGCAGTCAGGTTGCACCTCACCCACTGTATTGCAAAGTACTCTCTCTGGGAGGTCACTGGTGTTCTTATCTCAGTCTTCCTCTTCCAGATCCTTCAGCAGCAGAAAACACAGTTGATCATGTCTTTTTTTCTTGAAACCTCCTGTTCCCTTGGCTTTTTACTGTTATTTTCCTTTACCCATCCCTAAAATATTGATGCTTGTTCGTGATTTCCCCTTGCTTTCCTTCTCTTCTCATTCTACACCATTGCTTCGAGTGAATGTATCCAGTCCAACATCACATGGGGAGCTGTGGATGAATGTCTATCTTCTAGTGCCAGACATAGTAGATGACATATCCCAAAGTCGGAAGCTGTATCTCAGTTAAACAGTTACACAACTTTCCTTGCCACAAGACTTTAAAATGCCTTTTAACATGTTAATGGACATTCTGAATCCTCAGGAGGGTGATAATCTCAGTCCCAAATTTATTTGGCCAGAAAACAATGTTTCTGTTTTTTGGACTCTCTATTAACATCTTGCAACAAAACTGGTGTTCAGTGGAGCACAGAGTGGAAAGTGCTGCTTGGAAATGATGCTTAAAAGATGCCCTGGAAACATATCCAGGAGGCCCTCATCATGGGCTGCCTTCCAAAGAGGAGAGCATGTGACACATCTGATCAGTTGGCCCGATCTGGAGGTTCTTTAGAAGGAGGAGTGCAAGTGTGTTTCTATGTTGGTCTGAAGGATACAGAGATGCTGATGGTGAACATTCCCAACATCTGTTCCCTTCAATTGGGTACAGTGCACATAAACCATAACGTTATGGAGTTTGAGTCCAGGTTACAGCACTTATTCTGCATACACAAGTTATTTAGGTGCCCAGAGTCTCAGTTTCCTCAACTGGAAAGCGGGCATGAGAAGAATCCTACACAAAATGGTGGCTGTGAGAATGAAAGCTATGTAAAGTGGGCAGTTGTGATCACCTTCTCCTTCTTCAGTGCCCTCCCAAGCCACACTAGTAGATAGTGGTAGAACTTTGCTTAAACTCAAGTCTACTCCCTCTTAGGTTTCAGAAACCAGCAGATGTGGCCTCAGCATTGACTTTGTATTACTAGCTGATTAGCCTTTGGCTTCTTACCTAACCTCTCTGCACATGGCTTTCCTTACCTATGAAATGGGTAGTAATACCTATCTCAAGTTGCTGAAATGATGGAAAGAGAGTGTGTGAAGAGCTTAGCACAGAGTGGCTGTCGCATGTTGAGAAATTAGCAAATGTAGCATGGAGTGCTTCTAAAGCGCACATACATTGAACTGAAGAGTCCTGTTTGGAGGGGATTGTTGACCTCCATGACAAAGCAATGATCTCGATTGGTTTTGGAAACACCACTCCCTCACCCCACCATAATGCCTCAAAAATCTAGTGGCTAGTCCCCCTCTTCTATTTTTTTTTTTTCACAAGGAGGGAAGTAAAGCTGCCTCTTTTGTTGCTAGGATTTGAAGTGTGACTCAGAAAGAAGAGGTGCCTACTCTTTCTGCTCCTTTTCCTTCCTTCCTTCTCTAACGTGTCTTGAGGTAAGTGTGCAGGCTGCCCTAGGCTTCTTTAGATAACCGGATGTTCAGAGTCACATGGTACATCTACCAGTCATGTTTCTTGAATCTTTCTCCACATGGAACAGTTTTTTTTCCACATGGACGTGCCCTAGGCTTCTTTTTGATAACTGGACCCCGAGATCCCCCCGGGTCTGCAGGGGAAAGGACACTAGGCTTCTTTCATCTCCCTTTCTCTGGAGGACTCAGGTCTGGAGAGTTTTATCTGAGAAGTTTAACTCAGACTGTGTCAATTTGGGGTTTATTCTACCTCTCTGAGTTGTTGCTGCTTTCTCAAAATTAGGTGATGGAATATTTTGAACCAAAGAAGAGACTTACAGAACTTCCTGTCCACCTCCCTCATTTTGTGGGTGAACCGAGGCTTAGACCTGGTTCAAGGTCACACACTTGGAGATAGAGCTAGGGCTAGAATCTGGGGCCCCTGAGTTCCTTCCTGCCTTGCCCTCTATGCATGCGATATTATTCTCTTTGACTTTCTATTTCATGGTTAGTATTTTCCTTGTTATCTTTGCTATCTCAGATTTTATCAGATCATTTGTTTGTTGTCCAGATAAGAGGAATATGGCATACCTCTGAAATAATTTTAAAATCAATGTACCTTCTTCTTTAATATCTAAACATTTTAATCATGCTTATAAAGAGCTGCAAATGACATAATTTCTGGCTTACTGTAAACTATTGACATTTTATAGCAAAAATGCTCCATCTCTTCTTTTAATGCATGCACAGGAATGTAAGAGTTATTTTATATGCACCATCATCCTTTAAAAAATACAATACATAAATTATTTTTAACACTTACAAATTTGTTTTTCCTTTCTCTCCTGTACTTTGAATTTCTACTGTTCTTCCCCTTCAGAATTTTAAATTAACATATTTTTACACTTAAAAATCTTTTTGTTATTCACCCTATCATACTTTGAGGATTCCTGCATCAAAAATATGCATATAATTTGAAATTTAAATTTTTAAATTCCCTTATCTATTAAGGCTATTAAGTGTTAACATTGTTTTCTGCATTGGATTGCTATTACAATTATTTTTAATATGCAACTTATCAGAGCAAAATATACATATTGCAAATTTTTATACCTGTTAACTAAATATAAAACATAAATGTCATTGGAAGTGAAGTCTTAGCTGGATTAGGTGCTTTATAGTGTCATGAGTCGATGAGGCCTCTGGACACATGTAGTTTCTTGTTGTATGCTGCAGAGGCAAAGCCACAACATTCGAGGTGAGTTAGGGGCATGTCTTTCTTTTATAGGGTGGGGAAGGGATGGCTGTGAAAGGGGAGGTGGGAGACGACAGCCACCAGGTCATCGTGCCAGCCTATACCGTGGAGTGTTCTTGGGTACAAGTTGAGGAAAGGGTATTCAGAAATCCATGAGTGGGGAGCTGATTCCTTCAACATTCTCTATGCTTGGAGATTCCTGGAAAAGTCTTCTGGTATTTCCAGAGGCATCACACCTGAGTTTGAAAACCACTAGAGTCAAGGAAAATATATGGATATGGTCTTAGTCATAAATGTCCCACTGAAAAGAGAGCTGCTGTTGGGATGCCACATGACCTGTATTCATTTCCCAATGCATTATGAAGCAGTTTTCCTTTTATTGTAATTTTCTATCATGGGATTGCTTAGTTGCTGGGGCTAGATTAAGTGTCACTGTCTATGTTGAACACTAAAGAGACAAAGATGAGTAAAGTCTGGCCTCTGCTCTCAAGATACTCATAGTCAAGAAGGTAGATGAGATAAGTCCATTGTCACTATAATAAGTTATCAGAGTTTTACAGGCAGCATAGAAGGAAGAGAGAACACTTGCAACCAGGGAAAAGAAAGAAAGCTTCCATGGGGAAGAGCTCATTTTAACTGGCTCTTGAAAAAAAAAGAGGTAGGGGTTGAACATTCTGAGACTAGAGAAAGAACATTTATAGCAAGAGGCAAAAAAGACACAATAACTCTGGGTTGTTCCTTAATTGGTCCCTGCCATCTATCAATCACTGACTTGATGGAAGTCCCACGGTGACAGAATGGCATCAAATGATATGTGATAAAATGCCTGAGACAAATATAGGTGCTTTAATTGCAATACGTATTAAAGCCATTAACCTAATTATGGTGATGGTACACTGTGTCTTGCTCTGAAGAGGAATGGTTTGCGATGTAAAATAATAACAGCTTCCTTCTGGCTGCTTACTTCTTGATTTTAATTCCACAACTCTGGGAGGCAGATTTTATTATTATGTCCATATAAAAGTGGAGACTGAGGCCCTTGGAGGGTTAGGTCTCCTGCTCCAAGGTCATAGCTGGTGAATGGCAGAGCTGGAATGTACAAACAGGTGTGTCCACCTTAAAATCCTGTGCTTCTGTCAGCCACCTGCAGCTTGCCTCCTTCTATTCTGTGGCACCTTCATGAAATACCAGTGTAGCTATAAATTCCACACACATTTCACCTGGCCAGCTCCCTGCACACAATTCTGTTCAGGTCACTGATTGAGGTGTACTGGCTCTGCGGCTGTTATTCACAGTGGTTATGACAGGTTGGGGTGGCTGCTTAGAGAACAGACAGCCGAACAAGAGGCCACAGTCTCAGGAACAGGCAGATGTGGGATGTCTTCGTTGTTCAGCCACCAAATAATCGTTGAGTGCATCCTCCATAATTGATTCTCTCATTCACTTATTGAACAAATATTTATTGAGACCCCATTAATTTGCAAGACTCTCTGCTAGGTACTGAGAAATGGAGAGAAAAGGATAAGTAATATGCTGAGCAGCTTACTGGGTAGGGGAGAATTCAGACAAGGAGACTCTTGGCACTACTGTGAGGAGGAAAACCAGGGCTGGGCAGTCACCCCCCAGTCCCCTTTCCTTGCATTTCTATCATTCTCTCCCTCCTTCCTTCAACCTGGTCTCATTTCATCCCTACAGCTCTGTGGTAGGCATCATGATTTCTGTTTACAGACACAAGAACTCAGGCTCAGGTTACAGAACTTGCTCAAGCGTGCAGATTAGAGGTGGAAACCCAGATGGAACCCGGGTTCCAGGCACCCAGGGCTGGGGCCTGTCAGGCTGTCACTCTGCCATCAGCTGTATTTGCACAAACCCTTCTCATCCACGCTGGCCTGTAGCCCAGCTCTAGGGCTCCAGAGGGGAGTATGCTCCCTAAGATGCTGCTGAGATCATCACTGTCTGCTGTGGTATCACAATCCCTGATTGCAATCCCAATTCTTTCATCTGAGCCGAGTCATCAGTATCCCATTTCATGTGTGTGTCATATTCAAATACTTTGCAGCAGAATTGCTGTGCTTAATGGTGGGATGCTGCCTGAGACCTTGCTGGGTGTGGTTTGATATACATTATAGGCACTCCATTCCCTTCTAAAATTAGGAAAATATTTAACTTTGAAGCCACAAGGGTTTTGGATAAAGGACTGTGGACCCATAGCAGAGATTGGATCTGGCGAATGAAAAAAAGGAAAGAAGAAAGAAGGAAAGAAAAAGAAAAAAAGAGAAAGAAAAATAAAAGAAAGAAAAAATTTAAAAAAAGGATATATACCATGTAGTGGCGCATGGGAGGGGAACTTCTTTTTGGTTCGAGTGTGCTGGGATAGCTTCAGGATGACGTTGCTGAGCTGAAATGGGAGGGAAGTCAGAGACCTCGAGTGGTTGAAGAAAGCTAGATTTCTGGTTAACTCACAGGTGACACAACTGAGGTTCAGAGAGGAAACGGAATTTGTCTGAGGCCACATATCTTGTTCAAATTACAGTTGTGCTAAAATCCAGGTCTTGGGGCTCTCAGGTCCCCAAGTCCCCAGCTGCATGGCCGAGGGCAGCCAGCAGATACCTGCGGCTAGCATGTCCTGGCTTGACATGCGCACCTGGACAAAGCTGTGTTCCAGCTTTTGTCTGCCTCTGTCACTCCCCAGGCTCTTGCCTGGCTTCCCGGCCCTGTCGCCAGCTTGTTTACAAGGCCCCCTGGAAGCTCCCCTGGCTCAGTGGCTGAGGGCAGGGTGCGTGGCTGGCCTTGTGGTCCCCATGCTGGGACACAGTGGGCACTTGTCTCCATCGTCTGACAGCAGCCCCCGAAGGAGCACGAGGATCTATCTGGCCCTCTTTCTGGCTGCTCCCCTGCCCCTCTGGGCTGGGAATTCAACACCATTTCCAAAAGAAAATGGCCTTGAGTTTCCTGTTTTAGATTCACTAGCCTGTCTGCTGACATCCTGGGAGGAGAGTTGTTTAACAGCCCCTCAGGAGCCTCCACTGCTCAGCAAACCCCTCCTCTCCCTATCAAGAGCTCAGAAGGGCCACATCAGGAGGCCTGGGGTCCCACAGGTGATGAGTCACTGAGCCTTGACCAAGTAGCAGGGACCTCCAGGCTGCAGGAGGTGGGCACAAGCCCAGAAGGCAAGGCCCCAGAGAGGACAATGACAAATGAGAGGAGGCAGCCCAGCAGGTGGTGGCATGTGGGAGGCCTGGCAGGAGCCAGCAGTGGTGGCCTTGCAGGTGGCCAAAGCCTGACTCAGGGAGTCCAGGAACAGGTGCCACCTGAGCTCTTGGCAGGCGGGTGACTGGCTTCAGGGAGCTGGGGGTGCAGGTGGAAGGGTCGCAGCTGCCGGCCTTGAGTCCTGGACCAAACTGGTGTATGAGGCATCACCCCAGGTTTGGAAAAAGCCTCAGCGGCAGCGAGCAGTTCACAATTCCTTAAATGTCACCTCCTCTCTCCACCTGCCTGCAAAGTCCCTTCGCCTGGCTGACTCCTGGTCTTCCTTGGAGATTCAATGTAGGTGCTAGTTCCTTTAAGATGGCTTTTTGGCCTGGCCCCTGCTCTGGACTGGGCTGGGAGCCTCTCCTGGGTGCCCCAGTGCTCCCTTCTCTCTGCCACACACTGACCACAGTGCCTCACTCCCAGTGATTGGCCTAGACAGCGAGCTTGTTGATGGAGGGACAGTGTCTTGTTTGGCTGAGCCCGCATGTGCAGGACAGCACCTGGTCAGTGCAGGACTTGGGGATATGTGTTGAGTGAAGAGACTGATGCAGGGCCAGGAATCAGGACTGAAGGAGTTGCTTGTGGGGAGCGTAGTCTCAGCAAGAAGGAAGTAGCTGTCTTGTTAGAGCCCAGTCCCAGGTCAGGACAGTGGCTGCAGCCTGGCAACTCAGTGGTGGTCTCTGGTTATTGAGCCCAGTCCCTGCCAGCCTGGCCTTGGGTGGAGCAGGAGTACACACTTGACTTGGGACTGAGGCACAGGTGGTTCTCAGCGTGAGAAGAAGGACCCAGTGTCTTCCCAGGCAAAGCCTGATACCATCCCACTTCCTGGGACCGGAAACAAGGCCACCATTTAGCACTTCAATCCTTGGAGAGGAGGCCTGGGGGCTGAGCTGATGGAGAAGGTGGCATGGCATTCTTTGAAGTGGACAGAAAGAAAAGATGCGGCTGTTTCCCACCTGGGCCTGGGTGTGTGCCCTGCACATTGGACTTTGCAAGCAGAGAGAAAGAGCATCCGGCACGGATGGACTGGAAGTGGAACTGCACGCAGGGCCTGCTTTGCCTTTTTGCCTCCCCAGCCTTGCTGTCCCCACTGCAGGGTCATTTTATTCCATGTGCCAGCTCATTCCTCTCCCTGCCTCTAGGGCTGCTCTTGCCATCAGTAGTGCTTGGTGCTTTATAGCTCCAGGAGAGTGCAGGGACAATGTCTGTTTTTCTCCCTGCTGTTTCCCCACTGCTGGGCAGGAGTTCTCGGCCCAGCAGGAGTTCTCCACTAGCCATTTGCTGAACGCAAACTTAAACAATTGTGACTCAGTTATTGATTTCATACTGTGAGCCAGGCACCAGCCAAAGCAACCGATGAACGTTTTCTAATTTAGACTTCACAAAATGCTTTGAGGTCAGTATCCCCATTTTACAGTTGAGGAACCCAAGGCAGAGAAGTTAGGTAACTTGCCTGACGTCACACAGCAAGTGATTAGCAGAGATGGGACGGTAATCTAGGTCTGCTTGCTTGCAGAGCACATGTTCGTGTTCTCTCCTATGGTGCACAGGCTGCTCCACCTGCATGGGCCCAGCCTGCACTTGCACGGGCCCAGCCTTTACCTGTATAATCCCAGCTTTTACCTGCATGAGCCCAGCCTTCATCTGCACAGGCCCAGCCTTTACCTGCATGGGCCCAGCCTTCATCTGCATGGGTCCAGCTTTTACCTGCATGGGCCCAGCCTTCACTTGCACGGGCCCAGCCTTTACCTGCATGGGTCCAGCCTTCATCTGCCCGGGCCCAGCCTTCACTTGCATGGGCCTAGCCCTTACTGGCATAAGGCCAGCCTTTACCTGCATGGGCCCAGCCTTTACTTGCATAAGCCCAGCCTTTACCTGCATAAGCCCAGCCTTCACCTGCAGGGGTCCAGCCTTCACCTGCATAAGCCCCGCCTTCCTGCGTGGGCCCAGCCTTCACCTGCCACTTGGTTTGCCTCAGCCAATGGGCCTCTCCGTCAGCACCACATCTCTGCAGAGGCAAGGCTGAGGCATAGAACCTGAACCATCTGTGCCTCCTTCTCCCTTGTTCACTATATTCAGGCAATAAAACAATTCATTCTCCTTTGCATTCATCATGTGTTGCAAACCTCTGTCTCAATCCTATTGCCAGCAGGTTAGGCAGGACCCTCATCACTTAATCTCTAGGCTCTACTGCCTGAATCAAGCTCCTTGCTTCAATCCATCTTGCTTGAAAGACTCATCTTTAGGAAACATCTCTGCTGCTCAGAAACCTAGAGTGTAAACTTCCCATCTGCCTGGCCTAGCAGTCAGAAGTCCCACCAGCAGGCCCGTGGTGTCTTGCTGCTCCCCTGATGATGTTGACTGGACCAGTTATAGGTCTTCCTGGAGCCCTTTTGCTGTGATTCTGTGCCTCTGCCTCTCTTCTCCATGCTGCCTCTCTGAAACCGACCCTTGAAGGCACAGTATTCACCTGGGGAACATTTACTAAGACCAGGCCCCCATCTTAGAGTTAGTCATTAATTAAATTCATGCCCATTCACCAGGTTCCAGACTCTAGTTAGTATGCAGTTGGCCAGAATAACTCTTTTTCCCCGCTGCCTGCAACTGACTCAACTTTCTTCTTCTGTACAACTAATTAAAAGTGAACTAAAAATAAAACCACTCTTAGTATTAAAGTGGCAAAAAAATATATAAAATAAAAATAGAGTGACTTCCCCACTTCCTCACAGCACCAGCCACTTCTTGTTATTCCAGAAAGGGAGTTTTCTGTCCTTCTTAAAATTATTCTCATTATAATTGCTTCAGGAACCTGAAGAGTAGTGTTCAAAGTTTGTGTTTGTTGGGTCTAAGTGATAATCCTCCCAAATTCTATAATTATGTGTGTACAATGATTAAAAACATTTCTTGGAGGTTGATATATATTGAGAGATTTTTTATATTCTTAAAAATGTTTTAAGACTATATGAATTGGAATATGACATTCCAGTTAGAATAGATTTGTATCTCATTCAAATTAAGCCTTAAGAACTAAAATAAAAATTAGCTATGAAAACATACTGAATCCAGCTTCCACCCCAGGATGTAGAGAGATGAAAGGAGTATTACTGCCACCTTTGCAATGAAAAAGAACTGGGCTTATTTCAAATGCATGACTGCTTTTGAAACCATTGGAGAGCTGAGGTCATGAAGGTAATGACTTGTGAGGAGTCTAAGGAGAGACAGTGCCTATGGGAGAGAAAATATGAACATACATTCACCTGAGATAGACACATGAGTAGCAATAGTTCAGCTGGAAGAGCTCACTAATTGGTGAAAGCTGAATGTGGACTGATGGGACACAGGGAAGCCCTGGGTCTGCTGAAATTAGGGGGTACACACTCTCTTACAGGCTTTGTCTACAAACCTTTGTCTTCAAAAAGAAAAGCAGTAAGTGTTGGCAAGGAGGTAGAGAAAAAGAAACTCTTGTAGACTGTTAGTGGGAATGCAAATTAGTATAGCCATATGGAAAACAATATGGAGGTTCCTCAAAAAATTTGGCGTAGAACTACTTTGTGATTTAGCTCCAATTTCCAGGTATATACCTGAAGGAAATTAAATCAGCACCTCATAGAGATATCTGCACTTCTGTGTTCATTGCAGCATTATTCACAATTAGCCAAGGCATGGAAACAACCTAAGTGTTTGTTGACATATGAATTGATTAAAAAATGTGATGTATATATACAATGGGACTGGATGTATATATATGTATATGTATACACCACATTTTTTTAAATTAAAAAAACAAAACAAAACAATCAAATGAAAAAAGTTGGGAAAGACATTTTGGGTGGCAAAATGGGAAGCACTTCTGCATGCTCTCTGATAACAAAATGAAACACTGCAAGGCCACTCCAACTGCACCATGGGCAGCCATGTTACTGGTGGTTTGGAAAGTTACTGCCCAAACATGTGCAAAGAATGGCTTCTATCTCTGTGCTTCCTCAGCATTTTGCTCAGATCTCAGCGTCAGCTCCTCTCCCACTGTTCTGGAATACTTATTCTCTTCACTGTCGCCCTGTTGGACTGTGAGCTCAGGATCATGTCGCATTGTATTTTTAGATCCCAGCACAGTGCCTCACATGGCGTTGGTGGTCAACAATAGCTCCCTGGATTGATTTGTCTGATTTGCAGGCTTCAGAAATGTTGGGAAATACATGACAGAGATTTTGATATTTATTTTGGGAGGAAATCATATTTAGAAATTGATCAGTCTTTGCTAATTGGTCAGAATGGGCTCTTGCCTTTGAAATCTGATTTTGATACACCATCCCTTAGGGAGTTTCTATTAGCATATGACATTTCGTTGTTGTGTGCTAGCCTTACCCCAATTATGTTTTGGTACTAGCAAATGTATTTATGTTTTATTTCAAACAGAAGGCTAAATGTTCAAAGCACTGTCTTTATATGGGAATCATCCTGATGCCTTTCAGTGAAAAATAATGGCCAGATTGATCAGAGGCATGAAAGCTAGGGTAACTCCTCACCTCTTTATAGTTGTTTACAATTTAGAAAATAAGGCCACAACTATCATCTCTTTTAACCCTCACAACCATTCTGTGAGGTGAGCAGAGCATAGATTATAACCCCCATTATGCAGAGGAGAAAACAGAGTCTTATCTAAGTGACTTGCAGAGATCTGAGTCAGGTCAAAGACTTTGGAGTTTCAACTCATAGAGTCTCCTCATGTTCCATGGCCACTCTAGGAAAGAACCCTGACATTCTAGTTGTTTTGTGAAATCTTAATTCTATACTCTGCTGAGCCCCTTGTCAGTATGCTTTCCTGCAGATTGTGTTTATTTTTCTATCTTATGAAAAACCTCATTAATAGGTTTTGCTGTTCATTCTTCTGTGTGTGTAATGTCAATAGGCTTGAGTATAGCTGAAATAATTGGACCGGGGGGTTTCTGAGCTGGGAGTTCATTGTCAAGTCAGCTGTCGCTGATTCTTTATCAATGTGAGAGAACTCAGCCATGCAAAGACCTTTCCCTGCTACTTACCTGCAAATCAGGCAGCATCAGCATATTAGCAGGTAGTCTTACAGAATGCAAATTCTGTCATTTAGAATCTAAGTAATTGGAAGCACAACTGGGGAATTGTCTAAATTGTATATTTAAGCAAAAAAAAAAAAGTTTTTAAGTTTTCTCTCTGTTCAGCCTAACCCTTTATTAGTAAAAGTCCATGTGAAAATTTGTTTTCTCTTCTATGAACTTCATTCATTGATTCATTCATTTATCCATCCAGTCAATCAGCATTCATTATTCGTCTGCTCTGTACCAGGTACTGGCCCATGTGCTTGGGAATAGAAAGGTTACTAAGAGGATCTCTGCCCGAATGCATCAAGTTTTCAGGCAACAGACAGAGCAGGGCTTTTTACAATCCCCGGGAGCCCTGGCAGGCTAGTGTGGGGATGAGTCAGAAGGCACCCTCCAAGGTGAGATGCTGAGTTGAGTGCTGAGGGTGGGCTCACTGGTAGAGGCCCACTGGTTCCTGGCAGAGCTAGACTTAGAACCCAGGTTTTCTAATTGCTGGGAACATTTTAATCCCTTAAACCTTCAAGGCCTCCTTAGCAAAGAAATCCTGGTGTGATTAAGGGGGAGAGGGCAGGATTAGACTTTCTGGCACAGCAAGTGAAGGCAAAGGCTCAGGCTTACCATAGCACTTGGAGGCATGTGATGCTGTTTAAAATTACTGAGGTTTAGGAAATCACAGCAAGGGGCGAAGAGTCAGGCAGATGCCAGAGCCAGGACAGTCCTGTGTCCTGGCCAAGATGGTTGGACCTTAGCTTGCAGGTCATGGATGGATATGGATGGGCTTTTAGCAGAAATGTGACATGCTCAAACCTGACTGTTAGAAATTTCCTATGAAAGACAAGATGGGCTAGGACAGAGACAGGGATAATGGAAGTGGCACAGCTCAGCCTGAGATCCTTGGAAGGTGGAGGCAGCAGGACTAGGAGCCAAGCTAAACGTGCAGGGGTCCAAGACGCACAGGGAGGCAATGTCCCGGTTTTTGGTGCCCACAGGCTGTGTGACCTTGTGTAACCTCCAATTCCTCATCTGTCAGATGAGTCTAGTGACTCCTACTCTGCCTCCTCACAGATTACAGAGATGACCCAGTGACTAAGCGAGGAAGGGTGCTGTGTAAATGGTAAAGTGCCGTTAAGTAGGATTTGTTATTATTATGTAAATCGGGGGTTGGAGAACTATGGCTCATGAACCAAATGTGACCTACTGCCTGTTTTTGTAAAGCAAGTTTTACTGGCTGGCAGCCACAGCCGCTTGTTAATGTTGTTGTGTATGGCTGCCTTCTTACTACAAGGCAGAGTCAAGTCGTTGCATCAGGAACCATGCAAAGTCATTGCATCAGACCGAAGTCTGAAATATATACTAGCTGGCCTTTTACTGCAAAAGACTGCTGCTTTCTGGTTTAAGTCATGGGCTGTGGTTTTGCCAAATTTAGTTATTAATTGGTGTGTGAAGATTCCAGAATCTCTCCATTTATGGATTTGAGTCCTGTTAGGCAGGCAGCCAGGGCTCTTTTGGGTGTCTATCTTCCCTTGGACCTGGCAGTGAATGATTTCTCCTCTAAGAAAGGGGGCAGAGTGTCTTCACAGCCCTGCCATCCTCATCTCTCATTGAGAACACACAGGGAATATGCTAGTTTCAGTCTGGGTCATCCCTCAGAAGAGATGCAAAGAAGACCTCGCCAATGGGCTTCCTGTGAATTTCTACCTAAGCCCTTGGTGTGCCCTTTCTTCTCTCTCCTTTCCTGGTAGTTATTTTAGCCTGATTGTTGTTCATTTCACTTATTTTCCAATTTCCTGGATCGATTTTGTTTCTCTACTTCCTTCTCCCAGCAATTTTCATTCTTCTGTTACAGTTAACAGCCTCTGTAATAATAAGTAGAAACCAGACTAAATTATGGTCATTACTGCCCAATGCTTAGCTCCAAGCCAGCACATGACGTTGTCACTTTTGGGGTTCAAACTACCCTTGACATCTCTTTGCATTTCTTGCTCTGAGGATGGCAATTACGCACTTACAGGCAGAGAAGAACGGAGGGGAAAGGCCACTGGCCACCTAGGTTTGCCTCCTTCCTTGCCATTGCCTTTCTTACAAAAGAAACCAATTTGGACTCCGTTTTTACATGAGGCCTCCAGCAATCCTCAGTTCCAGAAATATCAGGAGGATTTAGAAGCTGCATGTGCTATTAAATATTGTCCATGTTGAAAGCAAATAGAGGAACATGTGAAGCACAAACACGTATCACCTTCATTTCTCACTTCACTTTGACTCGCTAAGACGAAGTCTGCTCCAAAGCCTACTTGGGAACGTGTGCTCTCAAGCCTGAAAATGGCCCCATCCTCCCAGGCCTTATTTCCATGTAGTAGAGAAAAGGGAAAAAAAGAAAAGAAAAAAATAGAACACCAAAGCCGGCAGAGCCCTTGGAAGCAAGGTGGCTAACGTTTCTCACAGTGCAGATGGTGCAGAGGCCCAGATGCTATGGAAACAAGCACTGGACAGCTGCCGGGTAGAGTGGCGGAAGATTTCTTCACTTGTTCAGTATCTGTTTGCTTTTTCAACTGGTGTACAAAGAGTACTTACTGCTGTCCTGAGATAATTCCCAGCACTGGATAGCCTGCCCCACATCTGAGCCACAGGACCATTTGTCTGTCCCTGGCTGACTTTTCCTGCCGGCCCTCCCCAGGCATTTGGCCTGGTTTGTTTCCCTTTCAGTTGCCACTCTCCCCCTTGGGGACTCCTCCACATGCTACAGAATGGGATCCTGCCACTTCATCCTTCAGGCACTCCCACCCTGCAGCTGTTTCTCTTGTAATGGTTTTTCTGGAAAAAGACACAAATGTAGAGAACAGATGTGGGTGAACAAAATGCTCCTGAATCTCAGAATTTGCAGTTGTTGGCCCTGGTCTGTGGCTACCGACTCCCTTGGGAGAGAGACCTCAGATGTTCTCATGGATACTGGCTCACTTCTTCTATTCCTGAGGTGGTCCTTGAGCCTCCCCCATGGGACTCAGCTCTCCCTGCCTCCATAAATGTGGACCAAAACTCCCAATAGTGGTGAGATGTGCTCTCTCCTCAGGGGACACAAGGTAGCTCCGTCTGGCTTGAATGAAGAGTGATGTGAATATTGGAATAGAGAGTAACCTTGTGCAAAGGGGAGCTCCTATTGAAGGATTGTGGGTAGGGGCTGATGTGATCACAGTTGAGCTTTGGTGAATTTAATCTGCCAGTGATGTGTAGGTTAGATTTGAGGGGATGAAGCTGGAGAGGAAAGTTTAATTAGGCAGTAGCTCAATGCAAACAAACTGATGAAAGAGGAAAAAAGTAAACTGATTTTACCGCACAGGAAGGCAGAGATAACCTCAACCATCAGGGATTAGGCAATGTACGATGGGGCCTTTGGATTAACTGTCACGGAATGACTTAGGGACAAGTGCGAGCACTGGGATTTATGGGTAGCAAAGTCTGAAGGAGAGCAGCCCCTGTGAAGGCCACCTCCTGGACCAAGGGCAAGGGTGGGGCTTAGAAAGACAAAAACCCCAGAGTCTGACATGAGCAGTGGGTTTCAAGAAAGCCCTTAGCTTGCCAGTTTGGAACTGGCAGATTGCCACGAGCTTGGTGCAGGCCAACTGCTGAGCCCCACATCTGTTTGCTGAGTCTAGACAGCATAAGTTCACCCCTGGCTGTTATTTGCTGTTTTTGATCAATTTTCTGAGGAGCTTTTCCTTTGATTTTT
This sequence comes from Homo sapiens, assembly GCF_000001405.40. NCBI lineage: Eukaryota > Metazoa > Chordata > Mammalia > Primates > Hominidae > Homo > Homo sapiens. The sequence continues at coordinate 15,040,501 of NC_000002.12, read as the reverse complement.
TTCTTCCGGAGCCCTGAATGTTTGCTGTCTTAGAGAACACAAGGTGGTCGTGCCTGGGCAGGTCCATACGCATGTGCTTAAGACTCAGCCAAGACTTCTTTGATCAGAACAAATAAACCAACAATCTTGCGGTAATCAGAGATCCCTACCTGTTTGTGAATTCAGGCTCTATGTTACCCTGGGAAAGTCATTGTAACCTCTTGGAGCCTCAATTTTCCCACCTGTAATAAGCCTTACCTTGCTGGACTGTGGCGAGGTTAAATGAGTGTGTGTCTGACACACAATAGGAACACAATGACTATGACTCTGCAGCGGAGAAAAACAGTCCACGCTCTTGAGACCTCCTTTGGCTCCTAGGATCCTGCTCTTTGCAGGTACTTCAAGCTCCAGGGGACCTTCTGAAGGCCTTGAGCAGGGTTGGGCTGCAGGGGCAGCCTTCTCGATTCCATCCTCGCAGAGTGCTCCTCTCTCTCTGCTGAGCTGTCATTCTCTCTGGAGACGGGGAAGATGGATCACCGTCTTGAAGATGCATCACTCACATCACCACCTGCCTGACCTATTACAAGACTTAAGCTGCCACTTAATTTGTCCCCCATTTAGTGCAGAGACATCCCCACCCCCTCACCTTTAGCAGAGCTTGGAGGAGGCACCAGGAATGAAGACAAGTCAGGAGATGATCAGCCTCCCAGGCTGTCCTTTCTGAGTTCTTCTGGCCCTCAGAGGCTGCCGGAAGGAATTGGATTCCATCAGTGGCTGGGGTGTCCGAGCTGAGACTGGGGCCAGGCCACAGCCTCAGGGAGGGAACTGCTGGGTTTGGAGGTGGTGAGCAGAGCTCAGCTCTCTGTACTTCGGAGGATTTGTTTTAAAGTCATGGCTTTACGGAAACCCCTCACCTTCTGTTAGCTCCCCCAAAATGCTTATCTAAAAGCTCCTGGCTTGTGCATAGAATATTGAGCTGTGGTGCACACTCCCTTCTTGGCTCCTGGGATAGGATTTGATGTAATCAGCCTTTGAATTTCCAGAGGCCCTTAATCTTCTTTGACCCACACAGAGTCACTGACGAGCCTGTGAAAAATCATATGGAACAATTTCTTTAAATCCTTCCCTGACTTTTTTCTATGAGGATTTTGAATCATAGGGTGTTTCTGAGCTGAAGGCGCCTTAGAGGTTGTTAGCACAGGAAGCTGGGGGCTGGCTTCCAGACATCCCCATTTTCCACTCATTCATTCAGTGTGCAACCGCAGCAACGCCAATAGCTTTGTACTTGGCTTTCACTGATGACATCTTGTTTAATCCTCAGTGCAGCCTCAGGAAATTGGTGTCATTGTTTCCATTTTACAGATTAGGAAACTAAGTTTCAAGTGCAGATAAGCCACTTGCCCAAAGACAGAGGGCTAGTCAGAGTCAGAGTGTGTATTCAGATTTATGTCCACTATGTCTATTTTCACAAGCAGTTGAGTCACCATTACAAATATTTATTCCTAGGGTTTTGGTGGAACTAGGACCATGTCAGGAGCCAGAGCAGAGATGGATTTACCACTAGGCCAACGAAGATGATGCCTCAGGGTCTAAATTCACATGATTACATCTTTTGGTAAAATTTGCAGAAGACATTGTATCTGTAATTGGTTAAGATAATTGTCTCTTTCTATTCTGACTTCCTCCCCATCCCACTTCCTCTCTGGCCAGGCAGCATGGAGTGGCTACGGGCCAAATTAGCTTTGGGAACATATTCGAGTGAATTCAGTGGGAGATATTCACATGGTCGCAGTCACTTTTGGAAATAGGCTACTGCTGCTTGTCCTCGGGGAGGAAGGGCTTCCAGAAGTCCTCCTACTGTTCACTCTGCAAACCCACCTGACATCACGACACAGAAGTGTAAGGTCAGAGGTTGTAAAACAATATGACATGTCTGAGGGCACCAGGCAGCAGATGTCTGTGGCTGGTGCAGGAGCAACAAAGTGTGAAAAGTACACAGCCAGAGCTAGTCGCGGGAGCTTCTAATCATGAGATGTGCAGACCGAAGTGAGATGTTTGGTTCTTATCTAATAATCAAATAGAAGTTCTTTCCTGTTAAGAATATAGTCAGTTGGCGGGGCGTGGTGGCTCGTGCTTGTAATCCCAGCACTTTGGGAGGCCAGGGCAGGCGAATCACAAGGTCAGGAGTTCAAGGCCAGCCTGGCCAAATGGTGAAACCCCATGGTGAAACTAAAAATACGAAAATTAGCTGGGCATTGTGGTGCGCGCCATAGTCCCAGCTACTCAGGAAGCTGAGGCAGGAGAATTGCTTGAACCTGGCAGGCAGGATTTGCGGTGAGCTGAGATCGCACCACTGCACTCCAGCTTGGGCGGCAGAGCAAGACTACATGTCAAAAAAAAAAAAAAAAAAGAATAAAGTCAGTGACATATATATATATATATTATATAATTATAAAACCACCTTTTTTTGGTTGTTTGATGGGAGTCATGTGAAATGGAATTTCTCAAAATACTTGTATTTTGTGAAGTGTATCCAATTTGAGGCTGGGACCAGGCCACAGTCAGACGGAGGGGCCATTGGTACCACAGCACCACAATTAGCAAGTATGTCTGTGTGCAAAGTCATGTTTTATGCATCCCAAATAGTATGACTGAAACCTGAGTTTTAATCAATCATGCTAGAAGAAAGACTGAATTAACTTTTTACTGTTTCTATGTAAATAAGTATAGCAAATCATTGAAATCATATGAAAAGAGGATCAAAGAGTGTGCAGACACAAAATGTAGAAAGAAAGATTGTAAAGGTGTTATCAGGCATATAATTAAAAATAAAAAAGGCTTGTTTTCTAGATTCCATGGTACTGTATTTGTCTGCTTTTGACATTTTGTTATTTACAAAAATTTTATTTTTAATTCCAAATAATTATTAATTTAATGTGATTTTAATTTTGTTATTTTGTATTCTTTTTCTAATCGTGGGTCCTTGGAAGTGTAAAAGTTTCAGGTTTCAGATAAAATATATCCACCCCTGAGCAGCGAGCAATTTTGTACACTGTGGGGTGCTCTGAGCATGTCGGCAGTTGTAGTACCCCGCCTTGCGGGTGGGGCCAGGGTGAGGATGTGATGGGGAGTTTCTGTCGGCAGTGGTAGTACCCCTGCCTTGCGGGTGGGGACAGGGTGAGGATGTGATGGGGAGTTTCCAGGAAACTCCCATGGAAGTTAGAAGTCGGGGTGTCTCCTAGTGGCCTGCCCCACTTTGGCCTTGCATTCCCAGGCCAGCCTTTTAGAATGCAGGCTCCTGAGTGAAAGATCACAGCAGGGCCCCAGAAACTTTAGGGGTCATGGAGGAAGGAGCAGGATCACCATGCTTGCCACAGAGAAGACAAAGTACGAAGTTCTGCTGTGGGTCATCAGATTAGCCTTTACCGTGTGAATCTAAGCTCCAAAAAACACTGTTTCTGTCCCTTTGATGTTTACATTTAAGACATCAAATCTATTCATTGTGCATCCTTCCTATACCTCCACCCATTGCCTGCCCATATCCAAGGTCCCAGTCAAGTTCTGCCTTTTCTAGAACCTTCCTGGCTTGCCTAACCTGCAGGGTATCCCCTAGGGAGTCTAATTTCCATCCTGCCCAGGCCCCTCCTTGGATACTTTGTGTCCTCTACATCTGCCAGCTGTGTGCTCTTGGGCAGCCAATAACCCCTCTGAGAGTCAAGGTCTGCATTTGCAAGCTGGGGGTGAGTAATGTTTAAGCAACCTGCCCTGTCTACCTGAGGAGCTGCGTGAGTACCAAATGTGCGCTGGGGGAGAAAGCTTGGCCAAGCTGTAAGTTACAAGCTCCAGTACTAAAGTCACTCTGCTGATTCTCTGTACTTATGTCAGATCCCTCCAGTTATATCTGGAACGAGGGTACAGCATTCATGATCTTGAGACCTTCTGTAGCTCCTTGTACAAAGAACATGCTCAATCAGAACTCGGGAGTGTTAAGGTGGAAAGTGACTCAGTTTCTGGAGTCAGGCCTGGGCTGGAATTTTACATTGTCATATTACCGATGTGATCTTGAAGACTTTACCTAACCTTGCAGGGATTGTGTCTTTCTACTGTAAAATGGGAAGGAAAAAGAAATACTTAAGAGACCAGTTCAAGGAATTAATGAGGTCATGCATATAAAATGTCTAGTACACCTTCTAGCACAGCACCTTGCAATTGTATTTGGTAGACCTTATAAAAATACTTACTAGTATTTGTTTTATACCAATGACTCTGCTAGGCACTAGGGATGCAAGCATGAATAAGATTCAAGGTCACTGGTAATGAGGAAAATGCAAATTAAGACAAGATACCATTTAAAAAATACAACATATTAGAAAAATCTAAATTATTGATACTATCAAGTATTAGAAGGGATACAAAAAGGGCAATTCTTCTTTCTGTTGGCGTGAGAATAAATTGGATTTTTAAAGGGCAATTTCATACTTTTCACTTACATTTAAAATATGTGCATACTTTATTTTAAGTTCTGGGGTACATGTGCACTAGGTGCAGGTTTGTTACATAGGTAAATGTGTGCCATGGTGGTTTGCTGCACCTATTAACCCATCACCTATGTATTGAGCCTGGCATGCATTAGATATTTTTCTTGATGTTCTCCCACCCCCTACAGGCCTCGTTCTCCCACCCCGGACAGGCCTCAGTGTGTGTTGTTCCCCTCCTTGTGTCCATGTGTTCTCACTGTTCAGCTCCCACTGATGAGTGAGAACATGTGATGTTTGATTTTCTGTTCCTGTGTTAGTTTGCAGAGGATGATGGCTTCCAGCTCCATCCATGTCCCTGCAAAGGACATGATCTTGTTCCTTTTTATGGCTGCATAGTATTCCATGATATATATGTACCACATTTTCTTTATCCGGTCTCTCATTGATGGGCATTTGGGTTGAGTCCATGTCTTGGCTATTGTGAATAGTGCTGCAATGAACATACACGTGCATGTATCTTTATAACAGAATGACTTATATTCCTTTGGGTATATGCCCAGTAATAGATTGCTGGGTCAAATGGCATTTCTGGTTCTAAGCCTCTGATGAATTGCCACACTGTCTTCCACAATGGTTGAACTGACTTACGTTCCCACCAACACTAAGAAGAAAAGTGTAAAAGCATTTCTGTCTCTCTGCAGCCTCTCCAGGATCTGTTGTTTCTTCACTTTTTAACAATCGCCATTCTGACTGGCTTGAGATGGTATCTCATTGTGGTTTTGATTTATATGCACACACTTTTAACCCAGCAATCCCACTTCTCAGTATTTACCCTAGTGAAACATTTATGTGTAAATTATGAAACATTTACAAAGGTTTTCACTGCAGCATTGTTTGTAAGAGTGAAAACTGGAAAAAAAAAAAAAAACCCCACACTCCCTTAAATACTCATCAGCAGAGGATTGCAATCTGTGGTGCAACATACTATGAAATACTGTACATCGATTTTAAAAAAGAGAATGAATGAAGTCTATACATACTGATATGGAAATATCTTGGTGTAATGTTAGTAAGTGAAAAAGTAAAGTATAGAACAGGGTATCATTTTTGCTAACAACCCTCTCTTCTACCCCCCAACGAAGTGTTTGTATGTGTCTATGGACACATACAGGGAGAAAGCTGGATTGGAACAGTCAAAAATTATTGATAGCATTTTCCCCTGAGGAAGGGCTGGTATTACAGAAGTGGTTGAAAAGGTCCTATAGTATTCTGCTTGATCAATACCATCTCAACTATTAGCAAGTACATGCATTCATGCTTTACATGAATTAAAAAAATGAATTAAAAAGAAAAAAATACTAGGGAGTAGTCCACCGGCACTTAAGAGTTCATACTCTGATTATTGAGATGAGCAGGGCATAGTTTCAAAGCTGGAAGTTATTGCTGAGTGTACAGGACATCCTCTGTAGTTGGATATTTTTCTTTGCTTTTTGTCAAGGCTTGTCTTAGTTCAGGCTGCTACAACAAAGCACCACCGGCTGTGTTGCTTAAAAACAACAGAAATTTATTTTTCACAGTTCTGAAAGCTGGAAGTCCAAGATCAGGGTGCCAGCATGTTTTGATTCTGGTGAGGGCCCTCTTCTGGATGCAGAGTGTTGATGGTGGCAGGAAGCTTTCTGCTCGCCCTTTTTTCTTGCTTGCTTGCTTGCCTGCCTGCCTGCCTTCCTTCCCTCTCTCCATCTTTCTTTCTTTCTTTCTTTCTTTCTCTCTTTCTTTCTTTCTTTCTTTCTTTCTTTCTTTCTTTCTTTCCTTCTTTCTTTCCCTCTCTTTCTTTCCTTTCCTTCTCTTTGTTTCTCTTTCTTTCATTCTTCTTCTTCCTCCACCTCCTCCTCCTCCCTCTTTCTCTCCCTCTTCCTTTCCTTCTCCTTCTCCTTCTTCTCCTTCTCCTCCTCCTCTTCTTCTTCTTCTTCCTCTCCTTCCCCTCCTCCTCCTCCTCCTCCTCCTCCTTCCTCCTCCTCTTCTTCTTCTTCTTCTTCTTCTTCTTCTTCTTCTTCTTCTTCCTCTTCCTCTTTTCTTCCTCTTCTTCTTTTCACTTTTTTGACAAGGTCTTGCCCTGTTGTCCAGAGTGGAGTGGAGTGGTGTGATCTCAGTTTACTGCAAACTCTGCCCCCTAGGTTCAAGCCGTCATCACACTGTAGCCTCCTGAGTAGCTGGAACTACAGGAGTGAGCCACCATGCCTGGCTAATTTTTGTTATTTTTTTTGAAGATGGGGTTTTGCCATGTTGCCCAGGCTGGTCCTGGGCTCAAGCAATCTTCCCACCTCCCAAAGTGCTAAGATTATAGGTGTGAGCTACTGTGCCTGGCCTCCTGTTCTTATAAGAGAGTTCATCTCATTCATGAGGAATTCACCCTTATGAACTAATTATCTCCCAAAGGCCCTATCCCCAAATACCATCACATTGTGAATTAGAGTTCAACATATGCATTTTTTTGGGAAACGACAATGAGTCCTTAACATTCCACCCCAGGCCCCCAAATTTATGTCCTTCTCACGTCCAAAATATAATTATTCCATCCCTACAACCCTAAAAGTCTTAAGTTATTCTGGCATCAATTCTAAAGTCTAAAGTTTGAAGTCTTATTTAAATATCATCCAAATAAGTTATGGGTGAAACTCAAGGCGTGATTAATCTGGAGAAAAAATTTCTCTCTGGCTGTGAATGTGTGAAACAAAACAAGTAATTTGCTTCCAAAATACAGTGGTGGAACAGGCATAGGATATTTATTCCCAGTTCAAAAGGGAGAAATAGGAAAAAGAAAGGAGTAAAGGGTCCCAAGTAAGTCTGAAACCTAACAGGGCAAACAGCACTAAACCTTACATCTTCAGAATAATCTTCTTTGGTCTGATGCTATGCCCATTGGAGTGGCCGTTCCACTTTCCAGACCCACTGGGGTGGTGGTCCTTTCCCCAGAGCTCTGCCAGGCAGGGATCCTGCCCCCAGGGTTCTGCTGGATAGTAGTCAAGTTCTTAAGACTTTGGGTAGCTCATGGCTTTGGGCAGAGGTTGGTTGGCCTGAGGAAAGCTAGGTGACCTCCTTCCCCTATGAAATCAAAGAGATAGCCATGATGATCTCTGAACTGCCTTTAGGGTCATTCTTCCCTTGTCTTGAAGAATAGAGCATGTTTTCAGCCAAATAGCTCTGCTGTGCCATCTGTGCTGCCCCATATGATAACCTTCCTTCATTCCTTCTCAGATCCTTCCTTTCAGTTGGAACTGGCAGTTTTCCTACTGGGGTAGCTGGTTAAGTCCGTGGTTCACACCCATGGGAATCTCCTTATTAAATGATCTCTCCACCATATCCTTGATGCTCTCTTCTGAACATGTTTTCTCATTTTTTGCAATATAGATAGGCCAAAAATTTTCTAAATATTTAAGTTCTAGTTCCTTCTTGCTTAATAACTCTGTCTTCAGGTTATTACCCTCTCCTTGTATTTTACTACAAGCTATGAGGAGGAATTCAGTTACTCCTTCAACACCAGTTTAGAAACCTACTCAACCAACTATCTAATTTCATCACTCACAAGTTCTACCTTTCACAAGACACTGGAACATAAATAAAATTGGGCAAAGTTATTTGCCATGTTACAACAAGAATTTCTTGTTCTCTATTGTTCAGTTATACAATCCTCATTTCCACTGGAGACCTCATCAGAATGGCCTTTTAAAAGTTTCTTCATAACAGTCTCAGCTTATTCTAGCATGCACCTCAAAACTCTTCCAGTCTCAGTACATTACCTCATTTCAAAGCCACTTACACATTTGTAGGCACTGTTACAGCGGCACCCCACTTCTTGGTACCAATTTCTGTCTCAGTCACAAACATCTAGTCCATAGCAAGGTGGAGTCCAGGAGAAGAGTAATGACTGAGCACACAGTATTAGTTTAACCCCTGGGGATTTTAGAGTGTGGTCAGGAAACAACTCGACTCCATTCCTCTGCAGCTGGTTCAGATCTGCACTGTGGCGCTAGCCAGCCCTGCCCTCTCTGTTCCTTCTCTGGTTAGTTACTCAAGACTTGTGCTGGCACCTCTGGCCACCTAGAGGCACACTTCTACACTTCTACATTCTTCCAGCTGAGGTCTCTTGGGCTTTCAGGAGGCCCTCCCTGGCAAGATCCAGGATAATCTCCAGCCAGTTCTCTTTCACAGGGCCCCATCTGACCCCACATCATTTGCATGAGGAATTCAGCACACACTTGCTCGCCCAGTGCAGTAGCCTGTCTTCATGCAACAGTGTTGCCTGAGCAGCTAGTCAGCCACAGGCCTTTCAAATTTCACAGGCATGAATAAGTTGGGTTTTCCAAGCTCTGGGAATGTGGGGGAAAAGCTCTCTTCATGGTTCCGAAGCCCCTCTTACTAGGCTGGAGTTGAGGGAGGAGGTGAGATGGCACACCAACTGCCTCTCCACATCTGTTCTCCAGCTTTTTCTCTCTCTTGTCTTTTATCCAACCTCAGCTATAGACCAGAGGTGGGTAGTTTGCTAGGGGTCTTCTGCCTCACTGTGGACCATGGGATTAGTTGGCATTCATTGTCTCGAGGCCTCAACCAAACAAAATTTGAAAGAGCTCTGTGTAACTGCCACAAAGAATGTAGTGCAGTTTGACTGGGACTTGGATCAGGACTGTGGACATGTTGAGATTATGGTTCTTAAGTCCTTTACTTTAAAAATGAGACTATTGAGGCTTAGAGATGCTAAACAACTTGTCCAAGCTCACACAGCTATTTAGTGGTAGAGTTGGCAGTTAACATGAGATTGTTGGTTGCTGATAACCCTTGTAGCTCCCAACTCCATGTCAATTATCATAAATTGCTTCATGACCATGAGATGCTTTATATTTTTTGACAGCCAATGATTGGCATATTGCTATAGGAACTATACATTCTGTAAAAACACTTAGAGATTATACTTTCTCTTTTTATATTTGTAATCAAATGATGGAGTGGCGCATAGCAGCCAATCTGTGATTCACAACTAGGGTTCTGAGGCAGTGCCGGGGACAAAGGAGAACACGGTCAGATTCCTAGGACCCTGACATCACACATGGAGAGGCCAGTTTGCCACACACAATCTCTTGCAGTGGTTCTCAATGAGAGGACATCAGCAATGTCTGGAGACATTTTTGGTTGTCATAACTGGGAGGAGAGGGGGTGATATTGATATCTAGTGGGCAGAGGCCAGGGATGCTGCTCTACATCCTACCATGCACAAGATAGTCCCCACAACAAAGAATGTGTGACCCCAATGTCAATAGTGCTGAGAAACCCAGCTGTAGAGCATGAACTGCCAAAAGCTGTATTAATGATTGTACATCAGCAGTTCAGAGGTGGAGAAATTCAGGGCATGAACCAGAGCAAGATCTGCAAACCTCACACACACGGCACTGCCACTCTCCCCTTCCCTGTCATCCTGGCAGAAAGAGAGGTGCCCACACCTGCTCTGTCCTTCCTTCTTTGCAGTGGCATTGGGAATGGAGCCTACCATCAAGGCCATGTTGGGTAAAGAAACTCTTGTGCCTGGGAAACTCATCAGTATGAAGAGCATGTTATATTGTTGAATTTACCCTGCTCAAACCTGTACCAGTCATTCTCCTGCTGACAAAGCTCCAATAATTTAACCATACATTACTGTGACCTACAGAATCCAAACTTCAACCCACTTCTACCTTTTCCCTTCCTTGCACTCTCCTCTGACTATCACATGCTCCACCACCCTGAACTTCTATCTGTTCCGGAATGTGTCCTGTTTTTTCATTGCTAGGCCCTCCTGTGTATTTTTTTTTGTGGGAAAATAATTGTGCTTAAAAACATCACCTTCCACACTTTCCCAGAAGATGATTTTCTGAAGACAACAGACAGCTGCTTAAATTAATTAAGAGCAGAAACAACATGATGAAGAGTTTCCTCCCTGGTGAGCTGTGGAGGCTGTGAGACTGAATTTTTTTTCCATGCTAAAAAGTTCGCCTTTCAGAAAAGTAAATTACTAACATTTTTTGAAAAATGAATCCTTTTGGATCTTTCTTGAAGTCTCAGCTCTTATTTGAGAAAACACTGCAAATATTAGATTCGAGAGTCTGTGTTGAAAGCACCTAGAATCTCCCTCTTCCCCTCCCCTGCCTCCTGACCTTCCCTGTATTTGACAGGTAACATTGGGAAGGGCACCAGACAATGCCTCCCAGGCAGTCAGTGGCAAAGTTGGAATGAAAGGCAGGCCTGCACTCTGCCACCTCCTCTCTGTCCTTAGCTCTGTGACTTTGATGGGGTCATTTGCCCTCTCTGGGCTTCCTCATCTGCTACATCACCTGATTATACCTTACTAGAACACACAAGAACACGAAAACCTATCAGAATGTTTTGATCAGTCACCATCAGCCCTGCTCATATACTTCCTACCGTGATATACGCATGCGTGTTCTTCCGAGGCCCCGTAATGGGTTTCTTCCGATTCCTTTATCTCTCCCAAGAGTTTGCTGAAATTACTCTAGTTTGACTTCTGTATTTTACCTCATTTTCCCCCCTTTCTGATCCCAAGGTTCCTCTTTTCTTTTGTTACTAACAAGCTTCATCTATAAAGTCAGTGTAACAGTGGTGAACCAGCCTGAAGGCAGCGAGTCTGTATCAGCTGATTTCAGGATAAGATTTATAATGCAATTATGGTTCTGAGAATAGTCTCACTTTTGAGAGAAGGTGCTTTGATTAGAATTTGTAGCTGCATCCTCCTAGTGGGACCTTCTTCCTGATGCCAGTCTTACCTTCTATTTTTTAGAGAGTTCTCTACGAGCTTTAAAAGCTATATTTTAAAATCAACAATTTTTTATTATGAATCCCTTTGGAGCTGACTGAAAATCAACAAGCATTCATTTCTTCATTCAGCAAATGTGCCCTGAACACACACTGTACATCAGGCTCTGGGGCTACAGATATGGACCAGACTAAGTTGTATCTTCTAGAAGCCTACAAACTAATAAGGGAATAAACTCATTCACTCAATGGTCCAGGTATGATTCCAGGTGTTGAGAATTTAGTGCTGAATGACACCGATGAGTTCCTTGCTGTTATTCCAGTCACATTCTAGACTGGGGAGAGAGAAAGAATTAACAAATGGGGAAGTATATAAAAAAGAAAACATTATGTAGTGATAATGCTCTAAAAAAATAAAACTGAGTAATGTGATAGAGTCTAGGACCTTCTTTAAAACTGAGATTGGGGACTTACTTGTCCTTAGTCTGATACTGGAATGTCAGGAAGGTATGAGAATGTCAACATCTGGAGGAAGGGTGTTCTAGGAGAGGGAAATCTCGAAGATCCAAAGTAGCTGGAGCTTTTTGGGTTTGAGGACAGAGACACTGTAGCTTAGAGAGCAAGATGACATCAGAGGAACACAGATTGCTCAATTATGCAGGGCCTCATAGGTCAGGGAATGGAATTTGGATTTTATTCCGGTACAATGAAGTAAAATTGTTCAAAAGTTTTAAGCAGGAAAATGACACAATCTGATTTATGTTTTAAAAAGATAATAATGCCCTAGCTTTATCAGATTTTGCAATTAAAGTTGTTTTGGCTTCAAAAATGAATTGGGCACTTTCTAAACACATTAGATAATAGTTCTCCAATTTTGTTACGTGTCAGAATCACCTGGAATGCTAATAAAAAATACAGAGACCCAAATTTGTTGAAGTAAAGCAGGCGCTAGCCCTTCGGGTTTTTCCACTAACTTACCCAGACGATTCTTATTCATACCAGAGTTCGAAAGCCACTGGGTTAGAAAGCAATGCAATTATCTGTTGTTTAAAAGTCAGTTAAAATGCAGCTATAAGCACATCAGTTCCTGATGACTTTCTCAATGATAGACCTTTAATTATCTTTCAGGTTTTTTCTGTGGCAATTTATCTATTTAAGAAAACTTTAAAACTGTGCATTTATGAATATAAATGCAAAAATTTCTAAATATTAGTCAATAAGTCCCAGCGATGTATCAAAAGAATAAAGTGTGATGATGAGGCAGAGTTGTTTTCCAGTAAATGAAGTTTCAACATCAATGAAATATGTAGACACATCTATTATATTGACAAACTGAAGGAGAAAGCCTGCATGGCCACAGTAACAAAGGCTAAGGCATGTGATAAAATTCAGCACCAGTCGCTATACCAACTCAAAAAAATAGGGATCAAATAAAACTACGTAAATATGATAAAGACTAAATATGACAATGACAGGAATATGAACAACTAAAAATCAGTGGTAAACGTTATCCTAAATGGAAAAAAATTCATTAAAATTAGGATCTGCAGAGGAAGCCTACTATTCCCTTCGTTATTTAATATGGTTAGGAAGGTTTTAGTGAATGCAAGAACACAGCAAAATAAAATAACTGCTGAAAACATTGGGAAAGAAGAAGTAAAACTATATTTTTTAGCTTATAATAGATTTTACACTAAAAAACCCAAGAGATTCTAGTAAAGCTACTATAATTATTAAGAGAATATGGTAAAGTGGCTAGATATAGGAGCTATCTACAAAAATTAATGACTTTTCTCTAATTTGATATGGAAAAAAATTTATTTACAATATTGAAAAGTCTAAAGTATACACAGTGACAGATAACAACAACAAGAAAAAGAAAAATATAAAATACTTAAGAGTAAATAAAATAATAAAGGCAGTAAATGTACACAAAGAAAACTATGACAATCTTATTTAAAGACATAAAATCAGCCTGAGCCAAAAATATGCATTGTTCTTGGATGTGTGGAACAAGAATCTCTGCAAGTGAAAGACTTCTTGTTATGCACTTATCTATCACTCTAAATTAATATTAAATGTGAATGCCATGCCAAATAGAATCCCACATTTTCTGGGGAGAGGGAATTTAGACAATGATCCTAAAGTTTATATGAAAGAAAGAAAGCCTGAGAGAAAATATCCATGAGAAGTATGATAATGAACAGGGAGTAGAGACCAGGTATTATTATACCCTAAAACCACTGTAATCAAGTGAATATAGAATTAGTTTATGAATGGAAAAATAAATTAATAAGACACAAAATAGAGAACTCATAAATATGTCGTAATAGATGTGAGACTAGTATTTAAGAAACGAAGCTGGCACAACCAGCTATTCATCTGAAAGAAAATAAAAGTAGACACACATCTTAAGCCATATTTTATTCTACATCATACATAAAATATATTTCAGATAAATTAAAGAGTTAAATGCAGCAAAATCTAGAAAACTGCATGTACAATATGGGAGTTAGGAATATCTTCTTAACTAAAACTGCAAACCCAAAAGCTATATAAGAATATACGCATATGATAAAATATTAACAAAATGAATCCAGAAGCACATTAAAAAGCTAATCCAACACGATCAAGTAGGTTTTATCCCTGGGATGCAAGGTTGGTTCAACATACACAAATCAACAAATGTGATTCATCACATAAATGGAATTAAAGACAAAAACCACATGATTATCTCAATAGATGCAGAAAAGACTTTTTTTTTTTTTTTTTTTTTTTTTTTTTGAGACGGAGTCTCGCTCTGTCGCCCAGGCCGGACTGCGGACTGCAGTGGCGCAATCTCGGCTCACTGCAAGCTCCGCTTCCCGGGTTCACGCCATTCTCCTGCCTCAGCCTCCCCAGTAGCTGGGACTACAGGCGCCCGCCACCGCGCCCGGCTAATTTTTTGTATTTTTAGTAGAGACGGGGTTTCACCTTGTTAGCCAGGATGGTCTCGATCTCCTGACCTCATGATCCACCCGCCTCGGCCTCCCAAAGTGCTGGGATTACAGGCGTGAGCCACCGTGCCCGGCCAGAAAAGACTTTTAATAAAATTCAACATCCCTTCATGTTAAAAACTCTCAATAAACTAGGCATCAAAGGAACATACTTCAAAATAATAAGGGCCATCTATGACAAACCCACAGCCAGCATCATACTGAAAACTGGCACAAGACAGGGATGTCTACTCTCAACACTCCTATTCAATGTGGTATTACAAGTCCTGGCCAGAGCAATCAGGCAAGAGAAGGAAATAAAATGCACCCAGATAGGATGAGAGGAAGCCAAACTATCTCTGTTTGCAGATGACATGATTCTGTATCTAGAAAATCCCATAGTATCTGCTCAAACGCTACTTGAGCTGATAAGCAACTTTATTGAAGTTTCAGGATACAAAATCAATGTGCAAAAATAAAAAGCAATCCTATACACTGCCAGCGCCCAAGCCGAGAGCCAAATCAGAAATGCAATCTCTTTCAGAATTGTCACAAAATGAGTAAAATACCTGGGAATACAGATAATCAGGGAGGTGAAAGATCTTTACAAGGAGAATTACAAACCACTGCTCAAGGAAATCAGATGTGACACAAAGAAATGGAAAAACATTCCATCCTCATGGATAAGAAGAATCAATATAGTTAAAATGTCCATATTACCCAAAGCAATTTACAGATTCAATGCTATTCCTATCGAACTACCAATGACATTCTTCACAGAACTAGAAAAAACTATTTTAAAATTCATATGGAACAAAAAAAGCCCAAATAGCTAAAGCAATCCTAAGCAAAAGGAACAAAGCTGGAAGAATCACATTGCCCGACTTCAAACTGTACTGCAAGGCAATGGTAACCCAAACAGAATGGTAATGGTTCAAAAACAGACACATAGACCAATGGAACAGAATAGAGAGCCCAGAAATAAAGCCACACACCTACAACCATCTGATCTTTGATAAAGCTGGCAAAAACAAGCAATGGGGAAAGGATTCCTTATTCAATAAATGGTGTTGGGATAACTGGCTAGCTATACGCAGAAGATTGAAACTGGACCTCTTTCTTATACCATATACAAAAATCAACTCAAGATGGATTAAATATACCTAAATGCAAAATCTAAAACTATAAAACCTTGGAAGATAACCTAGGAAATACCATTTTGGACATTGGAACTAGCAAAGATTTTATGATGAAAACATCAAAAGCAATTGCAACAGAAGCAAGCATTGACAAATGGGACCTAATTAAACTAAAGTGCTTCTGCACAGAAAAGGAAACTATGAACAGGGTAAACAGTCAATCTACAGAATGGGAGATAATATTTGCAAACTGTACATCTGATTAAGTTCTAATATCCAGAATATACAGGAACTTAAATGAACATTCAAGCAAAAAGCATTGCCCATTACAAAGTGGGCAAAGGATATGAACAGACACTTTTCAAAAGAAGACATACATGCAACCAAAAAGCATTTTAAAAATGCTCAATATCACTAATCATTGGAGAAATGCAAATCAAACACAATGAGATACCATCTCACACCAGTCAAAAAATGGCTATTATCAAAAAGTCAAAAAATAACAGATGTTAGTGAGGTTATAGAGAAAAGGGAACACTTATACACTGTTGATGGGAGTGTAAATTAGTTCAGCTTTTGTGGAAAGCAATGTGGCCATTCCTCAAAGAACTAAAAACAGAACTACCATTCAACCCAGCAATCCCATTACTGGGTATATACCCAAAGGAATATAAATTATTCTACCATAAAGACACACTCATGCCTAAGTTGCAGCACTATTCACAAAGACATGGAATCAACCTAAATGGCCATCGACAGAAGACTGGATAAAGAAAATGTGGTACATATATACCATGTAATACTATGCAGCCATAAAAAAGAACAAGATCATGTTTTTTTTTTTGCAGGAACATTGATGGAACTGGAGGTCATCATCCTTAGCAAACTAATGGAGAAACAGAAAACCAATACTGCATGTTCTTACTTATAAGTGGGAGCTAAATAATGAGGACACATGGATAGAAAGAGGTGAACAACAGACACTGAGGCTTACTGGAGAAAGGAGGGTGGGAGGAGGGAGAGGTTTAGAAAAAAACAAAACCCTTGGGTACTATGACTATCCGAGTGACAAAATAATCTGTATGCCAAACCCCTGAGATACAAGTTTACCTATATAACAAACCTGCACGTGTATCCCTGAACCTAAAATAAAAGTTAAAATATTAAAATAAAATAAAATAATTTTCCAGAAAATAAAGTGAGGATATATTTGAATATGTAAAAATAAAAATTTTGTGTATATAAAAATCCCACAAATAAGTCAAATACCAAAGATATTGCTTTGAAAATATTAGTGATAAAAATGAACAAAGTGTGAATATTTTTAATATTCAAAGATCTCTTACAAGTTGACAAGAAGGCAAACAACCATTAAGAAAATGAGCAAAAGTTGTACATTTTCAACTTAGAGAAAAGCAAATACCAGTGCCCAGTAAACTTACTAAATGATGTTTAAATTAACTCTCAAGGAAATAGATGAAAATCACTATAAGATATAATCTTATACCCATTGATTGGCAAGATTTAAAGAGAAACATAAAACTGATAGCTGGCAAGGATGAGAGGAGAACAGTACTTTTAGTTTTAGCTTGGAGAAATGTCAAAAGTTATAACCTTTTTATAAAGCAATGGGCAACATCTATTAAAATAAAAACCAAATATATACTTTGTCCCAGCAGATCTACTCATGCTGATCTTTCTCACGTAATGTAACTATTAAATTCCCATGATTTAAGAACTCATAAGTAAGGATGATTCATGTGGTATTATTCATAGTGGGAAAGCAAAGAAAAACAAAGTGAGCAAAGTGAGTACCTATCAATAATTGAATACATAAATAAACTGTGTTTGAGCACATACCATAGAATACTATAAAGTTCTTAAAAATGAGTTAGCTACTTGGTTGATTGGTCTTACCACTAATTATTATTGAATGAGAAAAGCATGATGCAATCAAATACATATATTAGGATTCCATTTTTATAAATCAAACTGACAAAATGCATCCTATATGCATACAGATATGTATATGCACATATATATCTCTAGAAAATTGAAATAACACAGAAAAATAATAATGGGTGCAGATGAGGAGAAATATAGCTTATTAAGATGGACTACAGTGTTTGAGGAGTGGGGAGGTTGATGTAGGTGAAGGGGGAAGATGGGAAACCAAACAAAAAAAAATAAAAAAAAACTAAATAGGAAAAGTATACATGTAATATCATTCATATAAAATCATATACCTGTATTTATATACAAATAATAAAAATGATTTTTAAAAATCAAACATTCCAAAAGTATTAAAAAGATCACTCTAGACAATATGAGAAGATTGGAAGAATGGATATAGTATGCAAATAGAAGCAGGACAGGCAGTTACAAGGCCATCCAATAATCCAGGTAAAAGATGATGTGGGCTGCAACTCAGGGTTAATTGTAGAGATGAGAGAAATAGATATGTCTTGGAAGTTACAGATCTTCTGATTGATTGGATATGGAGAGAACTGAAAGGTAAAAATGGGTGGATAATGGATTCATTTTACTGATAGAAAAGACTGAGTGATGAATGGCTTGGTTGAGGGAAGAAATAAAGGGTTCTCTTTAGGGGGTATGTTAAAAGTTTCAGATCCCTATTGTAAATCTAGTTGAAAAGGTTAAGTAAGTAGAAAAACCTAGACTCCTACTCCTAAATGAATTGACAATGACTGTCTCTCATTTTGGGTAGTAAGATTGCTGCCACATTTTGGGTAGTGAGATTGTTGACATGACCTCTCAACATCACCGTCTTAGATAGTAGTGAAGAGAGAGGAGTCAGTCATTGAGAGGAAGAGAAAGACAACTTAATATTTGTTAAGCCCTGACTGTAAAGTAGACCATTCACAAAAATTAGTTCATCGAATCCTCATAGCACCTGAATGGGGAAGCTGTTATTGTCCCCCTTAAGGTGGGCGTTGGGCTGCCTCACCCTTATCTGCCTCTTGAGGACCAGGACGCCCCTTTTCTGGCAGCCAGACTCTTAGCTGTTGACACCCCGCAGCTGAGGCCACTGCATGGTGGCTCAACTTCTTCCCCTGCCCAGGCTTGCTTCTCTCACTCCATCAAGTGACGTTTCAAGAGTAGTTCCTAAGAGCAGTTGTAGACATGTTCCCAAGAATATTCCTTCTGCCTTCTGCCTACAATTCTCCATTTCAGAGTCTATTTGCTGGGGAACCTGAACCCTCAAAGTCAGAGATGACCAGTGACTAAACCGAGACTTAGACCCAGTTTCCCTGAATAAAGAATGTTTTCTCTTTCTGCATGACCTGAGAGAGCTTTATGATAATCTCTGTTGGAAGACAAGCCTATGGTTCTTGGGAATCTGGTGTTTCCAACCTGCTATGTGCTGTCCAGAAGCCTTAGAGTGGGTGCCAACAGTCAGGGGCTGAGCCACTATGTGGCTCTCTAGGCCTGTGAGCCCAAATCTGCTCTTCCAAGAAGTCTTCATGCCCCTTCAGTCAGGGCCAAAGTGGGTGAATGCTTAGCTCTAGGATGAGCTCCCAAAGGCCTTCCTGACCAGACTGGAGACAGCTGGTGCCCACACCTCCACCTGTGCCTGGATGTATGCTATGCATCCTTCAAGGTCTAGGTCACTTGTCATTTCCTCTCTAAAGCCTTCTCATAGGCAGAATTAATTAATTCCATCAACAACACATGATAATGCATCTCCTCCTCAGTGGCGGGTTCTGGAGGTGATTACGTACTCCTCCGTGTTCATTCCCCCTTTAGTGTGCCTCTTCTAGTGCACTTATCACAGGTTATAATTATTTATACCTTGGTCTCTCCTACTGGACTCTGCATTCTTTCAGAGTCACTGTCTTACTTATCTCCGTATGGTCAACAATTTTTTTTTTAGACAAGGTCTCAGGGTCTCAGTCTGTCACCCAGGCTGGGGTGCAGTGGCAAGAACTCGGCTCACTGCAACTTCCACCTCTCAGGTTCAAGCGATTCTCCTGCCTCAGCCTCCCTGAGTAGATGGGATTACAGGTGCCCGCCAACATGCCTGGCTAATTTTTGTATTTTTAGTAGAGACAAGGTTTTACCATGTTGGTCAGGCTGATCTCGAACTCCTGACCTCAAGTGATCCACCAGCCTCGGCCTACCAAAGTGCTGGGATTATAGGCATGAGTCACCATGCCTGGCCAGGTCAGCTTTTTGTACAGCACCCAGTGCAGAGTAAGCACTGAGTAAGTGGTGGTTAATTTTAATCTGCTGAAGACTTTAAACTCAGTTTCTCCTTCAGAGTTCCATAGTTTCAGAATCCAATGCTAGCAGAGTTGTAATGCTCTCTCCTACACCCACATTGACAAGTTTTGTTTTGGATGCCTCAAAATAAAGGAGACACCACCTAGGAGAGATTTTACCCACAAAAGCCACTCTCATATCTTAGCTGTGAGGACAGTCTCTTTTTGTTTCCAATCTTCCTCTTTCACTCTTGCTCTCAGGAGTGGAGTTCTCTCACTGCCCACCCCCCATGTCAAATTTCCTCTGCGTCTTGGTCCACTTTGCTTCTCTTTCCTGCCCCTTTTGTCTTCAGGGCCAATCTCTCCACAGCCTTTGCTCTTCCTTTGGGATCTTGAGCCATTCAGGATCTCTGCCTTTGCCTCCATTGTGAATCCCTCCTTCAGCCTTCACACATCCATCCTGAAGCAAGCTTCTTTCAGCCCTCTGCCTGCTCCAGCTCTTGTTGCATCTTTGCTCACCATTCACCAGCACACTTCTTGAAACAATAGCTATGACATTGGTTTCCATTTATTCCTCATATCACCCTTTGCAATATGATGTCATAAATTCTCACTCAAAAATTCTATGCACCTGTTCTTAAAAAGGTTATTAATAATTTCATAATTTTAAAATCAAGTCTTGCCCTCTTTATCTTCAACCTTTTTGGAATATTTAAATCTATTTGCCCTTTCTTCCTTTGGAAACTCTCTTCCCTTTGGAGCATCTCCAAAAGCATGATACAGTGAAAAGGAGTATAGACTTGGGAGTTAAACAGAATGGAGTTGACCTTCCAGTTCCAAAATAGTAGCTGTATGAACTTGGATGGCTTTCCCTCCAGCCTTGATTTTCTTATTTGTAAAATGGGGAGATAACTGTTAACGCTATGTAGGAAGATATCTTAGTCAGGTTGGGCTGCTATAACAAAGTACTATAGAGTTGGTGGTTTGCAAACAACAGAAATTTATTTCTCATGGTCTGGAGGCTGGAAGTCTTGGATCAAGGTGCTAACAGAGTCGTTTTCTGTTGAGTGTCTGCTTCTGGGTTGCAGACTGCAGACTTCTCCTATCATCATATGGTGGAAGGAGAACCTGCTAGTTCTCTGGGCTCTTCTTATAAAGGCACTGGTCTCATTCATGAGGGCTCCACCCTCATGAACGAATTAACTCCCCAAATTCCCATTTCCAAAATATTATAACATTGGTGGTTAGATTTTAACATATCAGTTTTGGAGGAACACAAAAATTCAGTTCATAACAGATAGTCATGCAGTGAAAATAAGATGATATATTGATTATTTGCCTGACACAGGGTCCCTCAGACCACATGATTACCTCATAAATTCCTCCTGACTTCCATATCTAGGCACAATTCTGATTCTCTTTCTTTCTGTCTGCAGCCCCTCTTCCTCTTTCCACCTGCTAACAGAGAGGTCTCTAAGGAACAATGTATAAAGGGATATTAAAAAGTTCTTTGACTTTTTAACAAGAATCAGATAGGCAGTTGAGAATTCCAAACTTTTGATGAATAAGCCCTTCAATTTTGGCTTAATTATTTACCTCATGTATAATTATAACCAGAATAAATTTCTACAATTTCAGCATTATACCTCAATTCATGTTCCTTTACAACAATTTCTAATGATTTTGCAACAATGTCTGTATCAGGGCTCTGATTGTAGAGACCCATTTAACTATTGCCAATTGAACTACTTATTATTATGCATTCAAAGTGAATGTAAATTGTCTCATGTCCCTTGAAAGGAATTAGACATGGCTTGATATATTAATGAAATCATTACCATTTCATTAAACTGCATGTTTTGAACTGGACTATTCTGTGGCTTATTGAAATGCAAAAAGTGCATTCTCTTATGTGCATAATCACAGTTCATGGACAAACTTACAGCACTCAAAGGCTGCAGTTTCTTGCATGAAATACCTTCCTCTACATGCATGAAATTCTCCATAAAATGATTAAAGGTCAGTTGGATATAAACAAAGAGGAAAAAGAATCTATGCAAAACAACTCTTTATTTTAGAAAAAGAAAAGCGTTTTTATCTGATTCTCAGAAACTAAGGTTAGTTTATTTAGATGTGTGTAGAAATTATTATGTGTAGAAATGGTTTTTGAACTTCAAATTATTACGTGTAGAAATGGTTTTCAAACTACCTTCCTCTACATGCATGAAATTCTCCATAAAATGATTAAAAGTCAGGTGGATTTGAATAAAGAGGAAAAATAATCTATGCAAAACAACTTTTTATTTTAGAAAGAGAGTTTTTTTCTGATTCTCAGAAACTAAGGTTAATTTATTTAGATGTGTGCAGAAATTATTATGTGTATAAATGGTTTCAAACTTCACCCATTTGAGTAAAGTTTAGGAATATGCTTCAATAGCAATTAACATTATTAATTAATTGATTATATATTATTTTATTTAACCATTGACATATAATAATTGTATGTATTTTTGGGGTAAAGAGTGATGTTTCAACACATATAAGGTACAGTGATCAGGATAATTAGCAGATCCATCATCTCAAACATTTATCATTTCTTTGTGCTGTGAACACTGAATATCCTCCTTCTAGTTATTTAAAACTATATAATATATTGTTATTAACTATACTCATCCTACAGTGGTGTAAAACACTAGAACTTATTTCTCCTTCCTAGCTGTAATTTTGTATTCTTTAACAAATCTCTCCCTATCCTCCTCTTCCCCCTACCCTTCCCAGTCTTCAGTATCCTCTGTTCTACATTCTACTTCTATGAGATCCACTTTTTTTAAGTTTCTACATACGAGTGAAAACATGCATGTTCAAATTTCTATCCCTGGCTTATTTTGCTTAACATAATGTCCTCCAGTTCCATCCATGTTATGAATGTAAGAATTTCATTCTTTTTAATGGCTAAATAATATTCAATTGTGTATATATACCACATTTTCTTTATCCATTCATCTATTATTGGGAACCTTGGTGGATTCCATATCTTATGAATAGTGCTGCCATAAAAGTGGGGATGCAGATGTCTCTTTGATATACTGATTTCATTTCCTTTGGATAAATGCCCAGTAGTGGAACTACAGGATCATATGGTAGTTCTATTTGTAATTTTTTTGAGGAACCTCTCTACTGTTTTCCATTGTAGCTGTACTAGCTTACATTCCCACAGTTCCCTAATCTCCACATCTTCACCAGCACTTTTTATGTCTTTTTGATATTAGTCATTCTAAATAGGGTGAGAAGATTCTTCATTGTGGTTTTGATTTGCATTTCCCTGATAATTAGTGATGTTTCTTAATCATTATAAAATATATTTGTTGGCCATTTGTATGTCTTTTTTTTTGAGCAACACCTGTTCAGATCATTTGCTGATTTTTATTTGAAATTTTTTGTTGTTGTTGAGATATTTGAGTTCCATGTATATTCTGGATATTAACTTCCAGTTGGATGAATAGTTTCTAAATATCTTCTACCATTCTGTAGATTGTCTTTTCACTCTGTTGTTTTCTTTGCTGTGACGAAGCTTTTTTATTTGATATTATCCCATTTGTTTATTTTTGCTTCCATTGCCTGTGCTTTTGAGATTTTATTCATAAAATCATTTTTTCCAGATCCATGTCCTGACGTATTTCCTCTATGTTTTCTTCTAGTGGTTTTATAGTTTTGGGTCTTACATTTAGGTCTTTGATCCATTTGGAGATGATTTTTGTATAGGGTGAGAGGTGGGGGCCTAGTTTCATTCTTCTACCTAGGGGATATTTGGTTTTCCCAGTATTATTTGTTGAAGACATTGTCCTTTCCACAGTGAATATCCTTCATTCCTTTGTCAAAAAATCAGTGCATTTTAAAATAACTAAAAGTGTATAACTGGATTGTTTGTAACACAAAAGATAAATAGTTAAGGGGATAGATACTCCATTTTACATGATGTGATTATTATGCATTGCATGCCTATATCAAACCATCTCATGTACACCATAAGTATATACACCTACTATGTACAGAAATTAAAATAAAAAGAAATCAGTTGGCTGTATATACACGGATTGATTTCTGGATTCTCTATTCTGTTCCATTGGTCTATGAGTCGATTTTTATGCCAGTACCATGATGTCTTGGTTACTACAGCGTTTTAGTATCTTTTGAAGTCTGGTAGTATGATGCCTCCAGTTTTGTTCTTTTTGCTTAGGATTGTTTTGGCTATTTAGGGTCTTTTGTGGTTCCATATAAATTCTAAGATTTTTTTCTCCTATTTTTGTGACTAATGTCATTGGTATTTTGACAAGGATTGTATTGAATCTGTATGTTATTTTGGGTAATATGGTCATTTTAACAATATTAATTCTTCCAATCCATGAGCATGGCATATCTTTCCATTCTTTTATAGTCTCTTCAATTATTTCATCAGTGTTTTGTAGTTTTCCTTCAGAAGTTTTCCACTTCTTTGGTTATATTTATTACAAGATGATATAGTTTGTCTGTGTCCCCAACCAAACTGTAGCTCCCATAATTCCCACGTGTTGTAGGAAGGACCCAGTGGGAGATAATTGAATCATGGGGGTGTTTTCTTCTATACTGTTCTTGTGGTGGTGAATAAGTCTCACGGGATCTGATATATGGCTTCTCCTTTTGCTTGGCTGTCATTGTCTCTTGCCTGCTGCCATGTAAGATGTGACTTTCACCTTCTGCCATGATTATGAGGCCTCCCCAGCTACATGGAACTGTGAGTCCATTAAACCTCTTTTTCTTTATAAATTACCCAGTCTTGGCTATGTCTTTATCAGCAATGTGAAAATGAACTAATATACAAGGTATTTTTTTTTTGGTAGCTATTGTAAATGGGATTGCCTTCTTGATTTCTTTTCCGGTTGGTTCATTGTTAGTATATAGAAATGCTACTAAGTTTTGTATGTTGATTTTGTATCCTGCAACTTTACTGAATTTGTTTATCAATTCTAAAAGTTTTTTTTTGGTAGAGTCTTTAGGTTTTTCTATGTCATCTGCAAACTGGGACAATGTGACTTCCTTCTTTCCAATTTGGATGCTCTTTCTTTCTTTCGTTGTCTAATTCCTCTGGCTAGAACTTCCAGTACTATGTTGAATAAGAGTGGTGAGCATCAGCTTCCTTGTCTTGTTCTAATTCTTAGAGAAAAAGCTTTCAGCTTTTCCCTATCAAGCATGATGTTAGCTGTGAGTTTGTCATGTATGGCCTTTATTGTGTTGAGGTACTTTCCTTCTATACCTTATTTATTGAGAGATTTTTATCATGAAGCTGTGTTGAATTTTATCAAATGCTTTTTCTGTATCTATTGAGATAATCATATGGTTTTTATCCTTTATTCTGGTTATGCGATGTATCACATTTATTGATTTGCATATGTTGAACCATCTTTGCATGCCTGGGATAAACCCCACTTGGTCATGATGAATGACCTTTTAATGTATTGTTGGATTCAGGTTGCTAGTATTTTGTTGAGGATTTTTGCATCTTTGTTCATCAGGCATATAGGGCTATAGTTTTCTTTTGTGCATGTGTGTGTGTGTTCTTTTTTTGTTTTGGTATTAGAGTTTTGCTGGCCTTGTAAAATGAGGGGGAGTCCCTCTGCTTCATTTTTTGGAATAGTTTGAGAATAATTAGTATTACTTTTTCTTTAAAGTTATTGGCAGAATTCAGGGGTGAAGTCATCCAATCCTGGATTTTTTTTTTTTTTTGGGAAACTTCTTATTACTATTTCAATCTTGTTGCCTGTTATTGATCTTTTCAAGTTCTCTATTTCTTCTTAGTTTAATCTTGGTAGAATATATGTATTTAGAAATTTATTCATTTGCTCTAGATTTTCAAATTTATTGGCATATATTTGCTCATAGTAGTCTCTGATGTCCTTTCTATTTCTGTGGTATCAATTGTAATGTCTCCTTTTTTGCTTCTGATTTTATTATTTGGGTATTCTCTATTTTTTCTTAGTCTAGCTAATGTATTGTCAATTTTGTTTATCTTTTCAATAAACCAACTTTTTGTTTCATTGATCATCTATATTTTTTGGTCTCAATTTTATTTATTTCTGCTCTGACCTTTATTATCTCTTTCCTTCTACTGATTTTGAGTTTGGTTTGTTCTTGCTTTTCTAGTTCCTTCAGATGTATCATTAAGTTGTTTATTTAAAATATTTCTAGTTTTTTATATAGTTTTTTTGATATAGGCATTTATTGTTATAAACTTACCTCTTAATACTGCTTTTGCTGTGTCCCATAGGTTTTCGTATGATGTGTTTCTATTTTTATTTGTTTCGAGGAATTTTAAGTTTTCATATTAAATTTCTTCCTTTACCCATTGGTCAGTCAGGAACATGTTGAATTTCCATGTGTTTGTGTAGTTTCCAAGGCTCCTCTTGTTATTGATTTCTAATTTTATTCCATTGTGGTTAGATAAGATATTTGATATAATTTTGATTTAAAAAATCTTTTGAGACTTGTTTTGTGTCCTAAAATATGTTTCATTCTGGAGAATCTGAAAAGAATGTATATTATGCAGCTGGTGGGTGCAATATTCTGCAAATGTCTGTTAGGTCCGTTTGGTATATGGTGCAGTATAAATTTGATGTTTCTTTGTTGATTTTCTGTCCAGATAACATGTTCAATCCTGAGAATGAGAAATCCCAAATATTATTTCACAAGTGTCTATCTCTCCTTTTAGATGTAATAATATTTGATTTATATATCTGTGTGGTTCAGTGTTGGGTGGATATATATTTATAATTATTATATTCTCTCACTGAATCTATCCCTTTATTCCTATATAATGTCATTATTTGTCTCCTTTTATTTTTTGACTTAAAGTCTGTGTTGTCTGATTTAAGTGTAGCTACTTTTGTTTGCTTTTGGTTTCCTTTTACGTGGAATATCTTTTTATATCCCTTCATTTTCAGTTGATGTGTGTTCACACATCACTGGTGATGTGATGTGCTGCTTCACAGGTGAAGCAATTTTCCTATAGACAGCATATAGTTGGGTTTTGAATTTTTATTCATGCAGCTGTCTATATCTTTTATTTTTATTTTAATTAATTAATTAATTTTTGAGGTGGAGTCTGGCTTTGTCACCCAGGCAGGGTGTGCAGTGGTGTGATCTCAGCTCACTGCAGCCTCCATCTTCCAGGCTCAAGCAATTCTCCTGCCTCAGCCTCCTGAGTAGATGAGATTACAGATGTGTGCCACCACACCCAGCTAATTTTTTTATTTTTTAGTAGAGACAGGGTCCATCATGTTGGCTAGACTGATCTTGAACTCCTGACCTCAAATGATGCCCTGCCTTGGCCTTCTAAAGTGTTGGGATTACAGGCATGAACCACCATGCCCAGCCCCAGTTGTCTATATCTTTTAAACAAATTTTAATCTTTTACATTCAAAGTTATTATTACTATTAAGGGAGGACTCACTCCTGTGATTGTATTGATTGTATCTGATTATTTTGTATATTCTCTTTCCTTTATTTCTTCTATTATTATTTATTTTTGTGGTTGGATGGTTTTCTATAGTAATAAGTTTTGATTCATTTATCTTTATTTTTTGTTTATTGGACAAACCAGTGAGTTTTATAGTTTACTTGTTTTCCTGATGGTGGTTATCATCTTTTCACTTCCACATGTAAGAGTCCTTTGAGCATTTCTTGTAAGGCCAGACTAGTTGTGATAAATTTCCTCAGTCTGGCCAGGCGTGGTGGCTCTGCCTATAATCCCAGAACTTTGGGAGGCCGAGGTGGGCAGATCACCTGAGGTCAGGAGTTCAAGACCAACCTGGCCAACATGGTGAAACCCCATCTCTGCAAAAAGACACAAAAATTAGCTGGGCATGGTGGCGGATGCCAGTAATCCCAGCTACTTGGGAGGCTGAGGTGGGAGAATTGCTTGAACCTGGGAGGCAGAAGTTGCAGTGAGCTGAGATTGCACCACTGTAATCCAGGCTGGGTGACAAAGTGAGGCTCTGGCTCAAAAAAAAAAAAATTCCATAGTTTTTGCTTGTCTGTGAAATATTTTACTGCTCCTTCATTTCTGAAGGGTAGTTTTGCGGGTAATAATATTCTTGGTTGACAGTTTTCTTTTTCTTTCAGTACATTTAATATATCATTCCATTATCTTCTGGCTTGTAAGATTTTTACTGAGAAATTCACTGTTAGACTAATATGGATTTCCTTATATGTAACTTGACACTTCTCTTGCTGTTTTAAGAATGCTTTGTCTTTGATTTTTGACAATTTGACTATCATGTGCCTTGGAGAAAAGCTGTTTGGGTTAAATCTTTTTTGAGTTCTTTGAGCTTTCTAGATCTGGATGTCCATCTCTCTCCCAAGACTTAGAATGTTTTTAGCTGTCATTTCATTAAATATATTTTCTGCAGCTTTCCTCTTTTCTTCTCTTTCTGGAACATCTGTAATGTAAATATTTTTTCACTTAATGGTGTCCTGTAAGTCCTGTAAGCTTTCTTTTCTTTTTTATTCTTTTTGTTGTTGTTATTATTTTCTACCTGTGTTATTTCAAGAGGCCTTTTCTTTTGCTTGGTATAGTCTATTGTTGAAGCTCTTGACTGTATTTTTTATTTCAGTTATTGAATTCTTCAGCTCTGGGATTTTTGATTTAAAAACGTGTCCGTTTATTTCTTGAATTTCTCTTTTACATAATGAATTGTTTTTCTTATTTCACTCAATTATCTATCTGTATTCTTTAATATTTTCCTGAGTGTCCTTAAGATTATTATTTTGAAAATTTTTCCTGGCATTTAGTATATTTCCTTATGATTGGGGTCTGTTACAGGAGAATTATTATGTTCCTTTGGAGGTGTCATGTTTCCTTGCTTTTTCATGTTTGATGTGTTCCTCTGTTGACTTCTATGAATCTGATGGAACAGTTGCCTCTTCCAACTGTATGGAGTAGATTTTTTAGGAAAATACTCATTCATATAGATGGATCTTGGGGTGTTGGTTTTATGGGGTGCATTGGCTTTGGTTGTAGATGGACACAGTAGTGTAGTCTCTGTGTAGTTGCTTCAGCAATAATCCATGCTAGTGATGTTTGTGAGTGTCTCCGTAACCTAGGCTGAGATTGTTTGTGGTAGTGGTGGCATGAATTTGCTGGGGTTGGGCTTTCTTGGTGTTTCTTAGGTTAGGGGCATGTGTGGGTTGGTGGATTGGCCAATATGGGGTCTGGATTGCTCAGGTTGGGGCCATGGGGCTCTTTTGCTGGCTGGGGGCATGGGTGCACAATTGCTAAGTCAGCCTGGAGGGGTGCCTGCTAGGGCAAGTTGGCAGGGCTAGTTCTCAGGCCCAGGATATGGGTGCACAGCTGCTTAGCTGACCTAGGGACATGCCTATCAGGGATGGCCCATGGGTCTGTTTCTCCGGTCTGAAACACAGGCACAGGACTGCTCACCTGGTCTGGGGGGCCATGTCTGATTTTTAAAAAAGAGGTTTAATACTTTTTTTTTTAGCTCTTCAAATTTTGCATGTACTTAGCAAATTGATCCATAGAAGTTCTTTTATACTGAGGGGTGGATAGTGACTGGCATTTGTTACCAGAGTTCTGGCTCACTCTCTCTTGGAGTTCAAAGCCCCAGCACTTCAACCTGACCACAGGCTCAGAGAACACAAATCCTTTCCTGTCTCTTTCCCATCCTATCTACCCTAAACCATGTCAGGAATTTTAAAAATTGAATAATTCATTATTAAGAAAGGAAGAGAAAATGTAACTCAAGCCTTTATTCATATATCAAGGTGAAATGCTTAGGCCCCACAATACCGCAACAATTGGATGACTTTTAAAAATACTCTTAAAACAATAGCAACAACAATAAAACAAATCAATGGCTTGAAAATTATCATACTTGTTATTTGAATGATTTGAAAGTTCCAAGAAAAAAGCTGACATTATTTATTAGATTTTAATATCTCCTGGTTGTATCAGCCTAGTGCAGTTATGAGAAGGCAGTGTTATGTTAGTGTGAAATCACAGAATCTGCACGTGGAAAGTGGGCTCGAATCTTATTTCTGCCATTAATCAACTATGTGTAATCTTGTTGGTTGTTTTCTTTTCTGGAGCCACATTTTGTGTTAATATATGTAATAGGGATAATCATAGCTCCCACTCCACCAATTTCATAAGATTTTTTACGAATAACAAATATTTGATATAAGATATGAATATTTCTTGTAAAATAGTTTATTTACCATAAGACCCTGGGGATTCACATGGTTACTGGGAAATTGGGCTGTGTGAAATGAGTGCTCAAAGGTGGTTTCACTTTGAGGACCAATGTGACTAACTACTTGAACTTGGTTGGGTTCACTTTCACATTGGTTTACCTCATTTCAGCTACCAGGTAAGGTAAAGGATATCCCTGACACCTAAGGGGTATAAGGTGGGGGGTGGGAGGGTTCCCTGCTGCCTCCTCTTTCTTTCATTG
The DNA here is from genome assembly GCF_000001405.40 of Homo sapiens. NCBI lineage: Eukaryota > Metazoa > Chordata > Mammalia > Primates > Hominidae > Homo > Homo sapiens. Next base: position 15,010,410 of record NC_000002.12, on the reverse strand, counting down.
ATGTGTGTGTTTTTCTCACACTAACATAATACTGCCTCTGTTCCCAGAGACTCCTCTGGGACAGAAGTTCCCCAAATCAAGGGCCTTTTATTCTTCATATTAATTTTTAATTTTTTTAGGCTGTAGAAGATGTATATGTTCTTTCATATCATCTGGTCCAAAAATGTGCTTCCTGGGTTTATAATTCCTTGCTGGGCTAATTAGTGTTAGAAGACAATTCTTCCTGTTTTCTTGGTGTTCCTGTATGGGTCAGGCCTTCTGAGCAATGGACATGGACTCACTATAAAAAGAGAATGTTTCCTCTCTTCCAGAGCCATTTGTTCCCATTGTAAGGGTAATAAAGAAAGTCTAAAAACATCTTTTCATCTCTCTAGGGACATTGCTTATGTATCAGATTGAAGAATTTCCCCTCTTCTCCCATGAGGCGATTTGTTTGTTTTCCAGAGCAAAACATAAAATCTCCCTCTCTCCAGAAGAGAAGTTGGGAAGATGTGTCAGTAGTTTGTTATGTAAGCTCTGAGTTTCATAATTTTGCGGTTCTAGTTCTGTGTTGCAAACTCCTGCATGTGTAGAGATATTAGGTCCACATTGCATGGTCCTGTGGGGAATCGCTCTATGGGAAACTGACACAGGCTGCTTCATCTCTTTCTCTGTGTACACACATGCATGCACACACATACATATGCACCGTATATATATATATATATATATATATATGCATTCCTACATATATATGTATATATATATGCATTCCTACATATATATGTGTATATGTGTGTGTGTGTGTGTGTGTGTGTGTGTGTGTGTATGATGTTGCAGGTTACCTTGCTAGCTTGTGGTTGTGGCAACATGTTATATCCTTCATGGCTTTAGCCTTTCCAGTTACTTTCTGCATTATTTACTGAGCCCACTTGAGGTAACAACCACATAGAGCTTCATTTTGGGCTCTGAAAATAGTATTTTTAGTAGTTCAAGTTTAAGAATCTTTGAAAATTGGAGACTTTTTTTTTTATCAGCCTTTAAAAGGAAACAGATAAATCTTTTTCTAATGGGTATTTACAACATTAAGGAAATAACTTGAGGATGATGGTGTACTTCTTATTTGTCAGTGTATGAGTGAGTCCTTGACATTGCCATTGTAGAATTGCTTTGGATAGATTACCATTTGTGCCTGGGATTGCTGGAGACTGGTTAAGAGAGAGGTTATTCCTTTTTCTTGTCTCAGTCCACAAACCTTTGTGAAACAAGGGGCGATGTTTTTACTTATCAGAATTTATGACATTTGTCATTTAGCAAAGGTCATTCTTGATGGTAGTTCAGCATTCTCACAGCTATTAGTGCATTAAGGAGAGCATTGGACTCAGAGTCAAACCTGAATGAGACCCAGAGGCTGATTCTGATTGTCACTGGTTAGATGGCCTTGGGAAAATCACTTTAATTTGCTAATCCTCAGTTTTTTCACTTATTAAATTTAAATGCCTGAACTGATTAACAGAAATTTTATGAGGATCAAAGGGACCAATAAATGAGGTATATTTTTTAAACAATGAGGTGGGAATACCTAGACCCATATAAGTGTTTTTAAAATTTAAATTTATTTATTTTTGCTACTAGAAAGATTTAAATACCCAATCTGGCTGTGTGTGCTTTCCTGCTATTCTTTAGGGCAAGGAGTGAAAATAAAACAATGTGTACCTGATTTCACCTATTTTTTAAATAAGTTTAAGGAGAGTGGCATTTAATTATCATGATAGAAAGTGAAATCATGGTACACAGGTAAGCAAGTAGCCCCGATCAGAGGTGTCTATACCTTGAGGAATGAGGGGCTCTCCAGAGTGATTTCTGAGGCACCATTTATGTCAATTAGATAGTGCCTTGTGGAAGGGACATGAGAAAGGAAACTGTAGGTTCTGGTCAAGTTCCTGGTTACCTAAGTACACTTCCAGGAGTGAATGGACCTTGGAGAGGCCACTTGGAGTGAGAGGTTATGTCACAGACTTGGATTGGCATCAGGGAACCATGGGAGAGAACTGGAGATGCATCAAGACTAATCTAGTGAATTAACTCCAAGAGGAATGGGTCTTTGGTAGCATCCTGTAGCACACAAGAGTGGTGTACTCTGTGCTCTGGAGAGACAGAACTTAGCGGGGTCTCTGTGACTAAGGAACCCAGGGAGTAGATGATGAGGCCCTATGCGGACTCTTCAGTGGCAACAGTTGTTTGGCATTGCCACTGCTGAAGGCTGTTTCTGGGTGTAATTACCTCTGTGGGTTGTCATTGCTGTTGAGAGTGACACTTTGGAGCCATAACTGTTGGAAGTTGTTGCCATGGCTAATGGGGAAATTGTCAGTGGGAGTCCAGGTTGGAACATCTGTTGCATAGCAACATCTTCCTAAGATGGAGGGACCAAATTATGTCATGTTATTTTGTTTTTGTCACTTTCAAAACATTATTTTGTAAATCTTCATGATAGCTCTTAAGTTAGGTATTATTATCTGCATTTTACAGAGCTAGGAACTGAACTTTGGGAAGCTTAAGTAACTATTAAAGTCATGCAGTATACTAAATTGTGGAGCTGGGATTTGAACTTAGATCAGATGACCAAATCCAAGCTCTTTTCATTTTCAAAACATTTTGTTACTTAATGGTCTTTAGCCTTTACTATCATCCTAGTGAGAGCCATGCTTGATATCTGGAGTTGGATGGAGATCTTTTTTGGTCAATGCACTCTCCACTAAAAAGAAAGAATCACAGTTTCCCAGATGACAATCTGATGAGATTAGAAGCTCAGACAATCTGGGATAGAGCTCAAGCTATTAACAGGGACCTTTACACTAACTCTACATACTGATTTCTGGTAAAATATGTAGTTCGCAAAGAAAAAACAAAAAAGCTCCACAAGAAAAAGGACTGCAATAAAAAAAACTTCGCTTCCTTCAAATAAACAGCATAAGTTTAAAAATCAAGAGAGCAAAGGATGGCAAATTCTAAGATATGCTTGAATTTAAAAATCATGAATAAATGAAACAAACATTAAGAGGGAAAATCAAAAACATTGATAGAATTGGCTTCCTACCTATCAAACAGCATGTCACTGAATGAGTCTCAGCAGCCACTGCTGGTTTCTAAGTGGAATTACCCATTATGTGGGAAAAAAAGACCATGGTGGCGCTCAGTGGCTGGCCTTAGATAATTGCCTCACCTAGTGTATCCGGATAATTTAGTTTTAAAATTAGTTCAAATTCTATGAAGATGAAAATCAGCACATGTATTAAAAATGCCCTTGGTGGAAAGCAAAGTGAAATGATATATGGTCCTGTGTCCTTGCTTGGCATCATGTCCAAGGTCCCCTGGGGTGGTTAAGAATTCCTGACTTAATGTCTACCTTAATGATGACAAAGAAGGACTAAATAGTGTTTAATGATGTTTTAAGTAGATCCTAAGTGAAGGCTCATGACCAACATCAAGGAGTAGAGGAAATACAAATGAAAGTCAGAAACAGAACAATAACCACAAACCTCTTCCTGCAGCAGTGAGGATTAATAAACTCAGAGAGCTCATTGGGACAAGCTAGCATGTATGAACCTGAAAGTACTTGCTGGCCTGTCCCAAGTACTGCTGATGGCTGGACATGCATAACCAGTTGGCTTCTTTGAACATCTGAGTTTGCAAAGCAGGTGCTTGGAAAGTTGGGAGAGACATTTTAAAAATCGTATTTTTAATTGTAAACGAATAGTTATGTATTAAATAAAGCTTATTTTTATATAGGACCACAGAAAGAAGAATAAAGTATTGACTTTAGTCTTATCACCAAACAGAAATCACCTTTGACCTTTTCATGGGAATCCTTCATATTTTACGCTAGCATAGATTTCATTTTTAAAGCATAGTTGTAATCATATTGTGTATACAATTAATATTTTTTCAGTTATTATTTAGTAAAACCATCTTAATAATTATATATTTTAATAGCTTTATAATAATGCCTTAAATAGAGGCGACACAGTAAACATACCCCATTAATACCTAGGTGTTTTCCATTTTTTCACTCTCATAAAAAATTCCATAATGAACATCATCGTGCATAAAACCTCTTTTCTGGCTTCCGGAGAATTCCTTTGAATCAATTTCCAAAGGCAGAATTTCTGAATCAAACAATATGATAAGTTCTTGATAAAGGCTGACAATTTGTTTCTTGGAAGGACTGTGATTTTTTTTCTATTATAATACGTGCTCATTAGCACTAGATATTCTTACTTTTGAACTCTGCTAATTTAAATTAAAAACCCTATGTTCAATTCATGTAAACTTATTGAGTCACTATTAAAACAAAGTATTTTACCAAGTTCATTACCACATATGTTTCTTGATGTTATTTGTGTTTTTCATGTTCTTTGCCTTTTCATCTTGGATTGGCTTCAAACTGGTCTCCCTTACCTCTGGTCTAACCATCCTTCACATGTTGCTAGAATTACTCCTAAAAGCAATACCCTCAATCACATTACTGCTCACTCAAATATTTCAAAGGATTTCCATGTCTACAGAAGTATAGTAAGTTTCTTACTCTCTGTGAAAACTACGGCAATATGGTTCAAGCTATCACACTGCCTGGTATCAGGTAGCTGCAATATGGAAGTAAATAGTCTCCTGAGAGTTGTGCAGTGTTCTCAACTCTTGCTGAGGCTTGTTTAGGGTCACATGTTTTCTTAAATTCTAGCAGGTAGGCAGCCAAGCTTTCTTTGATAAGAGAATCTGGATGAAAGAAATGCCACTGGAACTCTGGTCCCTATTTCGCCTTTACATTTCCAATGGAACAGCAGTGCAGGGACAAGCCCCCTCTGCCCTTGAGTCAGAAATTCCTGGGCTCCAGTCTGGCCTTTGCCACTCATGTGGCCATGGCCTGGGGCAGTCACTTAACCTTTGAAATAATGCCCATCTCCCAGAGTTATTCTGACTGTAAAGTAAAATGATGAAAAGGACTAGTGCATTGTGTAAATGAATAACTAAATGAATCGCTCTTCCAAATAAATAATCCTACCCCTTTAAAATATGAGTATGCAAAATAGTCAAACTCATAGAAGCAACAGAATAGAACGGTGGCTGCCAGGGATGTTGGGGAGCGAGTAAGGGGAGTCGCTAGTCAACAGGTGTACAGTTTCAGTTATGCAAGATGAATACATTCTAGAGGTCTGCTGTGTAATATCATGCCTATAGAGAACAATACCCATGCGCGCATTTAACAATCTGTTAAGGTGGTAGGTTTTGTGTTAAGTATTCTTACCATGATAAAATAAGAATTTTTAAAAATTTGGTGTTAAGGATTTTATTTTATAAGCACAAGTAACTTAGACTTGCCAAAATTCATAATACAGTTGCAGCATGTCTGAGTGAAACAATGTTTAATTGTTGTCAGTTTGGGTGTTAAGCTCACTCCTGGCAGGAAGTTCTCCCAGCTTTTCCTAAGGAATCCAGATCCTGACAACCTTATTAATATAATTTTACTATTGAAAATATAAACTTCACCATAGAATACAATGTATGATATCTGTCACTCACTGATCCCTGAAAACACTTTTTAAAGTCTTAATTAAAATTAACTGTTGCTGGGTCTGGTAGCTCACACCTATAATCCCAGCACTTAGGGAAGCCAAGGGGGGGTGGATCGCTTGAGTTCAGAAGTTCGAGGCTAGCTTGAGCAACATTGCACAACCCTGTCTCTACAAAAAAAAAAAAAAAAAAAAAATCAGCTGGGAGTGGTGGTCTGCGCCTGTTGTCTCAGCTATTTGGGAGGCTGAAGTGGGAGGATGACATGAGCCTGGTGGTTGAGGCTGCCACGAGCCATGATCGTGCCACTGCACCCCAGTCTGGACAGAGGGTGAGACTCTTGTCTTAAAAACAAAGGGTAACTCTTTCCTCACTCACCGTTTGGCAGGTAATAAATCATCACATGCCAGTTTGGGGGAAAGTATCAAGGATTCTTGTGTACAATGTTGAAACAAATATAAAAATCAGGAAAATGTAATGATAAAAATATTGAAAACATGATTTGTGTGCCAAAACTTTTCCTTAATTCTAATTGAATGCTATTTTTAAAAATTTCCCGAAACTGTAAATTGTTTGCATAGATTTGTAGGTCTAGATATCATTTATTTTAAACATTTGGCATCAAATCAGAAAATACAGTAAAAAAGGGACAAACACTGACGCTGTGCTAAATGAACTGGATAGTAAAGAAACGATTTTCTACGTTGAAGGAGACTAAGTTTATTAGTGACCAGAGGCCAGGAATCCAATTTGTGAAGATAATGCGAGATTGTGCATTTGAATCCTTGGTTCTGAGACACACTCTTAAATGTTATAGATTCCAGTGGCCTAAAAATATTTTAAAGTATGTCCAATTTTTTTACGGCATTTAAAAAATAGATGTCTGAAAACAACTGAGAGTTTCTCAAGTTGATTTATCTTGCACGAGTCACTAGAGTAAAGCCGATTTTCTGATACTGTGTCCTGCATTTATCTTTCAGCAGCGAGAGAGCATTCTAATTAAAACTAATCCAGTGGAGAACTTGAAATATCAGGTGCTTTAATGTGATTTGCTTTTTAACAGCCAAGACTGTCTTGCCATAAATATTTTGCCCCTGGTTGGTTAGAGCCTAATTCAAAAAAGTGACAAAGTGGTAATGACTTCTGAGAAGCTGTTCTGTCAGAAGAGCTCAGAGATCTCTTGGCTGGGCTCAGGCTCAGAGGAGGAGGAGGCTTGAGACCCTTCGTCCCCTCACTCTCAAGGAGCTACACAGTGGCTCACCTTTAAAGAGAGAATGAGAGACCTCCCCTAGTCCGTTTACATAAAATAGTACAATTCTCCCTCTCTTCCCTTTACCTGTTTATTGTTCTTCATAGCTTTGAGAACTGGGAGATGCAGAATGAATTTGTTCTTCTGTCTTCTTGGTGTTGGGATGTAAGTTTTATGAGTGGGTTGGTTTGTTGCTGTGTTCACAGTACCTAGAACCACACCTGGCACTTGATAAGCACTCCCTGTGTATTTATCAAAAGCATGAGTGGGCAAATAAATACAAGAATATAAGCAACTGCCAGATCATCTTCACCAATCCAGACACTCCTTGATCATTCAAAACACATGGAGTACAGAATCGGCATCTTCCACCTACACTATCTCCTTCCCCTTACCAACATTCATGTCCTAAAAGCCCAGAAGAAATGCTGCATCCCCAAAAGCCTGCCTTGACTTCTGCTCTGGAAATTAATTTCTCCCTCCTCTGAATGGCTTGAGCATTTTAAAATACTTGATACTGAGAGGTGACAGTGTGCTGGCAGTCCTCACAGCCCTCGCTCGCTCTCGGCGCCTTCTCTGCCTGGGCTCCTACTTTGGCTGCACTTGAGGAGCCCTTCAGCCCGCCGCTGCACCGTGGGAGCCCCCTTCTGGGCTGGCCAAGGCCGGAGCCGGCTCCCTCAGCTTGCAGGGAGGTGTGGAGGGAGAGGCGCCAGCGGGAACAGGGGCTGCGCGTGGCGCTTGTGGGCCAGCTGGAGTTCCGGGTGGGCGTGGGCTTGGCGGGCCCCGCACTTGGAGCAGCTGACCCGCCCTGCCGGCCCTGGGCAATGAGGGGCTTAGCACCCGGCCCAGCAGCTGCGGAGGGTGTACTGGGTCCCCCAGCAGTGCCAGCCCACTGGCACTGTGCTCGATTTCTGGCCGGGCCTTAGCTGCCTTCCCGCCGGGCAGGGCTCGGGACCTGCAGCCCGCCATGCCTGAGCCTCCCACCACCTCCGTGGGATCCTGTGCGGCCCGAGCCTCCCCAGTGAGTGCCACCCCCTGCTCCACAGCACCCAGTCCCATCGACCACCCAAGGGCTGAGGAGTGTGGGCGCACGGCGTGGGACTGGCAGGCAGCTCCACCTGCAGTCCCGGTGCGGGATCCACTGGGTGAAGCCAGCTGGGCTCCTGAGTCTGGTGGGCCAGCTGGGCTCCTGAGTCTGGTGGGGACGTGGAGAACCTTTATGTCCAGCTCAGGGATTGTAAATACACCAATCAACCCCCTGTGTCTAGCTCAGGGTTTGTGAATGCACCAATCGACACTGTGTATCTAGCTACTCTGGTGGGGCCTTGGAGAACCTTTATGTCTGGCTCAGGGATTGTAAATACACCAATCGGCAGGCACTCTCTATCTAGCTCAAGGTTTGTAAACACACCAATCAGCAGCCTGTGTCTATCTCAGGGTTTGTGAATGCACCAATCAACACTGTATCTAGCTACTCTGGTGGGGACTTGGAGAACCTTTGTGTCGACACTCTGTATCTAGCTAATCTAGTGGGGACGTGGAGAACCTTTGTGTCTAGCTCAGGGATTGTAAACACACCAATCAGCGCCCTGTCAAAACAGACCACTGGGCTATACCAATCAGCAGGATGTGGGTGAGGCCAGAGAAGAGAATAAAAGCAGGCTGCCCGAGCCAGCAGTGGCAACCCCCTGGGGTCCCCTTCCACACTGTGGAAGCTTTGTTCTTTCGCTCTTTGCAATAAATCTTGCTACTGCTCACTCTTTGGGTCCACACTGCTTTTATGAGCTGTAACACTCACCGCGAAGGTCTGCAGCTTCACTCCTGAGCCAGTGAGACCACAAGCCCACCAGAAGGAAGAAACTCCGAACACATCCGAACATCAGAAGGAACAAACTCCAGACGCGCCACCTTAAGAGCTGTAACACTCACTGCGAGGGTCCGCGGCTTCATTCTTGAAGTCAGTGAGACCAAGAACCCACAAATTCTGGACACAATACTATGTTAGAGTATTATATATATATGATATGTCAAATTATAATTTGATTTGACATTTACTATGTTGTAGCATTATAACTATTGTAATATAACTATATTTGTAATCTAAGTATGTAGGTTTTCTCCTGCTAGTCTCTGAAATCCATGAGGATAAGAACTGAGTTGTAATCATCTTTTTATCACCTAATAAGTCTAATATCTTACATTATATATGGGAGATATTCAATAAGTGATTTTGGAATAGCAAGCAAATGTGTGGCTGTTTGTTATATATATAAAATCACATGTAGCACTGGAATAGCTGTGTGTGTGTATAACATATATACATGTATATAACATACATATATATATAACATATCTCTCTCTCTCTATATGTGTATATATGTGAAAATCCTGGCGAAGGAAAGGTCTGGGAAGTAGATAGTTCAATAGTAGAGAGATCACTCAATGATTCCTTCCATCAACCTTGTGTTCCTCATAAGGGCATTAAATTTCTCTGGAAATTCATAACGTGTCATCAAGCCTATGCTATTTGAACATTGTTAGGACAATGACTGCTGGAATTCCTTCTTCCCAGTCCTGCCTGTGGGAGGGGTGCCGTGCTGTCCTGGACTCAGACACGCTCATGCCCATGTCTGTTCCCATCATGTACTGGCTGTGTGGTGTGTCGTTCACCCTCTCTGCACCTTAGTTACTTTGTCTATAAAATGGTGAGAGGAATTCTTAGCTTGCCAGGCCCTTCTGAAGGTGCTGTGAGAACATGACTGCCAAGTGCCCAGGTGTGTCTGGCACATAGTGGCCTCTCTCAAGCAGGAGCCTGATCACTACTGTCATTGGGCTTGAGCCATCCCAAATGCTTTGCACACCGCTTGCCTTTGTAGAACGTCCTCATCAGAGAGAAAATTAGAAATGCAGTTTATTTATCATCCTTCACCTCTCGGTATTAAATATTCATCACCAGCTCCTTCACAATTTCTTGGAATCTTGGAAGCATTCATTACAGTCATATTACCTGAGAGCAGCTGAGTCCACAGGAGGTAGGCGGGACATAAACTTTGGAAAATAATCAGTTTCAGTTTAGGTCATAGCAACTGCAATCATCTATGACTAGACTCTCGGTCAGTGTGCTGGGGCTTTCATGTATATTTTCTGTCCTCAGCAGATTTGTGTTCCTGCATTCTGAGGAGCAAGGTCAGGCTCCCATCTTCTCTAAGACATTGGCTCATTTTTATGCCTATTTGTAAAACTGGGTTAAATAGCAGAAAGAGTGGTTTTATGTATTGAAAACTGACTAGTCCAGAGTTACCCAGGAGTATCTCATTCTAAGTGGTTGGCTTTTGTTTTTTCAGTGAAGCCTAAGCACTTTACTTTCAGATACAGGGCAGTTATCCTGCTTTAAGGAATTGATAAGAAAGGTTTGATCCCAGCCCAGTGAGATTAAGCCAGCATGGTGCCTACTTTCATGGCAATCTCACCGCCCACATGTACATGTGCCCTGATATTCGTCACTCACTAAAAACATTTTTAAGTAATAAAATAATAGAGTGAACTGTGATTTTTCACTCACAGTTTGGCAAGCAAGTTGTATATGAACTTGGCCTTATTGGCAATAACTTCAATAAAACCAACTTACATGTACATTCTGCAATTTGCAAAGTTCACACTGTCATTTGTCATTTACCACATCATCTGGTATACACTACCCTATGCATTGTTAGCCCTGTTTTCCAGATGAGAAATGTGTGGTTCAAGGAATTTTGAATATTTGTGGAGCACATAGGCGGTAAATATTGCAAATGAGATATAAATTTAGGTCTTCTGCTTCCAACCCAATGAACTAAATAATAGATAAATTAATAGATAATGTATTAGTCCATTCTCACATTGCTATGAAGAACTACCTAAGACTGGGTAGTTTACAAAGAAAAGAGGTTTAATTGACTCACAGTTCCACAGGCTGTTCAGGAGGCATGGCTGGGGAGACCTCAGGAAACTTATAATCATGGTGGAAGGTGAAGAGGAAGCAAGCATGTCTTCCCATGGTGGAGCAGGAGAGAGCATGCGAATGGGAAAACGCTACATGCTTTTAAACAACCAGATCTCCTGAGAACTCGTTCACTATCACCAGAACAACAAGGGGGAAATCCGCCCCCATGACGCAATCACCTCCCACCAGGCCTCTGCTCCAACACATTAGGATTACAATTCAACATGGAGATTTGGGTGGGGACACAGAGCCAAACCATATCAGATAAAACTGATTTTTATCTGTACATAGGCTCAAGCGGTCCTTCTATATGCTGACTTGGCAATTCCCAGGTTAGGTTTGTAAATGGACTCCTCCACAGTGCTTTGAAATAGTTGGCTAGCTTACATTAATGTATTAACAAGAGTCATTTGCAAGCCTCCTTCTCCACCGAGAGAGGGAAGGTTAACTGGAGTGGAGCCCTCTGAGAATTGTCACAATGGCAGAATTCCTGCAGCCTTGAATTAATGGGCATTTGCTCCCCCTTCTTTCTGGTCTGCCACAGATGGCTGGTAGAGGCCCAGGAAGGTGAAGAGACTTTTAGAGGGTCTCTGAGAGGGAGCAGGGAAGCTGTAGTTTGCAGAGCCAAGAGGAGAGAGAGGCTCACTCAGTGCCTGAGCATTGTATGCTCACCTGAACATTAATTAGGACTAATTCGATGATTGCCAGCGTGCTGGGAGTCTCTTGGAAGATGATCCGATTTGGAGAAATTCAGCCTGCTCATTGGAAATGAAACTCATCAGGAGACCTTTTTCTTAGTGTCCTCTTGTGAATGAAAGTGTATTCCACTTCAAGAAGATGTGAGAGTGAAATTTTAATTGCATAAAAGACAGGAAATTCTCCAGGATGGTTCCCATAGCAACTGCAGTGTGTGTGTGTGTATGTGAGACACATTTAACATATGCATTTGGGAGAAAAAGCAGCTTATCTTCACATACAAGTCTAGAATGTGGAACTGTGAAGGGAAGGGAATGGGACATGAATCCCCCAGAGTAGCCTGATACTGGATTTACTGTTTCCCCCAATTTGTACATTTTCTCCTCACCATTGCAGTAGCAAACTGCACCCTTTTGTCTCTTCTCTTTTCTGGGCTTCACGTAGGTAAGGTACCGCCTCACCCAAGGACACCCTGAGGACAAAGCAGCTGACTCCTAGGAGACAGGGTCTTGTTGCAGGTCTCCATTGTGTGGGCCTTTGCCTCTAGAGATTGTTGAGCCAACAACCTGTGAGAGCAGGAGACCCGTGGGCTTAGCTGGCTGGCAGACTGGGCAAAGTCCCAACTTTCACTTACTAGTTCTGAAAATGTGGGCACATCTCTTAAGTAATCAGAGCATCCATTTTCTTTTTTTTATGTTTTGAAAATCTATCAAAGGAAGAAGAAACAACCACCTAGTGCACTATCGTGTTTGGGAGAAAGAAGAAAGGGAATAGGCTCAAGACTTCTTTTCTTTCCCAGAGTCCTGCAGGAAAGTCAGAAATCCAACTGGTTGAGTTTATACTGTTTAGTTGGAGGCCACCATGACCTGGAAGGTAAGATGTACTGTTTGCTGACACAGGTAGGGTGTAAAGAATAGACCATCAACCAGAGAGGAGACTTTCTGAATGGGAAAAAGCGAGGAGAAAGGAACAGATGAGAAAGTCCAAAATAAATTAGGATTGTGCCTCTGTTTATCTCACCTAACAGAGGTTGCCCCTCTGTTCATGTCTCTTTTCTGTGATTGCCTGGAAGCCAGCAATGTCTGACTCATCTCTTGGCTCCAAGACCAAAATCAAACTTATGGAAGCAGAGAGTAAAGGATGGTTTCTACTCTCTGGGATTGGGGGAAATGAGGAGATGTTGGTCAAGGAATATAGACTCCAGTTATAAGATGAATGAGCTCTGGGGCTCTAATACACAGCGTGGTGATGACAGTTTACAATACTGTATTGTTTACTTGAAATTTGCCAAGAGTGTGCATGATAAATATTTCCACCAAAAAAAGGTATTTATGTGAGGTAATGGCTATGTTAACAAACTTGATTGTGATAACCATTTCACAGTATAAGCATACATCAAATCACCATGTTGTACATCTTAAATTTATAGTTTTATTTGTCAGTTATACCTCAATAAAGCTTGGGGAAAATTAAAAAAAAAAAAAAACAAGCACAGGGCCTGGCGTTGGGTCAGTGCTGGGCAAATGTTGAGCTGAACTAGTTCATTGCAGAAGACCAAGTTCATGTGCCAGACTAGAAAGGGAAGCCACGTATAGTTTATTTATTTATTTATTTTAACTTGTATTTTAGATTCAGGTGTATGTGTCAAGGTTTTTTACATAAGTAAACTCATGTAATCGGGCTTTGTTGTACAGATTATTTCATCACCCAGGGATTAAGCCCAGTACCCAATACTTTTCTCTTTTCTGCTCCTTTTCTGCTCCTCTCCTGCTCCTCTCCCTCCATCCTCAAGTACATCCCAGTATCTGTTGTTTTCTCCTTTATCCATAAGTTCTCATCATGGAGCTCCGATAATTTAGTAAGATATTTGGCACCACATTTTTTTTTTATAAAAGAAAAGCATAAAATTGCTATTATAGGGTCAGAAACTTGGGTTTTCTAAATTCAAGCACAGTCTTGTTTTCTTTGTTTGTTTTAGAATCTGTATTGTTAATTTTCCTGTTGTTTGGATAAGGATCTTTCTGAAAATTTCAGTGTGTCTCCCTTGAGTTCCTTGGGATGGAGAAGAGAGATTTTAACTTTTGCACACAGCTTTGCTAGAGAGAAAATTGAGGGGGTGGTGACAGCTTTTTTCCTTCTGAGTCCTTGAAGCATTTTGTACTTGGTTTGTCTAAGGAAAGATTCTCTTACAATATCAGCATCTGCTTTCCTGCCCTTTGGAAGGCAGAAAGAGCTCTGGGATCCCCAGCAGACTGCTTCTTCCCATAATATTAAATTCAGCCCTGTCAAGTCAAGGTTTCCAATGTTGTTCCTGGCATCTGAGGGCATCTGTCATCGCAAAGAGACAACAATATCTTCCGACAGCCCAGAGCAATTATGTTGGAAGTATTTCCCTCTGGGCTGAGACATGGGCAGGTGGGCAAGGCAGAAGCAGATGTCCCGTGATTTGGAATGGGGATTTGACCTTGACGGACAGCTTGGTGCTGTACGCCGTCTGCCGTGGAGACTATCTGGACTGAAACTGGGACTCCACCACTCATTCGCTCTGTGCCTCTGGATAAGTTCTGTCACACCCCTAGGCTTCCATTTCTTCAATTGTAAATTGAAATCATAAATAGTATTTAGTTAGCTGAGGGTCATCAGGATGAAAAAAGCCAATATATATGAAAAGTCTTAAAATACTCCTGGCACTTAAGACGAACATAAGTATTAGTGGCTACTGTCCTTATTAGTGTCCCAGTGAATCTAGCTATCAGAGAGACCCAATGGGGTCTCTTCTGTCTTCTCTGGATTCAGACCCAAAAGACACGATTGAAGATCTGTGTGCCAAGCACTGTGACAGAGGCTTATAATTGTTACCTGTTTTTAACCTCAAAGGAAGACAACAGGGACGTCACCAACTCACTGACTTCTGAACAGGCCTGGTGATGCTGGAGGTGGGGAGTACATGGGGGGCACCTAAGACAGAGCTGTGTGTACTTGTGTTGGGGGGAAGAGGGGAGCATGATATGGATTATAACCATGGGGCATGGGCTGCCAGGCTGGGCATTAGAAGATAATAGACTGGCCGTGGTGGTGGGGACCTAGCTACTTGGGAGGCTGAGCTGGGAGGAGTGCATGAGCCTGGGAGTTCAAGGTTACCATGAGCTATGATCATGCCTGTGAGTAGCCACTGCACTGGGCAACATAGCAAGACTCTGCATCAAAAAAGGGGGAAGTTCTTTGGGGAGACACAGCTCAGCTCTGAGCAACTGAAGAACAGCAGATGTTGATGTGTCCAGGCTAGTGTCAAGTCAGCCTGAGGCATGTGGTCTGCATTTGCTGAACAAAGCACAGAGTGTGGGTGGATTATGCTGAGGTGGGGTGGAGTAGGACGGAATGGGGAAGCCTATTCCATGTGATGTTGTAGGATGCTGAGCAGTCACAAAGGTGAGTGTTCCTGACCCAGCCCAAGGGCTTAGAACAGGTGCAACAGCCCGTGGCAGGAATGGAGGGTTCCACATATGGCTGCTTCTCACAATCTCCAGGGGAGCTGTTTAAAATGCAGATTTTTCCAGCTTCATCCTTGTCCCTGCAAAAGACATGAACTCATCATTTTCGGCAAACTATCGCAAGGACAAAAAACCAAACACCACATGTTCTCACTAATAGGTGGGAATTGAACAATGAGAACACATGGACACAGAAAGGGGAACATCACACACTGGGGCCTGTTGTGGAGTGGGGGCAGGGGGGAGGGATAGTATTAGGAGATATACCTAATGTTAAATGACAAGTTAATGGGTGCAGCACACCAACATGGCACATGTGTACATATGTAACAAACCGGCACGTTGTGCACATGTACCCTAAAACTTAAAGTATAATAAAAAAATAAAATAAAATGCAGATTTTCCTGCCACACATCCAACCCACTTAATCAGAATCTCTGAGAGGTAGAAACTGGAATACCTTTTTGACATACTCACCAGCTGATTCATGCACAACAGTCCAGCCATGGGCTTCAAGGATGGGGTTTTGGGCATCACTGGTGTAGCCCATTGAGCAATGAGCAGTGATAAAGCAGCTCCCTGTTGGGAAGTTACCTGATACCTATAGTGATGCTAGGCTTTTCTGACTGAAGGAGCTTCAGCGTGTGCTAAGGGCAGGTTAAGAGAATGAGGAAGACAGCCTTGTTCCTGGCAGAGCCCACAATCCATGTGGGACAGGTAACGGGTTAAGGTTGGGAAAAGAAGATAGGACAAGGAATAGCAATCAGCCCCAGGGCTACAGGTGCTAGAGGCTCTGGCATGCCCGGAAGGTGGACCTCTCAGAGTGAGGGGAATAGCTGCTCCCAGGCTGTGACTCTCGGGAACCTTGTTAGAAGAGAATCGAGGAGCGTCAGCCACATCCAAGGCCCCTTGCTCTAGGAGGGTGCATCTGGAATCCCATATATCCTAGGGTCCGTTATTATCATAGCCCACCCTGGCACATGCAGGATGGGCTCTCTGATCTTTGAGCTGCTTCAGGCTGTAGGCACCTGCTGGGCTTTGAGGGTTTAGAGAAATTCAGCAAGACTGGATGCTAGCAGTGAATGTAATTCTACCTCCTCCTCTCTCATCTTTCTATTCCCACTACTGGAAACAATCCCTTCACCATCTCTCAATGGTTGAAGCTTGCACCTTCTTTCAAGGTACATCTGAAATGGATTTCCATTTGTTTATGGCAATCGGTTTTAAGCTTAAGGCAATTCAGTTCTGTTAAACATACACTTATTGAGCACATGTTATGAATGAATTCCTGACTATGTTGCTGGAATGTAAAAGAAAAATTAGGACAAGTTCCCAGTTCTCAGGGAGCTTGGTGCAGGGAAAGAAAGATGCATGTAAGCAAACATCCTTCAGTGTGCTAGGTACATGATAGAGATAAATTCTAATTTTTAAAAAGTCCTGTGTAATATCTATTTCTGTGCATGCTTTATCTCCTCTATCTGACTTTATCTCTTCTGTCTTCCGGACTGGGGACATGTCTCTGTCATTTTTGTACTCCCGCCCTCTGAAACAGTGAATGGAACTGTGTTGGTGTTCAATAGATATTTATTGGTTTGGCTTAAACCAAATTCTATATAATGATATGTTTTTAATAAATATAATTATTTGATTTCATTTAAAAGTCTCTTGGGAATACATTATATAATATCAAGCTATTGGAAAGACAAATTTAGGAGTGTTTGAGTTGGATTTAGTTTTATTTCTGGCAGTGACTGGGTTTTTAATAAACATGCTGGCTGCAAGGAGTAAAAATAAAATATAGTTTGAACATTTTTAGACAACTCTAAATTAGAAGAATTTGCCAACACTTTGAAATAGCAAATTTTGTGATTCAAAATTATTTGGACCAATTAGAGTATCGATAAAATTGAATGGAATGATTGTCGTTAATGTATGGTGTTGTTCTAGAAGAAAAAATTAATGTCTCTAAATGACCAATAAGAATGGAATGGCTGGAGATCATCTCAGCAAAGAAGAGAGGTTTGGGAGAGCAGAAGAATAAGACAGAAAAAAGGTAAATCAGCAGGTTTTGCTCCTCTGTCCCCTCCTCATGTCAACCTGAAACAATTTGTCTTGGATGTGGTAGAAATGAAAAAAAATAAACGGGACCATTGTGAGTTAAAGCATAGGTCTGCAGTGTTGTAAATAGTGACTTTGGTCAATTTAGCCTCCCCTAGTGTCCATTTTTCTCATGTGTAAAATGGGGAGCATGGAGGGTTCTTCCCAGGGCTGCTGTGAGTGAGAATCCAGTGAGGTGCTATATGTAATGTGCCCTACAGGATAAGTTGCTCATAGGAGACGCTCAATAAATGGTCACTCCCTTCAAAGGTCCCCTTCCCTGAGATAACTACAGGGAGCTTAGTGGGAGCTCAGAAATCAGGAACAGTTTCTCACAAACATTATAAAATTGTTTGGAGAAATGAATGTGGAGCCAGTAATGTACTGGGTGTTGGCAGCTGCAGTCTTTGGTGAAGGGTCACAAATGGCAGGTTGAAGCTTGTCTAGAATGGTGCATTGCTGTGGTGTGTGGCTTCGCTCTCCTTACCCCATGAAATTCCATGGCCAGCGAAGGTCCTTTGACCAGTTTAGAATCGATGGTGGTTGTAGGTGGTGGTGGAGGAGAGTGTTTGTTGTTACCTGCAAATTGCACACCTGAAAGCCTCTGCAGCTCCTCACTCATGCCTGCATGGATGAGGGATGAAGGACACTGGTGTGGAACATGCAGAATGTCTGGGCCTCCTAAGAGTGTCCCCAAAAAGCAAAGAAAATACACAGATTCGGGGCTGACTCCACACAAGCCTGGACACTTCTTGCTAGGGGCAGCCCTGAACCATCTCCTGAAAATGGAGAAATATCATTTGCATTTTTTGAAGCACTATTGTGTCCAACAAAATGTGACTGTATATTTTAATCATCCAAGCTTTTGAGAATGAGTGGAGGCACCATTACAAATTGTGCACAGATGACAGGAATAACTATGATGGTCTTAGGCACAACAGGATGTATGGTTCCCCTTGTCAGATACCCTGAGCAGAGGAGGGTATAAATTGGATTGTGCTGCCTGGAATTATTTTCATCATTTGCAAGGACTTGGGCACCTAGCTGAACACCCATCTGGATTTGAAGACTTCCTTTAGCTACAATTAAGAGTTTAATTCCCTGAAGACTCTGTTATGAGAAAGACCCACTAGGACTTGGGAGGGATAATGCAAATACCCATTTGCATAATGATTTACAGTTTTTAGAGCATTTTCACACATATTATGTCACCAATCTGGACCTCCTCCTGAAACATGAAACCTCCAAAGTGCAAGCTTGCTGCTTCTAAAATGTAGCATTGCCCACACTGAGCTCTGTTCCATTCCCACTTCTCCACCTTCAGAAAGCCTTCCCTGATCTCCACACACTATCTCCACCCTCTCAGCCAAAGGTGCTCCTCCTCCGTAACCTCCAGAGCGCTGTGCACCGGCATGCCCTGCTTAGTAGAGAGTGAGTCCTTGAGGGTGAGGCTGGGATTAATTTCCCACCGCATCCTGAAAGACAATTCAGAGTAGGAATTTGGAGAATGCTAAATCTGTCTAGAACAGTGCTCCTCAAACTTTAATCTGTACACCAACCACCTGGAAAGCTTGTTAAACTGAAGATTCTCATACAGCAGGTCTGAGTGAGGCCCAAGATTCTACCAAGACCCAGGTGATGCTGATGGTCCTTGGACCATACTTTGGATAACTTGGCTGAACATTGGAATCATCTGGGGAAGTTTTAAAAGGCTCCCTGCGTGGACCACACCTCCAGAGTTTCTGATTTAATGGGTAATGCACCTGGGCAGCAGAAAGTTGTAACAGCTCTCCCGGTGTTTCTAACGTACTTCAAAGTTTGAGAACCATGGTGCTGCAGGAAATTTGCCATGGGCTATACAACCTTCAAAATAAAGGCTGTGGTTCCCTGCAACACTGGGAAGAAGAGTGTCAATGGTACCTTATGTTTCTGGAGTTTGAAAAGGACTTTATGATTACATCTATTATTTCTTAGTTCCCTCCAACGTGGGAGGAAGGCGTCCTTCAGATAAGCAGCAGGCTCAGCAAGATGATCCTTACAGAGCTGAGACATTAATCCAGGTGGGTTTTTTTTTTAAATTATAATTTAATTATTTTTCCCTGCCGTTGATGGAGAAAGGGTTGTTGGTTAGATCTGGGTTCTAGTCCCAGCCCTGACTAGAGCTGGGTATCACTTGATTTTTGGACCCTGCATGTCTTCTATGTCCCCACGTTCTCCCATGTGCACACCAGGGTTGGCCCTCCCTGCAGGCCATCTGCCCTGCTAACTCGTCTTTCTCAAGCTCTAGATTGTGGATGGATGAAGACACCACCTCCTTTTGTCTTCCTCCTCTTCTCCAGCTGTCAAACTCCCACTCCCACTTCAAGCCCAGGCTCAGCTGTCCCTGCTCCCTGGGGCAGGTTTAGTCCCTCCCATGTCTCTCCTCTGTAGTTGTCACCATTGTCTATTTCTTCATTTGTTTCCTCTAGGCTGTGAGCGATTCAGCTTCAGGAACCATGGCTTATTATCTCATGTTCTCTATACACACTACAGCATCTATTGCAAGATGTCCTCAGTATATATGTTGTATTTAAAAAGATGGCAAAATAGCTGGCTGTGGTGGAGTGCACCTACAGTCCCAGCTACTCTGGAGGCTGAGGCAGGAAGATCCCCTGAGCCAGGAGGTAGAGTCCAACCTGGACAACATAGTGAGGCCCTGTCTCTAAAAATACAAATTAAAAAGTATGACAAAATGCCTTTATCTGCATTGGAGAGATGTTTTAAGACTATGAGAAGATTAAGAGGTACTTTGGAAAGTTAAAAGCATAATACTTACTGTAAGATATTATTATTATTTTTAACCGAGATGCAAACCTGTTTTTGCATTTTGTGCCAGAAATTTTCAGTGGCATAAAAAGTATTCTTGCTGTTTTAACAATTTTTTTTTTTGAGATGGAGTCTCACTCTGTTGCCCAGGCTGGAGTGCAGTGGCATGATCTCGGCTCCCTGCAACCTCTGCCTCCCAGGTTCAATCGATTCTCCTGCCTCAGTCTCCCGAGTAGCTGGGACTACAGGCGTGCACCACCATGCCCAGCTTTTTTTTTTTTTTTTTTTGGAGTTTTAGTAGGGACAGGGTTTCACCATGTCAGCCAGGCTTCTCTCAAACTCCTGACCTCAGGTGTTCCACCCTCCTCGGCCTCCCAAAGCACTGGGGTTACAGGTGTGAGCCACTGCACCTGGCCTGTTTTAACAATTTAAGGATTACAATGAGAAATGGGGTCATTTAAAATTCATCAGAAGATAAGGAATAAAAGAAAAAAAGAGAAAAAAAGAAAAGTTAACCATAATCTTGTTACCCAAATATAAATGAGTAAAATTTTGATATATTTCTTTGCTTTATGCACACAGTGTTTTAAAAAAAGAATTGTAATGATGCTGTTTGTGTACCATTTTACGCCCTTCTTTTTCATTTACAATTATAGCTAACTCATTCCCTTGTGTTATTACTTTTGTAAGCATCTTTTTTAGTGGCCATGTAATACTGTTCTAAGTAAGTATACGCATCACATTTTGCATATGTATTACCCAGCTGTTGGACATTTAGGTGCTATTCAGTTTTTCTACATGTCAATTGATGCTGCAGTGATGTTTTATACTGAAGGCTTGTTTTTCTGAATTTAAGTTTGTCTCTTTGGGTCAATGTCAATATCTTCTGAGGATTAATCCCTAAAATTTATGCCATTCATTCTACCACCAGCAATGTGTGAGACTGACCATTTCATTGTCTTTTTTTTAATTTTAATTTTAATTTTTTTGAGACGGTGTCTCACTCTGTCGCCCAGGCTGGAGTGCAGTGCTGCGATCTCAGCTCACTGCAACCTCCACCTCCTGGTTTTAGGCGATTCTCCTGCCTCAGACTCCCGAGTAGCTGGTACTATAGGCATGCGCCACCAAGCCTGGCTAATTTTTGTATTTCTAGTAGAGATGGGGTTTCACCATGTTGGCCAGGCTGGTCTCGCACTTCTGACCTCAAGATATATATATAAAGTTATACACACACACACACACACACACACACATACACATACATCTACTATATATGTATACTATATGTAGTGGGAACCATATATATAATGGTTTCCTTTTGAAAATGATATATTACAATTCAGTAAACACAAACATGACTATAGAGTTATCTTTTGGATACTTAGAGTCATGTTACACCTATGATCTTATTGTCTGTTTTTTCTAAAATACATACTATTTGGTGGTATTTACAATGATTCTTTCAAGGGATGCTGAGTGTTCCATTGAAGATGTGCGATGTTTTAACTTTATTCTTTTATTGCTGGACATTTATATTAATTCTGATTTTACTTGATTGTTTTGGTGCATGTGGCCTTATTCCTTTTTTGAGATTATTTCTTAAAATAAACTCATAGAACTGAGGTTACTTCTAACCTCACTTTATCAAGTAGGCAAAATGTTTTATGTCACATGCCTAACATTTTTCCTAGTCTTACAAATTTGCAAATTTCACAAGTACTAGGGGTTTATCAGTTTTAGCAATGTCATGGAAATTGTCAGCTAAAAATTTAAAATTTTTACTTAATAGGCAGAAACTTGGATTTTCTGTTTTAGATTTGTATTTATTTTATGACCAATTAGTCTGAGTATGAAAGAAAAATATCTGTTTACCAGTTGTATTTATTCTTTTGTGAATTAGCTCTTCAGCATGTTTTCTGATATTTTTGGCTTGTTTACCTAACTGGTATCTTAATCTTCCTGGTATTTCTTATAATTTTCTTGGTTGTCATTGGAACTATGACACAGTGAACTTCCCTCATGAGGGAGGGAGCCGAAGCACCCTGAAATTGATTTTTCTCACAGATTCTTCTTGAATTAAGAGGAATGTCATTAAACCATTTTGAAAAGTAGATTTGACTTAAGACAAAACTGTTTTCCATTTATAATACGTTGTCCTGGCACTTTTAGTAGATGGGTCTGTTTATATTGTATCTGGGTCTGTTTATATTGTTTCTTACTTTAAAATGAAATTATATGGATAAGCAGCTATAGTTTCTCCCATTAAGGGTACTCTTTTCTTACAAATGGACATAAACCTCAGTGATACCACCAAAATTTGTATAATAGGGACAAATTCAAGAAAAGAGTTGGTAAAATATTTGGGGTAGAGTTCCCTGTTTTTTCACCTTATTTTGGAGGTGAGCTGAGGAGTGGGAGATATTTGTTTCCACAACAATGTTTTCAGGGTGATGTGCACCAACACTGCTGGCTCACACTTTTCTTCACGGCAATAGTAGACAAGGCTGGACAAATACGGACACCTTATCATATGGATTGAGCTGTCACATTCTAATGGGAACAGAAAATGGGAGAGAAAGCTGGCAGGAGGGGAAAGGGAGAAGAGGCTTGGAAACCACTTCAAAATTTATTAAGATTTGAATACCGGGGTAAGACATCAACTATGTAAAAAACACATAAAAAATAGAGCAAAAGAATATATACCGAAATATATTTAAATATTTCCCTACGCAAATTCCCTGGGTATTTGGGTGAATTGAATTTTTTCTCTAGGCATAAGAGAAAATCTTTGTGAGGTAAGATTATGGGTAGCATAGCTTTATTCCCTTCATGCTTTCCGAGTTTTTATAATTAGCCCATCTTACTTTAAATATCAAGTAAAAAATGTTATGTTAAAGCTATGAGTATTAGTGCTTCCTTTTTGTTTGATATTTTGACAAAGCATTGTACCACAATAAATTTCTACATTCATATTTCTCTGCATAGTATACTTCCCAAAAGATATGAATATAATGTCTAAGGTGGTACCTTCCAACCCTATAGTCTGTGATTTTATGATATATATATATATATATTTGTCATAAGAAGAAATACCTGTCAGTATTAAGCCAGGCTATGTCGGTAAAATGCAATGCTTAGCAAACACCACTCAATCTAGTACACAAAGCAAAACGTTTATTTTTAATAAAAAAGAAGGAAATCTAATGTCTTGTAGAACTCACCAAGAGAAATCAGCAATACTGTTTTATGAATATGACTATTATTGAAATTGGTGCTTTGATAATTTCAGGCACTTATAAGACAATCAGCAACTGATGTTTGTCAAGTACATTTATTCTAAATAATCAGAATATTCCTTCTTGGTAACATATTGTTTAATTTAAAGTACATGTGCTCTATTAAAAGATATAGCATTTCATGAGCCAGATTATTATCATTTTTAAAATCTAAAGGCTAGGATTAAAAAAGTAACTGATGACCTGAAATCATGTCATATCTATTTTAGATCTATATTTATCTAATAATTAGGACATCAATTCCACTAGGAATCAAGGAGATAAACTAATGGACTTTGTCTTTTCAGTGTTTATTTCAGGTATTTCAGAATTTATAATTAAAAAAATAAAAATTTCTCACCTACTGCCTATTACATTTTTTCCTATGGAATTTGAGAACTCCTGTATTGATCAAATGATGGCATTTCTAGCATACTTTTTTTGTGGGTAACTTTGAAGAGTCTTACTTTATTAAGCAAACTTCATATTTGATTTTCCAAGTATTAAAATAGCCACCTTTCTTACAGATTGCTTTAGGGGAAGAATTCTTGATTGTCTAAACACTGAAGTTGTCTCATTGGAAAGTTCAAGTAAATAAACTTCAAGTGGTAAGCTATGGTCTATTTTCTGCAAATGAAGGAGGTTATTATCAATTTCTTTAAGTGTGCATGAAAATTGGTACTGTGAAATATAAGTAGGTCTTTATATGAAATAATTCAGTTAGGTTTCTTTAAAAAATCAGGAAATGATGGAGAATTGAAGAGACTAATGAAATGTAATATATATGAAAACCTCCTTTTCTCTCCATTGGTTGAAGGTGTACCGTAAGCTGGAGTTTATATTCTTAGGGGAGAAGGGTTCAGTGTATTAGATTAATTGTTTAACAACCTTATACTCGGTAGTGTTAAGTGTATTCTTTATCTGAACTGTTGTGGATTTAATGGGCTACTCTATATGTTGGCAGGAGATATTAGTATGGGAATTATAATGGAACATTTCAATCCATATCTTTTTAGTTAGTTGAAAACAGGTTTTTTTTTTTCCCCAATTATGCTGCCCCAAGATATACCTGTAAGGGATTTAAACACCTGAAAATGAGCAATTTAATTTTGCTCTGGGATATTTGTAAGATAATTCCTAGCTAAAACACACACTCAAAATAGTACCTTGTTAATAAAATGATTAACATCCACAATTTACATGTGAATTCTAACCAAATGCATTGCGCTTAAAAGGAGCTTTAATTATTTCAACTACTCATGTGGCTCTGGCCATAGTTTTACTGATCTCTACCTAGAGAATGCCATGGAAGATTGTGTGGTTAATGTCAGAAACTGGTTTTAGATCATCAGTACACTTGAGATTCCTAAGTGCACCCACTATATGACATGTAAACACCCTAATTTTCACATACCTTTTCAGAATTAATAATGCAATTTTAACTGCATTTGATTTTTTTATATTAAAGCAGTCTCAAAATCAAGTATAAAGGATTCAGAAATTCAAAGTGGAAGCCATGTATGTAATATTTTTAAATTCAGTGAATATCTTTATTAGGTACCCCACTAGCTTCTAGACATTTAAACCAACAATTACAATTTTAACTCCTCTAATACAAATGTATGGAAAGAGCCCCTGTCCTCAATAGATTTCTGCATTGAAACAGCAGTTATTGCTTCATAGTCTGAGATCTTGGGGACTCAGAGGAAACGATTTATATTTTTTATACACTCTTGTCCAACATCTTGCCTTTTCTCAGCTATTTAGTTGTCTGACTTTATCTTATTCCACTTTACTGTCACTAGAAGCTTTACTTCCTATCGTCTCTGCTGTTCGCAGCTGCGGGATATGTTTCCAGTTCTCTAGTTTTCTCTTGCTACCTTATGTTTTTCAGGCTAGCCCAAGTATGTTTAAAATTTTTGACTTGTTCCTGAAGTTGTTCTAATTTTTCCTTTAACCTGGGCAGGACTGACAGTGTTTCCTGGATGACAGTGTTTTCTCTTTCCTTTTTTCTTTAATCCCTCTTCTCATTATAGGACCAAAATCTGTTTTTAAAATCGGATCTATTTCTTCTGTTGCTGGCGTTCCCTGTGTAAACAATAGTGTTCTGCAAATATACCAATTCCGAAGCCTTCCCAGCCCGTCACTGTACATTTACCTCTGCTCTGACAGCTGCCCTTTGAACAATAGTATTCCAGACATGGGTTTTTATATTTCTCACTTATGCCTTTATTTATGATAATTTCACGAAGTTTTCATGAACTTGGGCCGCCATCCTGAGTTCCAAAAGATGACACCTTCCTAATTGCACAGGGACTTGCTCATTTGCTCTTCTGCTGCCTGCCTGCTCGTAGGGTCTAACACCTCACCCACCACCACTCTGAGGCATCTCACAGGCTGGGGCTTTCAGGTCCCCACTCAGCCTACACATCCAGCCACTTGGAAGTAGGTAGGAAAAGACCTGCCTACGTTCATGCATATGACCTTTCACATGATGTTCATGACTAATCAGCATTCTGGATGGAAAATGACCAACTCGAATTAACTCTTCTGTGATCACATCAACTCTTCTGGGGGTGGAGAAAGGGGTGGGATGGGGAATATGGAGGGAAGTATAGGGAGAGGGACAGAATTAGTGCTGGGCTAGAAATAGAACTGGAGTCTGACATATAAGCAGTTGTATTTACTGTATCTAGAGATGCATTCTATACCTCTAAAGTAGTTCACTTAGAGGGACTTTCAAATTCCGCTTCAGCTCACTTATTTCCCAACTAAGTCAGTGCTCACACACGCCCTTTAATGTATTCATTTGTTTTACGCTGAAAACACACAACCTTTAATGTATTCATTTGTTTTACACTGACTTGGAAATTGCCCTTGTTTCACCTTCTAATGATCTAGTCTACTAGCCGAAGTGCAAAAGTCTCACCTTGAAGGCATGGGAGTCATAGAGAATTGCCAAGGTCTCAGTGCCCATAAGGAGGTAGTGAACAGAGCTGAATCTAGGAAGGGTAGGGGGCAGAGACTAAAGTCAGGGCGTGGAGTTAAAGGATGAAACTAGAGAAAAGATGAGGAGTGAAGGAAAACCAGGTACATCGTGGGGCTTGGGCAGAGGGCGCTGAATGGCTGACTATGGTGTCAGCCATTTTCTTACCCTTGTCAAATAATCCTAATGCTTTTAAGTTTTCTTCATTGGTTATATATTGTTTTGTTGATAAAATGTTCTGAAATTGCATTTTTTAATGGGATTCTGCCTCATTAAAGAACCAGGGTTGGCACGCCCCCTCGGAAGCCCCACATACGTGGGCAAATATTTATGTTCAATGAATCGCGGATTCTGACAGCAGAAGTCTTGTTGTCCATGACTCCTGTGTTGCCAGGAGCACTGGAAACTCATCCTAAACCACAGAATCAAGTTCTGCTTTTAAAACTCCCACGAAGGGGTTTTTAATGCCTCCTTTCATAATCCATTTGTATGTTTAATGTTCCTTCACAAGACCAAAGTCTTCCTTTATCTCAAACCTGGAGTACTTTCTTCTATCCCTTTCCCTGAAGATGGACAGCAAACACCTTCTCTATGTAGATAATTTGGCAGTTATTAATTCTGTCCCTCAAACTTTTCTTACCCTTGCCAAGTAATCCTATTGCTTTAACTTTTCTTCATTGATTGTATTTTTTGTTGATAAAATGTTCTGAAATTTGGGTAGTGGGTTGGGGACTTATATTTGGGCCCTTATTACATGCCTGGAGTTGTTTTAGTTATTGCAAACGTATTAACGGATTTGATTCTCCTTGCCGCCCTGTGAGACAAGGTATCATGCTCACTTTAGAAATAAAGAAATTGCATCAAACTTTTTCTATGGACCTATACACTCAGTCGAGAATATGAGAAAGGCTTGCAAGCAAGTCTCTAATTTCTGGATTCATTTTAGAATTTTTAATTTTTTAAGTTAACTTTCGTTTTTCTCAAAGTAGTTCTTGCACCTGGATTAAAATCCAATGAGGCTAAAAGGCTGGATGTACTAATAGAAAACACATGGCATGCACTCACATGTGTCAGGCACAGTTCTAAATGTTTTATACATCCGAACTCATTTAATAATCACAGCAACTTAGTAGTATTGTCTCTGTCTTACAGATGGGACACTGGGACATGAAGAGGTTAATTTAGTTGCCTGAGTTCAAAGACCTAATAAGTGGTGGAGCTGACAGTTAAGCAAGTGGTGTAGCCTAAAGATTCTATGTCCCTGTTCTGCTTACAATGGAAGTGGTAGCACCGTGACCTACTCCTCCCGTACCTGGTTCCTCTTTCCACAGATAATTATGTACTCTTTTTGATATTTTTTCTGATGTTTACCTCTGTTTCTATTTAGCTCTGGTACATCCTTTCCCTTCTTATTTCCTGCCCCAACCTCTTAATCTTATTGTCTCACACTTTCTAATTCATCAGCATTTACCTTTTTGTAACCGTGTTATTTTTGATTATTTATGAATCAAGTTATTTATAATTATTGCATTTTTAAATTAATTTTTATTTTCCTGGGGCAAATACTTGCCTTGTTTTTCATTTTCATGATTGTCTCTATCCTTATTTTTCTCAGGCATTCCATCCAATGTCACATACCTCTTGATATTTTTTTCTAAATGTTCACATATATTGGATAACTCATGAAATTCATGTTTTTCCTAAAGCTTTTTCTCTCTAGATACCCTCTCTTCCATTCCAGAAGTGACTAGTCATTTTCTGGGTCTGCTGCACCGCTCTTAACCTGGGATTCTCCATAAAATTTGTTCTTTTTTCCTGGACTCCGTGTCTTCCTTTTCTTAATTTACTCCCTTGCCATATTATGTAAGTGTTCTAGTTACTTATTGCTGCATAACAAATCACCCTAAAACTTGATGGCATGAAGCAGTTTCTGATTTCCACCATTCCGTGGGTTAACTGTGTTGTTCTTCTGTGCCGTGTGCTAGTGACTTGGGGTGCTGGCACGTCTGCAGTCATCTTGGGGCTTGAGTGTTCTGCACAGTGATGGCGGCTCCCTCACACAGCCGGGGGATGGTGCTGGTTGTTGGCTGGGAGCTCAGCTTGATCAGTCAACCAGAGCAGCTATGCATGGCCTCTCCATGTGGCTTGGACTTTTCACAGGACAGCAGCTTGGTTTTGTGGTGGAGCATCTGAAGAGTGAGCTTTTTAAAATGCCCTGAGGAAATCTGCAAGGCTTCTTATTATCTGACTTTGGAAGACCTAGAACACCACTTTTGCCATATTTGTTCAAGAAAATCACTACGGCAAGCATGGATTCCAGGGGAGGAAATTAGACATCTTTTGATGTGAGGAGCAGTATGTGGACAGAGGGAGGGAAGAACTAGTTGGCAGCCACCTTTGAGACTAGCTACCATGTTAGGGTAACACTGCTGTCATAAACTCCAGCATTCTGGTGACATAACACAATATTTTATTCCCACTTACATTTCTCTTGTCTCTCCTTCTATTTTATGGCTTTTTCCCTAGAGCATTGGAGTTCTCTGCTTTTAGCCGGAGGATGAAGAAAGAGTGAATATAGCAGACACCTCTGCTTCTTAATCACTTTGGCCCAGAAATAACACAAGTCACGTCTGCCCCATCCTATTGTGGAATATTGCTACACCCAGTTGTATGGCCAAGCCCAGATACAAAGAGGGCTAGGAAGAGTAGTCCCTGGCTGGGTAGCAGGTACCCAAGGAAAGCTTTGTGGACGGAAGGAAGATTATAATTTCTGACGAATAGCTAGTTGTCTGTGTCATGCTTATTTGCAAGAGCACAACTCCCAATAGTTTCTTGACAAAAGTGGTTGGGAGGAATATATTTTCATCATTGTACCTCAAAAAATAGACTTAGTCTGGCCTTCCATTTGATGAATAGGTTGACTGGATAGAGAATTTTCTGTTAAAATCATTTTCTTTTACTTTTGAAGGCTTGCTTCACTGTGTGATGCCAATTTGATTCTTGTTCTTTGAATGTGAATTGTTTTTTTCTCTCTGCAGACTGGAAGATCATACACTAATCCCTGGGCTTTGGGATATCAGTTTGCTATAATTTAACATGGTGTTTTCATTTATTGTGCTGGGTCACTTGGTGGGCCCTTACAGTCTTGAAACTCATATGCTTCATTTATGGGAACATTTCCAGCATTATTTATTTGATAAATTTTTCTTCTGTTTTTTTTTCCTCTCATTTTTTTCTTTTTTACAGGAGTTATTAGATGTTGTATGTCTTGAATTAATTAACTGATTTTATCTTTCTCTCCTCTTTGTCTTTTAGATCTACTTTCTAAATGATCCCCCAACTTTACCTTTCAACAGTTCTACTGCATCAAAATATGTAGTTATTAAGTTTCAACAAACATTCTTTCTTATTTTCTGGATTTTACCTGCCCATAGCGTCTTGTTCTTGTTCATAGTACACATTATGTTCTCTTATCTTTCTGAAGATATTAATTATATTTTTAAACAGCTATTTTTAAATTGATTGTTTCTTTTATATCTTCCAGAGTTCTGCTGTCTTGATTTGGTCTCTCCATTTCACGTGAGAGTCCATTTTTCATATCTAGTGATTTTTTTTCCTGCCTATTCACATTTAGTGTTAACCAGTAAGAATTCAATGATTAAAGGCCCAATCAGGACCTCTGGGTGGGCATAGTGTTTCTTCTGATAAGCCTCCCTATAGGGTGGTCTGGCAGCAAGTTGCCCGTTTTGTTGGGAAGTCTCCCACAGCAGAAATTAGAAGTCTTTTACCTGAGGTTATTTGGTTTCCTTGCAATCATAATCCCCTTGCTTGTCTGTCAGGCTGCTGGTTTTTTTGGAGCAAGGCAAGATGTCTGGGGTAATGGCTGTCTCTTATTATTTCTATTTTCAGCCCCTGTGCTTCAGCCTTGCCTGAGCTCTGCTTGTTTTTTCCAAAGGCTTAATGATTTAGTTCCTTCCAAGGACCAACTTCAAGATTTCTCGTGGGAGTTGCATGGAGTGAGGTGGTCTTTGCCTGGCTGCTCAGGGTTGAGAAGAGGCAGCTGGGGGCCTGACCAGGCATCTTTGGGTCTCTCGTGTACATCCATGTGCTTTTGCCTGGCTGACTCCAGTTATTTCTCCAAAGGCTTCTTTCCCATTAGCATTCTCTTCTGCAGCATTACTGGCTTCCTTCACTGCTAAGCCAATTGCCACTCCTCTATCTGCTTTGTGTCTTTACATTTTTTGTAAGATTTCACATATTGATGTCTTCTATTCAGTTTGACCTTGTGAAGTTTTAGTTTTTCACACCTTTATTCACATTTAGCAGGATTTTAAGAGGCACAGGAAGGAGGGTGATTCCATTACCTTCAGGGTTTTATACAGTCAAGGGTGCCCACATTTTGCTCCTAAATTTGTCTCTTTGGGTTACAATTACAGGCCTACACTTTTTCCTAACGCACTAACCAGGAGAGGCTTCCAACAGTATCTATTCCGTGTCCTGGGAGTGTGCCTTCCCTATCTGTATTTATTGTAAAACTTTTTTTTTTCTAAAGATAATGAGGAGTTGCCAGATGTTTCCATAACAATGAAGATAAAAATGAAGAGTCTGACTTTGAATAGTAGATTATAGATCTATGTTACTTGGTCTTATGTAGACTAGTAGTAGAAAAAGCAAAAGCTCTGGAGTCATAAATATCTGGTCGTGAATCCCAGCTCTGCCCCTCTGTGACTTGAGGAAATTTGCTCAACTTCTCTGAACCTCCATTTCCTTATCTGTAAAGTACTATTAACAAGTATTCTGCAAAGATTTTGTGAGGATTTAAGGTAACGATGGTTGAAAGTGGTCTTGTAGTAGGGTTTAATAAATCGTAGTTGTTTTTACCATTACTAAAGTATTACCCTGACCACTGATAAATAGAACATTTCTAGAGCCACTGACAAATATTCTTTGTCAGCTCCTAAGAGGACACTAGCAGACAATGACTATTTAAAGAAAAACCTCATTTAAATACTTGAGAAAAGCTATCTCCTTATCTTTCCTATAAATCTTCTTTGCTTCTCATAATGCAGAAATGAGTTCCAGGCTTGGAGATAGCAATATCAGGGCAATATTTTATAGTGTTATTGCATTTTGTATCCAAACACGCCCTGAGGATTTTATAAGCAAAAATGAAATTTCTTCACATCCCTGTGGCATAGGCATTTCATTACTAAATTTATAGACAGATAAACAGTGACTCACAAAAATGAAAACTTTCTCCCCCAACCTGGGCTATGACTAATGGAATTCAGCAGAAAATAGCTCTCCATGCACCTCCAGTGAAACTTCTATTCAAGTTTTGCAATTTGAGTACCCCCTCAGCACCTTGAGAGTCTTGTGAAAAGTGAGATTAAAGAGGAGCCTTTCCATAAAGATACAAGGTATTTATCGGGGTTGAAATGGGGGAAAAAGGGAGAAGGGAGATGGAGAGAGAATCATTGAAATGTAATGTTGCAAAGGCTGGGTTTTACGGTAATGCAATGGAAAAGGTGTGAATGGGAGGAAGTTTATCTAATAGAAAGATAGTTCTGCCACTACTTGCTCTGTGACTTCAGGAAATTTGCCCAACCTCTCTTGACCTCAGTTTCCTTATCTGTAAGGATTTTTCTGATTAGCAGCTGTGGACCTGATTATGTCATTCAATTTAACAAGTGTTAGTTGTCTACCTATTATGTGCTAGCTGCATTCAAAGCCAGAATTCTATTGATTTTTACCTTTACCCAGAAAGAAATTCCAGTTCTTCTAATACATTTTTATAGTTCTAATATGTTCATAAATTAAATTTTTGAGATTAGTTAGTCTCTACTAATGCAATATTGATTAATCATTATATGTTCTAAGCTTCACTAGGCAGGATCAGTGAGGGCTTCAAAGAGGAGTAAAGATGCAATTCTTGTTCCTACAAAGCTTACACTTTGGGGAAAGATACACATCAACAGAATGAGCTTTAATGCAAGTAATATGATACTACATACTCTGAAGGAGGTTTAAAAAATTCCATAGTAGAGATATGAGGAAGAGAATTACGCTGTCTTGGAAGAACCAGGGAAAGTTGCACAGAGGAGATGATCACTAGACTAAGCATTAAAGGAATACGTGGAATTTTTATAAGAAGAGAAAAGAAGGAAAGGAGTTCTAGGTGGAGAGATTAACATAAGTCAAGACAGGATATGGACATTTGGGGGAATAATGAGTGGGAGTATAATGTGTCTGGTAGAAAAATAGGAGACAGTTGAAGAGAACCACTTGTTTTTTGAGTACTTCACTGTCCTCAGCGGCAAGAAGAGGTAACATAAAAACATTTGCACCAAGTTCTCTTCAAACTATGCAACTTGATGGTTTTCTTTTTTTAACAGAGAGAAGGCCAACTTAAAAAAAAACAATCCCTATTGAAGAATTGGAGTAAGGCCAATAAGGCCAATCAGGTATCCTGAGAGGAGAGCATCATTTAATTAGGCACAGAGGAATCTCTGACTAAGAGAAACTTGACCCTGTTCTCTTTTAGTTCTATTTAAAAATGATGAGGGAAAGACTCTAATTGTCCAAGCTTAGGTCAGGTGCCACCATACCTTGGACCAACTACTCTGGAATGGAATGTGAGATTTCTAAGATGGCTACTTTCATTTGAACCCTTGGTTATGGCAGGGACAAAAAGTAAAGCCAGAAGAAATAGCTTGGGAAGTGTGATGCTGTACAGTTCAGAAGAAAATTAATCTACCACTGTAACTTGCCCCAAATTCCATGACTAGTGAATTGTGAAGCTAAAATTTGAATACCAAACCTTACGATATTTCTAATGTGCCTTGATTCTTAAATGAAAAATGTCTGTATATTTCAGATATTTGCAGACTTCATTTCAGGTTATGTAATTTTCAGTTATAGAATTTCCATTTCATTCTATTATTACTTTTTTTGTGCTAAGATTCTTTGTTCATCCACTGTATGTTTCTTTTTCTTTAAATTCTTAAACATAGTCTTGTCTGTAAAGTCCAACATATGTTTCATCTCTAGATCTCTCTCTCTTTTTGGCTACAGTTCACATTTTCTTGCTCCTTTGCATATCTAAGCATTTTTTTACTTTTAATTTTATACTGGCTATGGCTAATGCTACAAGGTTGAGAGTCTGGATTTTACTGTCTTCTGTTAAAGATTGAGCTTCATTTTGGCGGGTAGCATATTTACTAGAAGGTCAGCTGGACCCTCTTGGTGTTTGATTTTCCAGTTTTGTTAGGGTGGTGTATTCATTTCCTAGGACTGTCTTAATAAATTACCACAAACTTTATGACTTGAATCAACAGAAATTTATTTTCTTACTATTCTGGAGGCCAAATCATGCTGTTGGCAGGGCTGCACTCCGTTGGAAGACTCTAGGGGAGAATCCTTCCTTGCCTCTTCCAGTTTCTGGTGGCTGTAGACACCCCTTGGCTTGTGGATGCATAACTTCAATCACTGCCTTCATCTTCACATGGTTTTCTCCTCTGTGTCTGTCCTCTTTTCCTGTCTCTTGCAAGGGTGCTTGTTATTGGAATTAGGGCCCACCCAGCTATTCCAGGATCATGAGGTCCCAAACTTGATTACATTGTAGAAAAAACTTTTTTCAAATAAAGTCACATTCACAGGTGTTGAAGTTTTGAACTTAGATGTATTTTTGGAACGACCACTTTTCAACTCATTACAGGTGGGCCTAGAATACACTTAACTTGGAAAGATAGAGTGGTACTACTCCCAGGGTATAAACATTCTGGGATCTCAATTGAATGCCTGGAATGTTCAATGAGCTCCATCTACTTTGGTCAGCAGGTGCTCCTATGTCTCTCAGAAATATTCTCTGGTAGACCTTGTGCACATGCACAACTTAATAGACGAAGACGTACAGAAATCCCTTATGCAGATTTGTGGAGCTCTTTCCCTGTGCTGCTCCCTCCACTATGGTACCATGGCCTGCAAATGCTGGCTAACTTGTCAGCAATAAACACTTATCTCAGTCTCCTCGGCTCAACCAGACTACTATTCTTTACTTAGGTTCCATCTTCCTGCACTAAAGGCTGGAAAGTGCCTCCAGGTAGAAAGTGAGGGCAACTGAGAGGCTCATGCCGTGTTCCAGTTATTACTTCATTGCTTCTTAGCTCTACATCTGCCCCCATTATTCCTAGGGCCCTGACTGCTCCACTCCGTATTCTTTCAAGGATCATAGTGTAGTGCTGTTTATTGTTCAATGTCTGAAAAGAGTTGTTTCATATATTTTTCCCCAGTTTTATAGCTGTTTACAGTGGGAGAGCTAGTTCAGTACCAGTTATTCCATCATTGTCAGAGGGCATGTTCCTTCATAAACTTCATAAACCACACATATGTTGAGGTGGATGTCAAGTTGCTGTCTTGAATTGAAAAATTAGCCTTCTTTTGGGTCATTTTTTTTTTTCTACCAGTCATGATGAAACAATGGCTGAGTAGCCATCTCCATCTCTGGAGATATCAAGACAGTTTCTCTCTGGACACTGGAAGGTAATCCATCTTGTAGTACAAATTATCAACGTATGTGGGACTTAGGCTTCAAGCTGCAGGAAGCTGGTAGAGCTGGCCCATGATATTCAGAAATGCAAGGAGTGCATTGACAGTGTTTTTTGTGAGTGACTCATTATGTTAGTCATCTGAAAAAATGAGACCATGCTCATATGTTGGTGAACAGGGTGGCAGAAGCTCTCAAAGCCATGCAGTAGAAAGAAAGCTGCAGAAAACTGATTTTAATTCTTGATGAGCTGTCATGTGAATAAGAATTACATTTGCTCTGAGTGAACCAAGTGATAGAAGTAGTATCAATGGGTGTTGCAGGAAGGAATAATTCGTTGAATTGAAACAAAAGCTTTCTACTAACCAAAGCTCTCCAAAGATGGAAGAGGCAGTGACTTCATATTAATGGAGGCATATAGGCTTTTGATTGCTGCCAAACACCCACAATTTAAACTTGGCAGCTTAAAACAATACCCTTTATTATCTTACAGTTGTGTGGGTCAGAAGTCCAGTTAGGCTCAGCAAGTTACCCTGTTTAGGGTCTCACAAGGCTGAAATCAAAATGATGGCTGGCCTAAGCTCTTATCTAGAGGCTCTGGGGAAAAATCTGCTTCTAGGTTCATTCAGGTTGTTGGCAGGTTCTGTTCTGTGAGGTTGGAGGACCGACATCCTGGTTCCTTGCTGGCTGTGAGCCAGGGGTCATTCTTAGCTACTAGGGGCCAACCCAGCCGAATTCCTTGGTCTGTCCCCTCCATCTTCGAAGCCAGAAATGGAATGTTGAATTCTTCTTGTGCTTTGAATCTCTCTGACCCTTCCTTCTGCCACCAGCTAGAGAAAGTTCTCTGCTTTAAAGGGCTCAGGGGATTAGGTTAGATCCATCCAGACAACTATCCCTTTTTAGGATGAACTGTGTCGTATAAAACAACACAATCATGGGAGTGATATCTCCCCATATTCACAGGTTCCAGGGATTAGGGTGTATGAATCTACTGGTTATTTTTAGGACTGCCTACTATAGGATACACACCAGCAGAGAACTGATGACCACTTAACAGGAATGTCACCCAGTCTTCTCAAGCATAGAATGGGCCCTTAGGCTAGATGAACTTTAAGGTCCTTTTTAGTCCTGAAGCTTTATGAGCATTTTAACAGGATTTGTAACTAAACATTTATAAGAAACAGGGACTGCAAATAGGAATCTGTTGACAGAAACTGTTGACCTAGGATAGTCAATTAGCTCATCTCTGTTCTAACATTGGCTGATCAACTTGCACAGCAGCAAATATTTTTGGTTACAGTGTCAGGTCTATATATTTCTCTTACCTCCCCTACCAGCAAAGTCATTTTCTCTGGCCCCATGCCATGTCCACTCCAAAGATCCCACTCTATACCTGCTCCACCTTTCTCTGCATCAAGAATATTTATAGCGGTAAAGCTTTCATTTATTCATTGGGGTTGGTTGGTTTTTATTTTTGAGCTCCTTCTATGTGACCTGTTCTTTCCTAGATAATTCAAAGTTTCCAAAGACAGGGAAGACATGGTATCTTCCCTCAAGGAGCTTAATGCGCAGTAGTAGAAACAAGATGTGCATAAATAACTATTATGTAAGACCAGTTGTGGTGTTTTAAATAAATCAGTTGTGGGAGTGTATAGATAAAATGCATGGGAATTAAAAAGAGTGAGGAGATTGTCCTTTTCTCCTGGAGGAATCTGAGAAATATTCTTGGCGAGAGTTGGCTTTAGATCTAGGTCTTGAAGAATGAGAATGATTTGTACGGTATAGATGGGGAATGGCATTTCAGGCAGAGGGGGTTATGGAGACAAAGCTGGAGAAAGAGGTTGGAGTTATTTTGTCAGGACTTGAACGAGTTTGAGGACTTTAGCTTGATTCAGTAGGCAACAGAAAGCATTCTGCTAAATGCATATAATAATGACAATAATCTCCTCCTGAAAAACTTTACAGAAACAGGGCAATTCAAATATCGTAAATAACTTATGTACAGGATTATAATGGCACACAGTAAACTTTAACAACAAATAATAAACTAAAAATATTCCTGAGGAAGAAATAACACCTAGCTTTATCCTGTTTGTTCATTTTCCTTTGCCTTTGATTTTCATTGTTCCTGTTCTGTAGTTTGAAGCTGCTTCTTTGTGTGTGTCAATGAAGCTTGTGCAATGCTGTGAAAGCCTTGGATATACTTTAAAATTCTCTCTCTGTTTTTCTGTTGGCTGCTTTACTTATATCTATCAAAAGCATATTTTGAGTCAGGTGGAATGCATACATTCAAAGCCAGTTTTAAAATTCTTTTAAAAAATTAAATCAATTTTACTTCTTAAAGTATTCCTGGATTGTCATTTCTTCGTAGAGGTTTATTTTATATAAGAATTTTATAAACCATAATTCAAAAGCAGTTGCACAACAGTAGTCACACCCAAAGGTCTATCTGATACAGCAGGGTTTATAACTTTTTAGGACTAGGTGTCTGTCAACAGGTGGTCACTTCAGGACCCTTAGGAAGGTTCTAGCCCATACCTGATCTTCACATGCAGACTTCAGGATTACTGGGGCTTCCGAAATTCCCCATCAGGGCTGAGGTGCATTATAACTAATGCCTTTATGTTGCGATCAGTCACTGACATCTCAGTATTACCAGAATACCTGTGGGTGGGCATTAGAAAAGAGGATCAGGGTGGCGTGAGCGCCATGGAAGGGTGTGGGAAAAGGCAGTGTCACAGGGAAGGGGCTCCAAGGACACAGTGGCCTTTCTCCATTGTGTGTTTGATGGTTCTAGCCAAGTGTTTTCCACAATGATCATTTGTCAAATATTATTCTTGGTTTTGGAAACACTAGGTGACTCTGAAGATGTCATCCCTGGAGACAGCCGAGGGCTTAAGTGACAGTTACAGTGATCTTTAACTTAGGCCTCTTATAAAACTAGATTACAGGAAACATAGTCCTACTCTGCCATCCAGCCTACACATTCTGTCTCTCTTGTTTGAAGGCTACTTTCAGACGATTTCTTTGAGAGGCAACACTGCTTTTAGAATTAT
This sequence comes from Homo sapiens, assembly GCF_000001405.40. Taxonomy (NCBI): domain Eukaryota; kingdom Metazoa; phylum Chordata; class Mammalia; order Primates; family Hominidae; genus Homo; species Homo sapiens. The sequence goes on along the minus strand of NC_000002.12, from coordinate 14,972,684 downwards.
AGAGATCTGGACTTACATCTGGTTCCACAGCTTATTAACTTGGTGACCTTAGAAAGTCGTCTAACTTCTTTTAGCCTGTGAGAATAAATTCAATACCACATGTGAAAATGTTTAGATATTCATACTGTTTGGGTTAATTTCATATGTATGGCAAATAAATTTTAATTTTAGAAATCTTTGTGTATGATCTGCCTGCTTTAACAGAGGGTACCATTTGACAAACGTTGATTGACATTCTTTATTATTATTATTATTATTATTTTACTTTAAGTTCTGGGACACATGTGCAGAACATTTAGGTTTGTTACATAGGTATTTGTGTGCCATGGTGGTTTGCTGCACCTGTTGACTCGTCCTCTAAGTCCCCTCCCCTCACCTCCCAACCCCCAACAGGCCCTGGTATGTGTTGTTCCCCTCCCTGTGTCTGTGTTCTCAATGTTCAATGTCCACTTATGAGTAAGAACATGCAGTGTTTGGTTTTCTGTTCCTGTGTTAGTTTTCTGAGGATGATGGATTCTAGTTTCATTCATGTCCCTGCAAAGGACATGATCTCATTCCTTTTTATGGCTGCGTAGTATTCCATGGTGTATGTGTACCACATTTTGTTTGTTCAGGATTGACATTTTTTTTTTCTCTGTACATATCTCTGTGTTATGCATGGTGAGAAACAGAGTTGAAATGGACAGGTCCTTATACTTCTTCAGATACTTCATCACTGGCATCATTTTATGTACTGGTGACTATAGTTGATGGAGATACAAGAACCACCAGGAATGGATACAGCTTGTTGCAGTGACATTGTATCTGGTTGTCTTGGTATTTGAAAATTTAGTATTTATGGTTTTAACAATTCATGGCACACACAAATCCCTTGACCTGTATGTAGCCATTTACAATTTAGCTGAGACTCAGATGTGAAGTTCATGACTCCACAAGCATGGTGAGTCACCGTGGTGGACTGCCCAACATCATCTCAGTGTGGCATTGCTGTTTCTTACCCATTGTCAGTAAGTAGTCAAATTGGTGATGGGGAGAAAATGTTCTTTGTGGCATGGTGCCAGAAAGAAGGCCAACAGGTTGATGGTGGTGGTGGAAGAAAAGGGAAAACGAAGGGATTTAAGAAAATAATGGCTCTTTGGCAGTTTTATTTTTTATTTATTTATTTATTTTGAGACAGAGTCTCGCTCTGTCGCCCAGGCTGGAGTGCAGTGGCGCAATCTTGGCTCACTGCAACCTCCGTCTCCTGAGTTCAAGTGATTCTCCTGCCTCAGCCTCCTAAGTAGCTGGGATTACAGGTGTGTGCCACCATGCCCAGCTAATTTTTGTATTTTTAGTAGAGACGGGGTTTCACCATGTTGGTCAGGCTGGTCTCGAACTCCTGACTTTGTGATCCACCCGCCTCAGCCTCCCAAAGTGATGTGATTACAGGCATGAGCCACTGTGTCCGGCTGGCAGTTTTTAGATCAATAAATTATCTAGTAATTAATTTGGTGATAGCTTAAAACTATTGTATGAATGGGTTGAACCAAATGTTCATTTTATGTAGAAACAAGAAAACACTTCAAGAAATTGGTTCAAGAGGGCTAAAATTTGTAGTTATGAGAAAAATGAATAAAATTTAAACCTGCCATTGTTGGCAATGAAGAGACAAATTTCATGTGGGAAGGGGCTCGCTGGTCTTTCTGCCATAATTCTTCCCAGAGATTCACTTCTTAGAATTCTGTACCAGTTAATATTACCACTCTGCTGGCTTCCAGGAGGCACTGCTCCAGCTTATGTGATGATACCAAGCAGGGAACAACAAATCCTTGCTTTAATACACTATAGCCCAGTGGGACTGAGGCTGGACAAGGCTTTACTAAAGGGTTGATTGTAACAAACTGGAAATGAATGCTGCCTGGCTCTGTACCTGGTCAGAAAAAGGTACAGTTGACTTGTCCTTTGATTTGAGGCCTCCTAGCAGAGGTCTTCACACCTGGTCCCAGGGTACCTTCCTTTGGCCCAGTTCCAGTTCTTTCCACTTCCAATTAGAATGTTCCCAGGGTGTTAGAGTCCTCTAATGCAGATCCAAGAGACCGAAATCCAGAGAGAATCTCTTCTCTGCCTGCCTGAGGTCTGCCTACTCCTGTGTTCTATTAGAGGACCTGTTTCTTTCTTGATGTTTTAAACCAGGCGTGTCTGTTTCCTTCAGGGAGACCCTTATTTCTACCCTCAAATATGTTAGGTGCTGTTATTATTCCCATTATACAGATGAAGACAGATGATTTTACTTGTTCAGTGATGGAGTGTGAATTTCAGCAGCCCAGCTCTAGAGCCTAGTTTCTTAAACATTAAGTGGTGTAGTCTTATCTTATATAAATGAGATTCATAAAGCATGTTGGAATCATTGAAGATCCAGATAGATCATTAGAAGTTCTAGTTGTTTTTTATAAGAAATATATATGCAGTATTTCCTAAACTTCTCCAATGACAAAGCTCACATGGGGTGCATATGAAATTGCAAGACTACCAAATCTTCCCCATGGAGAATCTGATTCAATAGAGGCCTGAAGTACTGATTTTTCTAAAAGTTTATTTTAGAAAATTAACTAATTTTTCTAAAGTTAGATTTAGATAATTTTTCTAAAGTTTATTTTTCTAAAAGTTTATTTAAATTGAAAAGTTTATTTTCTAAAAGTTTATTTCTAAAAGTTTAAGTTTGACTCTTACCTTTGGGCAAGTTTCAGATATTCTCCTGATGAGAGTCCATGGTTGTTATTGCATTTGGAGCCCTTCTGATGTCTTTATAGTCTCAGCAGCTGTTGCATCCTTCCCCAGTTTGACTTCCCATCCCCCCCACCACCCGAAGCCTTTATCACTGGGACCTATTTGAAGTTAATTTTTGTATACAGTGAAAGGATGTGTGGATTGAACTTCATTTGTTTTGGTTTATGGATATCCATTTTTTCCAGCACCGTTTACTAATAAGACTAACCTTTCTCCACTGCATTTAAAAAAAATAACTTACAGGCTGGGCAAGGTGGCTCACGCCTATAATCCCAGCACTTTGGGAGGCCGAGGCAGGCGGATCACCTGCGGTCAGGAGTTTGAGACCAGCCTGGCCAACATGGTGAAACCCCGTCTCTACTAAAAATAAAAAAATTAGCCGCGTATGGTGGTGTGTGCCTATAATCCCAGCTACCCAGGAGGCTGAGGCAGGAGGGTCGCTTGAACCCGGGAGGCAGACGTTGAAGTGAGCTGAGATCGCACCACTCCACTCCAGGCTGGGCGACAAGTATGAGACTCCATCTCAAAAATAATAATAATAATAATAACTTTGAGATATTATTTTCATACTGTACAGCTCACCTAGGTAAGGTATGTGATCAATGGTTTTAGTTGCACAAATATTCAGATTTGTGCAACTATGCCACAATCAACTTTTGAATGTTTTTCTTACTCCAAAAGGAACCCCATACCTAACAAGCATTCACCCCACGGTACCCATTTTCTTCAGCCCTAAGCAACCCCTCATCTACTTTCTGTCTCTGTAGAATTGACTATTCTAGGCATGTCATAGAAATGGAATCATATACTTTGTGGCCTTTTGTTGACTAGTTTCTATTACTTAGCATAACGTTTTCAAGGTTCATCCATATTGTACCATGTTTGTCAGTACTTCATTGCTCTTTATGGCCACATAATATACCATTGTGTGAATATGTGACATTTTATTGATCCACTTGTCAGTTGATGGACATTTGAGTTGTTTCAACTTTCTGGCTATTGTAAATATACTGCTATGAATATTTTAATATAAATTTTTATGCGGGTGTCCATTTTTGTTTTTCTTTGATATATACCTAGCAGTGAAATTGCTGGAATTATTTAAAACTCTACATGTAAGTAATTTGAGGAACTGCCAAACTGTTTCCAAAGCAACTTTACAATTTTACATTGTCATAGCAATATAAGAGAGTTCCAATTTCTCCTCATTCTTGGAAGACTATTGTTTGTCTATTTGATTATAGTCATCCTAGAGAGTGTGAAGTGGTATCTTATTTTTGTTTTGTTTTGGATTTCCCTAATGACTAAACATGTTCGGCCAGGCACAGTAGTGCACCCCTATAATTGCAGCTATTCAAGAGACTGGGGCAGGAGGATTTCTTGAAGCCAAGAGTTTGATGTTACAGCACATGGTGGTCACACCTGTCAGTAGCTACTACATTCCAGCTGGGACATCATAGCAAAACCACAACTCTAAAAAAGAACAAAACCCAAAGCCAACCAAACAAAAAAAAAAAATTCCAAACCTCAGGGGCATATGAAGTTGTTGAGCATCTCTTCATACCCTTATTGTTATTTGTATACATTCTTTGGAGACCATGACTATTTAGAGACTTTGCCAACTTTTAAATTGGGTTCTTTGTCTTTTGATTATTGAATTGTAAGAGTTCTTTATATATTCTGTGTCATGGTTATCCCATGGAAGTGGAATGGGGCCCCCTTACCCAAAATTTGGATTGGGTGTCAACACTGATAACACCACACATGCATCAAGAGGGTATGAAAAGCTTAGCTTTGTTGCTCACATAATCAGGCTTTTTGCAGAGAGCAGGGCAGCCTTTCAAGTAAGTACAAGAATGGCCCGAGAGAGTAGGAAAGAAGATTGGCTTGTCCTTTATTATGGCTAGGGGGTGGAGCTAGGGGGAGGTTCTCACACACATGCCAAGGCTTTTGCTGTTTTAACTCTTGCCAGTGCCAAAGGAGGGAGTACACAGGCTTTCTTATCAGTTTGCCCAGATGTGGGGGAAGAGTGGTGAGGCTTGAGAGCTGCCAAGAGGAAAACATCAAAATGGAGTTACTCTTTTTCACTGTCTGCATACAAGTCCCTTACTCCATACATGACTTGCAAATATATTTTTTTCCATTCTGTGGATTACCTTTGTCGATGATATTGCTTATAGTACAAAAGTTTTGATTTTGATTAAGTCCAATTTATCTTTTGTTCCTTTACTGTTTGTGCTTTTGATATTGTAGCTAAGAGACCTTTCCCTAACCCAAGGCCACAGAGATTTAATCCTATCCTTTCTTCTAAGAAATTTTAGTTTTAACTTTTACCTCTAGGTATATGTTCCATTTTAAGTTAATTTTTGCATGTGAATAGTTTTTACTGAGGTGCTCTTGTACCTTTGTCAATAATTGGTCATTAACTATGTATATTCCTTTTCTAACTTTTCTATGCTGTTTTCTTTATCTATTTGTCTATCTTTATGCCAGTGGAGGCTTGGTGTGATTACTGTAGCTTTATAAAAAGTCTTGAAATCGGGTAGTATCAGTCTTACAACTTTGCTCTTTTTCAAAGTTGTTTAGTCTATTCTAGATCCTTAGAATTTCCGTGTGAATTTTGAAACTGGCTTTCTATAAAAAAAATTCTGCTAGTAGTTTGATTGAAATTGCATTGAATCTATATATCAGTTTGGGGAAGAACTGATACCTTAGTAATATTCAGTATTCCAGTTCATACACACAATATGTTTCTCCATTTATTTAAGTCTTCTTAAATATATCTCAGTGGTGTTTTATAGTTTTCATTATCTAAGTCTTTCTCATTTGTGGCAGATTTATCACTAAGTAGTTCATAATTTCTACGCTATTAATAATGGTATTTTAAATTTCTAATTGTTTATCAGTATACATGATTTTTATTAGTGTATATAAATATAGATTTTTGTATATTGATCTTGTATACCAAAACCTTGCTAAACTCACTTATTAGTTCTAGTAGCTTTATTGTGGATTCTATCAGATGTTCTGCGTAGATGATCAGGTTATATGTGAACAAAGAGTTTTACTATTTTATTTGAATATGGATGACTTCTACTTCTTTTTCTTAAGTTATTGCCCTAAAGAGGACTTCTGATATGATACTGAATAGAAACGGCGAGAGTGGACAGCCCTGTCTTGCTACTGGTCTCAGGGAGAAAACAAGTAGTCATTATATATTACTTGTAGATTTTTGAAGGTGGGGCTGAAGATACTCCCTTCTATTCCTACTTTGCTGAGGGTTTTTATTAGTGCAGTTCACCTTTGAGTAACACAGGTTTGAAGTGTGTGGGTTCACTTACATGTGGATTTTTTTCCAATCAAACAGATGGAGAATACAGTAGTTGCAGAATGGGAAACTTGTGTATATGGAGGGCGACTTTTAGTATCAGCAGCTGTACTGGGGGACTGACGGACTTGATCATGTGTGATTTGGTATACTCAGGGAGTCCTGGAACCAATCCTCTGCATATACTGAAGGATGAATAGATGAGAAGATCATATGTTATTTTTAACAAGTGTGTTAATATGGTAGATTACATTAATTGATTTTCAAACGTTAACCTAGACCTGCATTCATAGGATAGGCTCCTCTTAGTTATTGCACTAGTTTCCTCGGGCTGCCGTTACAAAGTACCACAAACTGGGTGGTTGGAAACAACAGAAATTTATTCTCTCATAGTTCTGGAGTTTTCAAGTCTGACAAGATTTCCAGGTTCATGCTCTCCCTGAAGGCTCTTGGACTTATCCTTCCTTGTCTCTTCCTAGCTGCTGTGGTTGCCAGCAACCCTTGGTGTTCTGGGGTTCGTTGTTGCATTACTCCAACCTCTGCCTCCGTTGCCACTTGCTGTCCTTCTTGTGTCTCTTTATCTCTGTGTTCAAATTTCTATATTCTTATAAGGACACCAGGCCTACCCTAATCCACTTTAACCTCACTTCAACTTGGTTATATGTGCAAAGATCTGATTTCTAAATGAAGTCACATTCACAAGTACCAAGGGTTACAACTTAACATATCTTTCTGAGAGACCCAATTCTACCCTCTACAATCATGAAGTATTATTTTAAAAAATATGTTGTTGGAATCAATTTGTTAGATTTTTTTTTTAGAATTTTGCATTTATATTCATAAGAGATGTTTTTCATACTTTTAGAAAATACTGTCTTAATTTTTTGGTTTTGCTCTAGGGACAATGCTAGACTCACAGAATGAATTGGGAAGTATTCCCTCCTCTGCTATTTGCTGGAATAAATTGTGTAGAATTAGTCATATTTTCTTCCTTAAATGTTTGAATGAATTCTCCAGTGTAGCCATTTGGCTATGAAGTTCTCTCTTGCAAAGAGTTTTAACTGCAAATTCACTTTCTTTAATAGATATTGAGCCATTTAATTTATCTATTTCTTCTTGAGTGAACTTTGATAGTGCGTGTCTTTCAAGGTCTTTGTTCATTTCACCATAATTGTACAATTTATTTGTATAACATTGTTCTTAACCTTTTCGAATTATCCTTTTAATATCTGTAGAATCTATAATAATTCTTAATATTTGTAGTTTATGCCTTCTTTTTGTTTCTAACTAACCAGTCTGGGTAGGGGGGGTCTCAATTTTATTGATCTGTCAAAGTACTAGATTTTAGTTGCGTTGATTGGCTTTACTTACTATCTTTCTGTTTTCTATTTTATCAATTTCCATTGTGATCTTTACTATTTATCTTCCTCTGCTTTCTTTGCACTTAATTTGTTCATCATTTTCTAGTTTCTTAAAACGGAAGGCGAAGTTATTGATTTGAGAGTGTATTCTTTTCTAATGCAGGTATCTAGTATTATAAATTTCCTTTTAAGTACTGCTTTATCAGTATACCACACACTTTTATATTATGTGTTATTTCATTTCATTCTGAATACTTTCTCACTTCCCTTTTGATTTATTCTTTGATTATATGGTATTCAGAAGTGTGTTGTTTAGTTTTCCAAATATGTGGCAATATTGAAAGAGATTCTTCCGTTGCTAATTTCTAATTTAATTTCATTTGGCTGGACAACATACTTTGTGTGACTTAAATCCTTTTAATTTTATTGAGTTTTTTTATGGCTCAAAATGTATTCTATCCTGACCAGTGTGTCCTGTGTACTTAAAATGTGCATATTGTGCCATTGTCCATAAATGTCAATTAATCAGGTTGTGTGGTGTTATTTTCAAGCCATCTATATTCTTCCTATATTCTATATCCTTTTCTGCTTACTTGTTTTATCCATTATTAACAGAAAAGTATCAAAACATCCAACTAAAACTGTGGGTTTGTCTATTTGTCCTTTAGTTCTATCAATCAATTTTCCCTCATGTATTTTGATTATTTATTATTAAGTGTATAAACTTTTAGGAGTGTTATGTCCTCTTCATGAATTGATCCTTTTTTGCTCTGTGTTTTGTTTTGAATAGTTGTGACTGCTATGCCATTCCAGTTTCTTCTGTAATGTCTAAACTGCCATTCATCCCATCCAGTGTATTTTTTTATCTCAGACATTATAGTTTTCAATTCAAAAATTTGATTTGAATCTTACTAATATTGTTTATGTCTCTAACTTTTTAGATACATAGAATACAGTTATAATAATAATTGTTTTAATGTCTTTTCTAATCCCAACGTCTGTGTCAGTTCTGGATGGTTTCTATTTATTGATTTACCTTATCTTGTGATTAGTATTTTTCTGCTGCTTTGCATGCCTGGTAGCTTTTGATTGGATGCCAGGCATTGTAAATTTTACCTTGTTCAGTGTTTGGTATTGTATACCTATAAATATTCTTGATTTTATTTTCTGTTAGAATAAGCTAAGTTGCTTAGAAACAATTTGATTTTTTTTAGGTCTTGCTTTTAATAATTGTTTGCTAGGCTACGGTAGCATTTAGCCTTAGGCTAATTATTCCGCTTTGCTGAGGAAGACTCGTCTGAGTATTTCATGAATTATGAGATGTTCCAGCCTGGCTGGTGGGAATGGGTTAGGGAGACTCACAGAATCAGTATATTGTCCTACTCACAACTAGGATTTATTATAGCGAAAGTACACAAAGCAAAATCATCAAGGGGAAAGCACATGTGGTGAAGTCCAGAGAAAATTGGGCTCAAGCTTCCAGGAGTGCTGTCTCAGTGGAATTGCACAGGTGCACTTCAGTCCCTTAGCAAGGAGTTGTGACAAGAAATGGGAAATGTTATCTACTTGGGAAGCTCCTTAGTCATTTAGCACCTAAGGTTTTAATTGGGTGCTGGTCGTGTGAGCATCCTCTGCCTAGCATGCACCAGAATTCCAGGTTCCCAGAAGGAAAGTAGGTGTTAAACACACACCTTCCAGTTCTCTTTCCTTTTTGTTGAAAGAAAATAATTTGAAACTACCTGACTTGAAAAAGTATGTGTTACACCAAGGGTTGGCAAATGATTTCTATAAGGGGCCAGATAGTAAATATAGGCTTCATGTGCATGTGCCAGATGGTCTGTGTCTTAACCACTCAGCACTGCTGTTACAGCATGAATACAGCTAGCTAATATTTAAACGATTGAGTGTGGTTGTATTCCCATAGGAACTTTATTTTTGATTTTTATTTATTTATTTATTTTTGAGATGGAGTCTCACTCTGTCACCCAGGCTGGAGTGCTGGGTCGCGATCTTGGTTCACTGCAACCTCCGCCTCCCAGGTTCAAGTAGTTCTCCTGCCTCAGCCTCCTGAGTAGCTGGGATTACAGGCACACACCACCACACCAGGCTACTTTTATATTTTTAGTAGAGACGGAGTTTCACCATGTTGGCCAGGCTGGTCTCAAACTCCCGGCCTCAGATAATTCACCCATCTCAGCTTCCCAAAGTGCTGAGATTACAGATGTAAGCCACCGCTCCCGACCTGGAACTTTATTTTTTAAAAAACAGTTTTTTGTTTTTTTTTTTCTCCTTTGTTTTGTGGGAGGGGTTGCCTGCAGGCTGTCGTTTGCCAGCCCTGATGCCACACAAGTATTAGGAATAATCCCCTTTTGCAACAGCAACTTAATTTATTACAAGCCTTTTATGAAATCTAAAAATTTCAGTGTCCTAAAATGCAGGCCTGTTGTGACATCAGTGAAAAGTAGGGGTAAGTCTGCTGCAGAGGTGGAGCGTCAATGGCTAATGACCTTATACGTCAATTTTCATTGTGCTAGAGATGGTTACTGTATTTTGAATAGTGTCTTTTGTCCTGGGAGACTTTTATACCCTGAACAATGCACCATCTGAATTCTTGAAAGGGATGGGAGATAAGCTTTTTTTGGTAAAGTGTGATAACAACAACTGTGAAAAGGGGAAGAACAAAAGAATCTATCCCTCCATGACAGCCTGGTCTCAAGCAGATCGCTTTAGTGAACCCCAGTGGAAGGTGAAAGAGAATCTGGGTAGATTCTTTACAGCTTTTGGAGCTCTCCTATCCATTGAAATTTCTTCCAGTGACTCTAGGGATACTTTAGTTTGGATTTCTGAAAAATTTAAGAAATTTCTTTCTGTTTCCCAGCAATTGAACCAATTACAGTTCATACATGTAACCCTCCCTCTGAGCTGTCCGTGGTGGTGGTTATTCTTGCTGTTTAATGCATGCTGTCATTTCAAATCTCCCATGTCCCAGACAGACATGTGCCTACATATGCTCCAGCCCTCTTTCTGCCCTAAATCAACCCACACAGGGAGCTCAGGACGGACGCTGTGAAGAAAAATATCCACAGTATCAAACTCACCCATAATTCTAATACATTTTGGTAAAGTTTTGGGACGATATAGAAAATCACAGGGAAGAGCTGGGCTCAGTGGCTCACGCCTGTAATCCTGGCAGTTTTGGAGGCTGAGGTAGGTGGATCACTTGAGGTCAGGAGTTCGAGACCAGCCTGGCTGACACCCCATCTCCCCTAAAAATACAAAAACATTAGCTGGGTGTGGTGGCGGGCACCTGTAATCCTAGCTTCTTGGGAGGCTGAGGGCAGGAGAATAACTTGAACCTGAGAGGTGGAGGTTGCAGTGAGCCAACATTGTGCCATTGCACTCCAGCCTGGATGACAGCACAAGACTGAAAAAAAGAAAATCATAGAGAAGGGTTATGGCACACACACATTTCCCTACTTAACCTTTCTGTGCCTCAGTTTCCTAAATTATAAAGTAGGAATAATAATAGTACCTGTGTCAGAGGTTTACTATAAGAATGAAATTATTATTTTTATTTTGATCCTATGTCAGTCGATTTGTGTTGCTATAAAGGAAGACATGAGGCTAATTGATAAATAAAGGAACTTTATTTGGCCTATTCTGCAGGCTGCATAAGAAGCATGGCATTGGCATCTGCATCTGCTGAGGGTTTCAGGCTGCTTCCACTCATGGCAGAAGGTGAAGGGGAGCCAGTGTGTGCTGATCACATGGGCAGAGAGGGGGCCCAGCTTTAAAAAAAAAAATCAGCTCTTGTGGGAACTAATAGTGCAGTAACTCACTCATTACTTCCAGTGTGGCACCAAGCCATTCATGAAGGATCTGCTGCCATGACCCAGACACCTCCTACTAGGCCCCACCTCCAATATTGCAGGTTAAATTTTAACATGAGAGTTGGAGTAGACAAATGTTCAAGCTACATTATCTGAGTTTTGTTTTTCCCTTCCCACCTTTCCTTCTCACTCCCATTTCTCTAAGGTTGCTCTCCTGAGAGCTGCAAGTTTTTATTCTCCTCTTCAGTTCTCCTTCATGGAAACTAGGGGGCAGCTGACAGTCATACCACAGAGAGTCAACCCCTCCAAAGAAAACTGTCCCTAAGAGGAATTCCAGGCCAGCTGTTGGGAGAACAATGTCTTCTCCATCTTGCTTTGGGTATTGATGGCCGCCTCACAGAGATCTTTGAGCCCTTCCTTAAGTCTGCTGCTGTCAGGGTGACTTGCTGCTTTTGAGAGGTTTGCCTCTAGGTGGTAACTTCCTTCTACCTCAAACACAACAATATACAGCAGGAAATGCTGTTTTTGGCAATGGATTAGAAGGAAGGCCAGGTCTTGTTCATTGACTATGAAACAATGGTGACTCATCTTGGATCCCTAAGAACACAGGGAAGACATTTGGCACAAAGTGGTCATTTGGTGAATACATACTGAATAAAACAACTCGGCATTTAGACCTACCTTATTTTTTTCCTCAAAACTGACAAAAGGCTAAAGAGCTCAATTAGAATTGGACTCATAAATGTTTTATTTATTCAACATGAGAGTCAAGGTAATGTAGTGTGGAGGCATGGGCTCTCTTGCCAGAGTGTCTTTGTTTTAAAGCAGACTTCTTCACACACACTCTGGGCATTAGATTTCTCATCATCAAAGTGGGGATAATTATAAAACCTGTCTCACAGCGATATTGTGAGAATTAGAAGACTTAATGCACAGAAGGTGTTTAGGATAATGCCTGGCAAATAGAACACACTCTACAAATGAAGCTATTATTCATCCAATGAACATTTCTGGATTGAGTGCCACTGTGTCTCATAAACTGGGCTGTGTGCTAGGGAATATGGAGATAAACACATAGTTTCAAGCCATAAAGCATTTAGGGCCTTCTATGGGAAGTTGAGAAGTAGATAGCAGTGAGGAGTATGGATGAAACGCTGTGCTACAGCTGTGCACAGAGCACTGTGAAGGCACAGGAGGGAATTCTCAATCAGATGTTAAGAGTCTCTAGAATTAACAAAAGCATTTGAATCTCTGCACAGCCTCATCTCTTACACTTACAGAAATGTTCCATATGGCAGATGATGACCTAAAAATCATATCCATTTTTTTTCCAAGTGCAGTTTAGTTCTAGCAAGTACTATAAGGTAAAAGAAACGTCATTTCCAAAACACTGACCTTGGAGCTGTCAATACAGTAGAATTTTCAGGGCTACCAAGGAAACAGCAGAGAATCCAGCTGAAAAAGTAGTTTTTGGAACATTTTTTTACCTAAAGGAAATGATAGAAATTCCAGTGTGGAAAAAATATGTTTTGATAAAAATCGAAGGTAACAGAAATATTAACTGCCTGGGGGAGACGGGGAATGCTTCTCAGGGAATATTGTATTTGAAGTAGGTCTTGATTGTATTTGAACTGGGTTTGAGGAGTAAGATGGAACATGTCATATGGGAAAAGGCACTTCAGGAAAAGGAGCAAGCATGTACAAAGTCCTGGAATCATGGAAGATCAAAGTATCTTGACAGAATTTCAAATAGTTCAATGTGACCGATGTATAAGAATTGTCACAGCAAGTGGTTAACTAATGTTTAGAAATGGTGGATGGAGGGCAGGTAATGGAGGGTCTTATGTGTGTTCTTAAGGAGCATAAAATGTATTCTAGATATGTTGGGAAGGACTGTAAGAAAGAGAGAGCCTTGATCACAGTTGCAATTTGGAAAGATTGCTCTGGTCCACAATGGATCAAAATTGCAAAATATGAAGCAGTTGGGCAATGGTTAAGGTAAGGGATGATGAAATCTAGAGAAGGCAGATGCCATGGAGACTGGTGGTACATTGTTAGGCCTGATGCCTCCAGAGGGTTAATACGATGATTCTTCTGTTGTAAGGTAGTGTGCATGTGTATAGCATGTCTCAATGTACCTGGTGCATTATGGGCTTTACCTGCACCTGGTAAAGCTCAGTATGAGCAGATAGGAATTGCATCTCTCTTTGCAGATGAGGGAACAGTTTCATTGAGCTGAAGTGGCTTGTGCAAGATCACCAAACCAACTGGTGGTGGTGGAGTAAGGACACAAACACAGGCGTCTTGAGTCCCACCCCAGTGCTTGTTGCCATATGTCCATGGAGAGTTCTTCTCAACTCCTTCCTTCATCATCCTCAAAGGCATGAACTTAAATCCTAAATGTGGGTCACCCAAGCCTCTTCAGTGTTACTCCACCCTTCCTCCTTTCCCACTGCAATCCCCAGTCTTCCTTCCTTATCCCTTTTATAATCCTCAGGATTTACTTTTTGATTTCTAATGCCCTAGATCCTCCGGTTTGTGATTATAGAGCCCCTATTTTTATGGACCTGGTAGATCCCCATTTTTTTCTTGATGTGAGGTTCCACCTTTACTTTTAAAGATAAGGCAGGCAACCTGTGTATTGCTCTGATTACTTTTCAAGTCACTCTTTACATATCATCAACTTTTGTTTCCACAATTGCTTACTTTCTCAAAAGCAAAGCCTCATGAAGCATTTTGTTAATAAACATCTTTAAGAGAAATTGAAGGTGGAAGATTTATAACAGATGCCCGTGTTCCATTGCTCTTACCATATCCTTTCCTCTTACAGGTTCCCACCCCTCATTTCTCATCCCTCTAATATAAATCTCAGTAACTGAGTAGCGCATTTGCTCCATTGTTGCCAGTTGGGTCCCCTTGGCTTCTGTTTGATGCTACTCAGCTGGTTCCTCAGAGACCCTCTGTGAGCAGCTTGGCTCCAGTGCCCCTTAGCATTTTCTCTCAGAGTTCTGCTGATTGAGTTGTCAAATGTCAAAGGGGAAGTTAGAGATCGTTAAATCCAACCCTGCCCAGATGAGAAAACAAAGACTCCATGAGTGAAAGTGACTCTCCAAGGACGCCAGGCAGCTGGCTGTGGGAGAGGCCAGGACCCGGGTCTCCTGCTCTCACCTGGGCTTCTCCCACTGGTTCACTCTGCCTTCTGTCTCTACCAGTAAAATGTTAATTTCAATTAAATGGGACTCTGGGGCAATCACAAGAAGAGAAAAGTATAGTTCCTGACTTCACAGCCTGGCTGGGTGACAAGTTTAAAACACATGGCAAGTTAAAGGACAAGGCAAACTCACCATATGCACACATCTGTCAGAGGGCCAGAGAATAGATGCAGGTGGGAAGCCTAGATGGGTTCAGAGGCTTATCTCGAGAATCATCCAGAATCAGCCCACTGTGGGTTTCCATCCCAAATCTGCCATTTACTAGATGAGTAAACTTGGCATGTCCCCAAATGTTGCTATGCTTCAAGGTGCTCACAGTGGTGAGGAAATGAAGTAACAGGTATTCTCGGACTGAGTTGGCACTCAGCAAATGGCAGCTGGGAAGGTTCCCCTGGTGGGAAGGATGAGACAGGTGCAGGGGGCTGACTTATCTGTAGCTACATGGAAAAGAGAGATGGGACGCTCAGGCAGGGCTGACGGCTGGAGCCAAGGAGCAAGGAAGACGTGTATGGTGAGGGACCAAGGAGGAGGCCACCTGGCTGGAGAGGAGGTTTTGGAAGCAGAATCAGGGAGAATGGCTGGAAAGGTGGGTAGGAACCTTCCCCAAGGAGAGTTTGAAATTAGATTTAGCAATTCATGCAATGTTAAAATTGGAGGAGCCCAAGAAACAACCTAGTGTCTTCACCCTCAAACTGATCTTTGTGTCACCCTGGAATTTGATGCAAAGATAGTGGGTATTACTTGATAAAATGCGCTTGGGAAATTCTATGTTAAAGCTAAATAAGGTTCTTTCCTGAGAACTTTTGAAAAGGTAATTCTGTTGTACCTTGTCACGAAAAAATTACATTGCATTTCACTTATTTCATCACAGGACTTTACACACACACACACACACACACACACACACACGTATATGTATAAACTAAACGCCAGTAAGATATTATCCAGAGAAACAGGGCTAGTGCCTCCCAAATAGCTCTCTTTTCTTTTGGTCGGTTCTGGAGAGAAGTCTGAGGTCAAAGTGTCATCAGGGTTGGTTCTTTCTGAAGGCTCTGATGGAGAATATGTTCCAGGCCCCTCTCCTTGGCTTAGAGATGACTGTTTTCTCCTTGTGTCTCATACTGTCTTCTCTCTTGGAATATCTCTATGTCCAAATTTGCCACTTTGTATAAGGACACCACCAGTCATGTTGGATGAGGGACTACCCTGATGACTTCACTTTAACTTAATTACCTTTATAAAGATCCTATCTGCAAATAAGATCACTTTGCATATGTTGAATTTGGACTTCAACATATGAATTTTGGGGGAGCATACCTCAACCCATGATATGGTTTGGCTGTGTCCCCACCCAAATCTCTTCTTGAATTGTAGTTCCTGTAATCCCCACGTGTCAAGGGCAGGACCAGGTGGAGATAATTGAATCTTGGGGGGTGGTTTTCCCTATCCTGTTATCATGATAGTGAGTGAGTTCGCATGAGATCTGATGGTTTTATAAGGGGCTTCCCCCTTTGCTTGACACTCCTTCTCTCCCCTGCCACCATGTGAAGAAGGACGTGTTTGCTTCCTTTTCTGCCATGAT
The DNA here is from genome assembly GCF_000001405.40 of Homo sapiens. Classification (NCBI taxonomy): domain Eukaryota; kingdom Metazoa; phylum Chordata; class Mammalia; order Primates; family Hominidae; genus Homo; species Homo sapiens. The sequence goes on along the minus strand of NC_000002.12, from coordinate 14,956,605 downwards.
TGTAAGTTTCTTAAGGCCTTCTCAGCCATGCAGAACTGAGAGTCAATTAAACCTCTTTTCTTTATAAGTTACCCAGTCTTGGGTATGTCCTTATAGCATCATGAGAAGGGACTAATACAGTAAATTGGTACTACAGAGCGTGGGGTTCTATAAGGATACCATAAAATTTGGTAGTGACTTTAGAACTGGGTAGCAGGCAGAGGTTGGAACAGTTTGGAGGGCTCAGAAGAAGACAGACAGAAAAATATGGGAAAGTTTGGAACTTCCTTGAGACTTGGAGGGCTCAGAAGACAGAAAGATATGGGAAAGTTTGGAACTTCCTGGAGACTCGTTGAATGGCTTTGGCCGCAATGTTGGTAGTGATGTGGACAATGAAGTCCAGGCAGAGGTGGTCTCAGATGGAGATGAGAAACTTGTTATGAACTGGAATAAAAGTGACTCTTGCTTTTCTTTTGCAAAGAGACTGGTGACATTTTGCCCCTGCCCTAGAGATCTGTGGAACTTTGAACTGAGAGAGATGATTTAGTGCATCTGGTGAAAGAAATTTCTAAGCAGCAAAGTATTCAAGAGGAAGCAGACCATAAAAGTTTGGAAAATTTGCAGCCTGACAATGCAATATAAAAGAAAAACCCATTTTCTGGGGACAAATTCATGCCAGCTGCAGAAATTTGCATAAGTAACAAGGAGCCAAAGGTTAGTCCCCAAGGCAATGGGGAAAATGTCTCCAGGGTATGTCAGAGACCTTCATGGCAGTCCCTCTTATCACAGGCCTGGAGAGGTAGGAGGGAAAGTGGTTTTGTGAGTGGAGGCTGGGGACCCTTGCTCTATGCAGCCTTGGGACATTGTTCCCTGTGTCCCAGCTACTTTAGCTCAAGCTGTGGCTAAAAGGAGCCAAGGTACAGCTCAGGCCATTGCTTCAGAGGGTGCAAGCCCCAAGCCTGGGCAGCTTCCACATGGTGTTGGGTCTATGGGTACACGTAAGTCAAGAATTGAGGTTGGGGAACCTCTGCCTAGATCTTAGAGGATGTCTGAAAATGCCTGAATGTTCAGACAGAAGTTTCCTGCAGGGGCAGAGACCTCATGGAGAACCTCTGCTAGGGCAGTGTGGAAGGGAAATGTGGAGTCAGAGCCTCCATACAGATTCCCCACTGGGGCACTGCCTGCTGGAGCTGTGAGAAGAAAGCCACCATCCTCCAGACCCCAGAATGGTAAATCCACCGACAGCTTGCACCATGAGCCTGGAAAAGCCACAGACACTCAACTCTGGCTCATGAAAGCAGCTGGGAGGTGGGCTGTATGCTGCAAAGCCACAGGGTTGGAGTTGCCCAAGGCTGTGGGAGCCCACCTCTTGCCTCAGTGAGACCTGGATGTGAGACATGGAGTCAAAGGAGATCATTTCGGAACTTTAAGGTTTAATGACTGCCCTATTGGATTTTGGATTTCCATGGGGCATGTGGCCCCTTTGTTTTGGCCAATTTCTCCCATTTGGAATAGGTGTATTTACCGAATGCCTATACTTCCATTGTATCTAGGAAGTAACTAACTTGGTTTTGATTTTACAGGTTCATAGGTGGAAGGGACTCTCCTTGTCTCTGATGAGACTTTTGAACCTTAGGGTTAATGCTGGAATAGTTTTGGGGACTGTTGGAAAAGCATGATTGTGTTTTGACATGTGAGGACATAAGATTTGGAAGGGGTCAGGAGTGCAATTGTATGGTTTGGCTGTGTCCCTACCCAAATCTCATCTTATATTGTAGTTCCCATAATCCCCACATGTTAAGGGTAGGACCAGGTGGAGATAACTGAATCATGGGGGCAGTTTTCCCCATGCTGTTCTCGTGATAGTGAGTGAGTTCTCATGAAATCTGATGGTTTTATAAGGGGCTTCCCCTTTTGCTTGACACACCTTCTCTCTCCTGCCATCATGTGAAGAACGATGTGTTTTCTTCCCCTTCTGCCATGATGGTAAGTTTCCTGAGGTCTTCCCAGCCATACAGAACTGTGAGTCAATTAAACCTCTTTTCTCTAAGTTACCCAGTCTTGGGTATGTCCTTATAGCAGCATGAGAAGGGACTAATACAACCCATAACACTTATCAAGATTCCATTTCTCACTAACAAGGGATGCTTCCAGAGAAAGAAACATAGCCTAAGAGACTGCAGCAAACAGGTGGTCAGCATGTGTCCTGCCTGCTGGTCGCCACTGTGCCCAGAGCAGGTGAAGATGTTTACTCATCTCCAAATGCATGGGAAGCATTCATGCCTTGATTCCCCCGTGCAGGCATCCTGCATCTTTCCTTCCCCCTACCTAACACTCATGCATGCGCCCATACACTTTCCACATAGCAGACCTCAATTAATTCATTTTAGCACATCCTGGGAAAACACCTGGAACATGGCATTTCCACTCTTAACATTCTGTTTGTACTTTTTCAGTAGCCATTTCCATAGTCATTACAGATTTATGAGATAATTTCTGCCTTTACATCAATCAACAGAGGGTCTGGCATGCACAAAGCACTTTTTACATTCGTCAGACCACTTTGGTTTCTTCTGAAAATCTTAAGAATGAAGCAGGGTAGGGCTTATTGGCCCATTTTATTACTGTGGACTCAGGTTCAGGGAGGTAAAATATCCTGCTCTAGCGTTTGACCCCTGGCACCCAGATATCTTCCATGCCTGTCCCATCCAGAGCACCACATCCCTTTCCATGAAGCATCACCTCTCATGGTTATATCTTCTGAGGCATCTGCCTTTTTATAACTTTTTATCCATTTATCTTCTGTACCTCACTCTGCCTAGTGCCACCAACTCTAACGAAAGCTGCTCCTCTTCCTCTCACAGCCCAATCCATGCTGGGAGTCACTCCAGTGCTACTCTTCTTTTTTCCTCATCCCCTGTGGAATTTGATTTTAGGCTGGCTGAAAGTCTGGACACGGAGCCCCTGGAAAACTGGTGTCAGCAATGGATGGAGCTCTTACTGGTTCTATGTGCCTGGGCAGGTAGGAAGTTTAGCCAGAGTCTCTAGGAAAGGGGATGACCAGACACACATACCCACATCCACCACTCCATGGGGCTAGGGGATCCTCGCCCTGATCAGGCAGTCCTGTTGCCAGTTGACACCTTGGGTGACTGCACCCTTTCATTGTGAAGACTGCTGCTGAGACGTTTGCTTTGTGCAATGCTCTTAAGGTTATTTTTATCTCTTTTACTTAAAGAAAATGAATGTGGATCCTTTCCTGATGTCTTTTGATAACCTCATCTTCAAACACCTGTTCTCCTCTGATTCCTTTTCTCCCTCTCTTACTGCCTTGGCCCTGACTCTCATCATCCTCCCTGATACAGTTCACCATGCTGTAGTCCAAATGGTGCTCTGTCTCTCCCTCCAGTTTTGTCCTCACTGCAGCCATTTCAGTTTAGCAGAAGAAGTGTGGCCCGTCCAGCCCTCCAGCTCCATCTCACAGCTCCAGCCACTCTAACCAGGGCCAGTCACTGACTGAGTCGCACTCCCTCTTGCCTTCAGGCATTTGTTTGTGCTATTTCCTCCACCCAGAACATCCTTCCCTGCTCAGTCCCTCCAACTTCTGCCCCATGTTTCTGGTGAACTGCTACCTCTCCATCTACCTTCATCCTCTACCTTAAACATCATGTCTGGGCAGCCAGGGCTGACATGCTCCAGACTCCCTGAGTTGCTTCTCCTACGTGTGACCATATCATGCACTTAGCAGTCTGCTTACTTGACTGTTTTACTCTCTTAGAGCAGGGATTCATTGCTGCACATTATGTGTCCAGAGAGCCTGGGATATAACAGGAATTCTGCAAATATTACTGGAATCAGTGAACACCCTGTCAGGCGCTCTGCTGGGTGCTGGGTGTTTCTGACCTTGAAAAGACTCCCTGCTGGGAAGATTATCCTAAAACCACAATTAATCAGGTCATTTCTCTGCTTAAAAGCATGCATGACTGGCATCATTGAGGCTAATGTGACATGAAAAACGCCCCAAACAGGCTGGCCGAATGAACGTGCCCTCCTCTGGGCGTCAGGAGCATGTCAGGTAGCTTTCTTACAGCTTTCACTCCATTAGCCTCTGATCTTCTGTTTTCTGTTCTTTCTCTGACCACATCTCAAGTTATCCCTGGGTTCTTCTTGCTTTGCACAGGGCCTGGAACTGAGTGGGTGTTAAACAAGTGTTTTGCATGAGCAAATTTCCAAAGGGCCAGAAGGAGAAGTAAAGGGGAAAAATAATCTTTGTCCTCTTCATATCTGCTGCCAGAAAGAAAAAAGACAGGAGGAAGATGGAAGCCTTTGGGGCTCTTCTACAGCCTCTCTCCTGACTTCATGTTATCTACTCTGTAAGCACCTGGGCGTGAGAGTGCCATTTATAGGACTTTCCATGCAGGGATTCTGTGGCTCTGCTAAGGTGCTGCTGCTACTGGGGCACCAGCTTCCTGGAGCAAAGCAGGAAGTCAGAGGATCCCCTGAGCTGAGCTTAGTGGGGATGGCCAGGGGGAGGCAGGGTCCTTTCTGAGAGGTAGAGGGAGTGCAGAAGGAAGTGGCTCTACCATCTGGAATTCTAGAGTACCAGAGAGTGAAAATATTTAATCAGCTTTTCACCTCCCCCACCAATGAAATGAAGACAGTTTCCACCCAACTGGATTCCATGGACATCTAGAATATGTGAAAATCGGAGGAAGACAGCCGGGTTGTAGAAAAAGAGCAAAGGCTTTGTGGTCAGACAATACGGACTCAAGAGCAGCCCTAAGAGGAATTTGACACACATGTACCTTTCTGCCTGCTCCCATGTCAATTACCCAGTTACTTAACTTCCTCTGTAACCTGGGATGAGTAAGAACTACCTCACAGGGTGGCTTTGAAGGTGAAATGCAATAAACAATGTCAAGCACTAACTATAGTGTCTAAAGTACAGGCAGTATTCAATAAAAGGGAGCTTTTATTCCTTTCTAATGAGGAATGCGGAGTTCTTGTATGAAACAGAAACATCAAACTTTGGGGAAAATTTAAATGCATAGGTGAGTGAGCTGGGTTGGCTAAAAGGTCTTGTACTTGGCTGATGTGATCCGCAGAGTGAGTAACACTTGTCTCCTCGTGCCAATGCCATACTCAGGTGGGCTCTCCAGGTATAATCCAGACGTGGGTAATTGATCTATCATGACTTCCCAAGGGACATCCAGCAGACGCACTGCTCCAGCGACAAAGCCCATGGAGGTTGGTGTTGATGGGAAGGGTAGGGATAGAACAGGACTTTGGTCATACCAAGACTGGAGCTCTAGCTTTAAGATGGGAGGGGGGTCGAGCATGTGGTATGATTTGTTCCGTTTCTGGATCACTCTCTTCCTCATTTGGATAGCTCCACCCTATGCTTCAGTTAAATAGAAAATATTTTTCAACCTATTTCCCATCCTTTCTTCTGTGTACTAGGCAAACTGGAGGGTGAAACTCACATTCGCTGATGGAGGCAAAGTGGTATAAATCTAAGTCTGAAATAGAATTGAAATCAAGATATTGACTCTGTGGAGGGTAGATGCTGTGTTCTTTTTCAGCTCATATGGAGAGTAGGTTGAGGGTGAGTACTTTTGGCTACAGAGAACACTAATAAAAGACAAATGTCCTTTCCCCAAGCCCTCAGGGACTTTATGGAGGAGGATGGAGGGGGAGCTGTTTCTTCAAGAACTACAGGGACAAAGCTTCTAAAATTCTCCATGCTTAATAAAATTAATGACAACTGAAAGGCACTGTATTTCAGAAATATGTTTGGTTATTTACCAGGATAGTAATTAAGAAGCAATACTTTCTTTTTTTATCAAATGTTTTTTCTCTAGGAAGGTCTTCTGTGATCCTTTGCCTCTCACTGTCCACCACCCAGCCTCAGCTTGGTGCACCCTGGCTGTTTTGCAAATAGCACCTACTTCTACTTACCATCATCTTGGGGCCTATCATGCTGTATTGTCCTCACCTGTTACCTGCCATCATCCCTACTGGAGTAAGAGTTCTCCCATACAGTGCACAATTTCAGTCTTGTTTTTTAAAACATTCTTTATATCGATGCATAATAGGTGTACATAGTTTTGGGGTACATGTGATAATACATTCATAAAATTTGTGAGGATAAATTAGTATACTTGAGATATCCATCACCTTAAATATTTGTGTTTTTTATGTTAGAAACATTCAAATTATAATCTACTAGCTATTTTGAAATGTACAATATGATGGAATACTACTCAGCCACAAAAAGGAATGAATTAACAGCACTTGCAATGACCTGGATGAGATTGGAGACTATTATTCTAAGTGAAGTAACTCAGGAATGGAAAAACCAAACATTGTGTGTTCTCACTGATATGTGGGAGCTAAGCTATGAGGATGCAAAGGCATAAAAATAATACAATGGACTTTGGGGACTCAGGGGGAAGAGTGGAAGGGAGGTGAGAGATAAAAGACAACATATATGGTGCAGTGTATACTGCTTGGGTGATAGGTGCACCAGGATCTCACAAATCACCACTAAAGAACTTACTCATGTAACTAGATACCACCTGTACCCCAATAACTAATGCAAAAGTATGTACAATAGATTACTGTAGACTATAGTTACTCCATTGATCTATCAAACACTAGGTCTTACTTCTTCCATCAAACCATATGTTCTTACCAATTAATCAACTTCTCTTCCTTTTCACCTCCTGCCTACCCTTCCAAGACTCTGGTAGCCACCAATCTACTTTCTATCTTCATGAGGTCCACTTTTTAAGCTTTACATATGAGTGAGAACATGTGGTATTTGCCTTTCTGTACTTGGCTTATTTCTCTTAACAAAATGACCTCCAGTTCCATCCATGTGGCTGCAAATGACAGGATTTCACCCTATTTTATGTATGAATAACATTCCATTATATATCTATATCTATATCTATACACACATATATGTATGCATATATATCACATTTTCTTTATCCGTTCATTCATTCATGGACACTTAGGTTGATTCCATATTTTGACTATTTTGAATAGTGCTGCAATAAACATGGTAGGGCAGATATCTATTCAATATACTGTAGTTTTGATTTTCATTTCTCTGATGATTGGTGATGTTGAGCATTGCTTCACATACCTGTTGGCCATATGTATGTCTTCTTTTGAGAAATATCTATTGAGATCTTTTGCCCATTTTAAAATTATGTTATTTGTTTTTTGCTATTGAGTTTTTTGAGCTTGTTATATATTCTGGTTATCAATCACTTATCACGTGGGCAGTCTGCAAATTTTTCTCCCATTATGTGAATTGTCTTTTCACTTTGATTGTTTGCTTTGCTGTGCAGAAGCTTTTTAGCTTGATTAAATCAAATTTGTCTACTTTTGCTCTGGTTACCTGTGCTTTTGAGATCTTACACAAAAATTATTTGCCAAAACCAGTGTCCTGGAGTGTTTTCCCTATTGTTGTTTCTAGAAGTTTCGTAGTTTCAAGTCTTAGTTTAAGTCTGTAATCCAATTTGATTTGATTTTTGTGTGTGGCAAGTTATAGGGGTCTAGTTTCATTCTTCTGAAATGGTTATTCAGTTTTCTTGGTATCATTTGTTGAAAAGCCTGTTCTTTTACCATTGTATGTTTCTGGTGCTTTTGTTGAAGATAAATCTGTAAGTGTGTGGATTTATATTTGGGTGCTTTATTCTGTTCCATTGATCTATGTATCTGTTTTTATGCCAGTGCTATGGTAATTTGGTTACTAGCTTTGTAGTAAATTTTGAAGCCACTTTGCAGTAAAGATGTGATGCCTCCACCTTTGTTCTTTTTGCCAAGGATTGCTGGGCTATTCCGAGTCTTGTGGTTCTGTATACATTTTAAGATTTTTTTTTCTATTTCTGTGAATAATGTCATTGGTATTTTGACGAGGATTGCATTGAATCTATAAATTGTTTTAGGTAGTATTGTCATCCTAACAATATTAGTTCTTTCAGTCCATAAGCATAGAATATCTTTTCAATTTTTTTAATATCCTCTTCATCATTGCTTCATGGTTTTCCTTGTATAGATCTTTTACTTCTTTGGTTAAATTGATTCCTAGGTATTTTATATTATTTGTAGCTATTGTAAATGGGATTGGTTTCTTGATTAATTTTTCACATTTTACACTGTTGGCATAAATAAATGCTACTGATTTTTGTATGTTGATTTTGTATCTTGCAACTTTACTGGATTTATCAGTAAAGAGATCAAGCCATAACAAAATGTCTTTTATTAAAAATATGCCCAGGACCTGATAGGTTCACTGCTAACTTCTACCAAACATTTAAGGAATAACTAAAATAAATTCTACTCAAACTCCACAAAAAGATGGAAAAGAAGGTAATACTTCCAAACATGTGGTGAGATACCAGCATTAGTGATATTAAAACCAGACAAGAACATAACAAAAAAGAAAACCACAGGTCAATATCACACCTGATACTCATCATCTGATGATCATAGATGCAAAAATGTAGACTATAGTTATCCTATTGATCTATCAAACACTAGGTCTTACTTTGTCCATCAAACCATATATTCCATCAAACCAAATTTGACTAGCAAACCAAATTCAACAATACATTGAAAAGATCACTCACCATGATCAAACTGGACTCATCCCAGGGATGCAAGAATGGTTCAACATATGCAAATCAATAATAATGATACATCACATTAACAGAACCAAGAACAAAAACCATATGATCTTCTCAATAGACATGAAAAAAGCATTTAATAAAATTAAACATCCCTTTATGATTAAAAAAAAACCTCATGAAACTGGTTATAAAAGAACATACCTCAAAATAGTAAAGGCCATATCTGACAAACCCTGAACAGGGAAATATTGAAGTTTATTTCTCTAAAAATGGGAATAAGAGAAGGATGTCAACTTCTACAACTTGTGTTCAACATAGTACTGGAAGCCCTAGCCAGAGCAATTAGGCAAGAGAAATAAAGGGCATCCAAATTAAAAAGGAAGAATTCAAACCAGCCATGTTTACAGGTGACATGCTCTTATACTTAGAAAAACCTAAAGACTCTACCAAAAAACCTGTTACAACTGATCTCTTTACTTGTTATTGGTTTAATGTCTGTTTTTAAAAAATTTCTTCATGGTTCAATCTTGGTAGGTTGTATATTTCCAGTAATTTATTTGTTTCTTTTAGATTTTCCATTTTTTGGCATATGGTTACTCCTGATAGCCTCTGATGATTCCTTGTATTTCTTTGTTCTCAAATGTTATTTTTCCTTTTTCATTTTTAATTTTATGTATTTGGGTCTTCTCTCTTTTTTCTTGGCTAGTGTAGTTTAAGCTTTGTCAATTTTGTTTATCTTTTTAAGAAAATCAACTTTTTGTTTTGTTGATCTACTGTATTGTTTTTTAGTCTCAATTTCATTAATTTCTGCTCCGATCTTTGTATTTGTTTCCGTCTACTAATTTTGGGTTTGTTTTGTTTTTGCTTTTCTGGTACCTTGAGGTGTACTGTTAGGCTGTTGATTTGAAATCTTTCTACTTTTCTGATATAGGCATTTATTGCTATAAACTTCCTATTAGAACTTCTTTTGTTGTATTTCATAGATTTGGTATGTTATATTTTCATTTTTATTTGTTTCAAGAAACTTTAAAATTTTCTTCTAATTTGTAATTGACTCATTGGTAGGTCTGGAACATATTTAACTTCCATGTGTATGTGAAGTTTCTGAGGTTTCTCTTGTTATTGATTTTTTTCCACTTTAGTCAGAAAAAATACTTGATATGATTTTTACTTTATTGAATTTGTTCCGACTTGTTTTGTGGACTAAGATATCACCTGTTCTAGAGGACATTTCATGCACTGATGAAAAGGTTTATTCTACAATAGTTGGGTAAATGTTCTGTAAATGCCAGTTAGGTCTATTAGGTCTAGTATAGTTTAACTCTCATGCTTCTTTGTTTCTGTCTGGATGATGTGTCCATTACTGAGAGTGGGGTGTTGAAGTCCTTTGCTCTTACTGTTTTGCAGTATACTTTTCCCTTTAGATTTTATTAGTATTTGCTTTATATACTTGGGAATTCTGGTGTTGGGTATATAGATATTCATAATTGTCATATCTTCTTTCTGAATTGACCCTTTTATCATTATATAGTGACCTTCTTTTTCTCTTTTTACAGTCTTTGATTTGTAGCCATCCCACTCCTGGCCTGTATGGTTTCCTTTGAGAAGTCTAAATTGGAGGTCTTTTATATGTTTTTGCCTCTTTTCCCTTGCCGCTTTTAGGATCATCTCTTTGTACTTGGTCTTTGAAAATTTGATTTTTATATGCCTTACAGTAGTCTTGTTTGGGTTGAAACTGTTTGGTATTCTCAGATCTTCCTGTCCCTGGATATTTATCTCTTTCTCAAGGTTTTGAAAGTTTTCTGTTATTATCCCCTTGATAAACTTTTTACTCTTTGCTCTTGCTTGATACCCTCTCTTCAACACCAGTAATTCTTAGATTTGGTCTTTTGAAGTAATATATATATTTTGAGACTGAGTCTTGCTCTGTCACCCAGGCTGGAGTGCAGTGGCATAGTCTCGGCTCACTGCAACCTCTGCCTCCTAGGTTCAAATGCCTCAGCCTCCCCAATAGCTGGGATTACAGGCACGTGCCACCACGTCTGGCTAAATTTTGTATTTTTAGTAGAGACAGGGTTTCACTGTGTTGGCCAGGCTGGTCTTGAACTCCTGGCCTCAAGTGATCTGCCCACCTTGGCCTCCCAAAGTGCTAATATTACAGGTGTGAGCCACTATGTCTGGCCTATTCTCTATATCTTGTTGGTGATTTTTATTTCTTTTCATTCCTTTTCTTTTTTCTCCTCTGACTGTATATTTTGAAGTAGCCTGTCTTCAAGCTAACTGATTCTTTTTTTTTGCTTGATCCATTCTGTAGTCAAGAGCCTCTAATTAATTTTTTAGTTCAACATGTACATTTCTCAGTTCCTATATTTTTGTTTGATTTTTAAAAATTATTTTAATCTCATTAAATTTTTATGATAAATTCCTGAGTTGGCTTTGTGTTGTCTTGGAAATCACTGATTTTCTTTAAAACTAAAGTTTTGAATTCTTGATCAGAGAGCTCATATATTGCCATCTTGTTAGTATGAGTCACTGTTTCCTTGCTTTGTTTCTTTGGGAGATCATGATTCTTTGTTTGCTGTTGTGTTCTGTGATGTAGGTCTGTGTCTGTGCACTGAAGTATTAGTTATTTATTCCAGCCCTCTCTACATGGCTTGTTTTGTTTTTTCCTGGATATATTTGCTTAGTGGTTCTTTACTGCTAGGTTGCTGCCTCCTGTTTGGCTCTAGGTGGCACCATAAGTCCGGGTTCGGCTCAGCTTCAGTAAAGGATTGGAGTGCTGCCCTTCCTGAATGGGGGAAGTCCCAAAGGGGATATTCTTGCACTGCTGGAAACTTGGCTAGGGGTTCCTGCCCAGGGATCCTGTGAATAAACCTCCGGCAGCTTGGTGCTGCTGAACAGCCACTCTGATTTGGCATCTCCTTTGGCTGAGTTACACAGTAGAGTTTCCAGGGATGGGGATGGTCGCCCTCCCTCTTCACTTTGTCTTTGCCTGTCACAGGGACATTTTTCCCTTCAGGCACTCATGATGCTTCTCCTGCATTACGGCAGAGGCAAGTGTCCTGCCAGGACACCCAAGATAGTGGGGAAAGTGAGATTCAGGTGGGCAATCACCATTTCCGGTATAGAAACTGTGAATTGGGTAAAAATTTTCTGCTCACTTGGTGCTGGGCAGAATGGGGGGAGGGACATTGTGAATGTGGAAGCCTGATTCTCTTACCATCTGTTCAGAGTTTTTTTTTTTTCTTTCACTTTTCACTTTCTGTGTCCCTGAGGACTGTCTCGTCTTCATATTTGAGTTTTGAAAGATTGCTGGTGATAATCTTGTGCCATATGTTCATTTTTTGATTTTCTGTAAGGGCTAGTGATGTCAGCTTGCTTGTATGCCACCATTTTGGAACCAGAAATCTCACTGTTCTTTTAATACCTTCATGGAAAGTGAACTCATATCACTGAAAGTCACCAAGGTTCAAGTCACAGCTGTATCAATGATGGGCTGTGTGATCCTGTGTATGCTTCTTACCAGTTGTGTCAAGGACGTGTTGGAGAAGAGTACCGACCTTGTAGGGTTGGGGTGAAAAATAAATGAGATACTTGAAGTGAAGCACTTTACACTGTGCAGGATTCATAGCAGGGATTAGCAGTTTTTTGTTTTTTTGTTTTTTTGTTTTTTGTTTTGAGACGGAGTCTCACTCTGTCGCCCAGGCTGGAGGGCAGTGGTGCGATCGATCTCGGCTCACTGCAAGCTCCGCCTCCCGGGTTCACGCCATTCTCCTGCCTCAGCCTCCCGCGTAGCTGGGACTACAGGCGCCCGCCACCATGCCCGGCTAATTTTTTGTATTTTTTAGTAGAGACGGGGTTTCACTGCGTTAGCCAGGATGGTCTCGATCTCCTGACCTCGTGATCCGCCCGCCTCGGCCTCCCAAAGTGCTGGGATTACAGGCGTGAGCCACCGCACCTGGCAGGGATTAGTAGTTTTTTTTATTTGGTTGAACGAATGGAGCAATCATCCTCATAGCTTCCTGGAGAAGCAGGGGGAACTTTGTGGACCAATGTGGTTCCTTCTTTGGGACTTGGTGAGATGGTGCCTACTCCTTGTTTGCTGTGCTTGCAAAAAAGGAATCATGGGGCTTTCTCAAATCCTATTGGAAAATAATTTACTTTGAGGTTATAGTCATGAAGTTTAAAAAATTAATAAAAATAGAAGCGATTCTATCAGAGACATAATAAAAGAAACAAAGTTCCTAAGAATCTGAACACCTAGGTTTCAATTCTGACTCCAACATTTGTGAGCTCAGGCAAATCACTACTTATATCTGAGACTCAGTTTTCACAGATGTAAAACAAGGGTAAGGGTTATTAATTAATAATAAAGTGGTCTTGAATATTTATGTACAAAGAACTGTGCTAATTACTGGAAGGTGATGCATTAATAATGTAAATTACCCTGAATGTTTTCTTCCAAATATTATATTCTGTGATTGTATGAATTTTCTAGGTTGACACTGCAATGCAATTAGGTAGCTTTTAGGAATTACAGTCAGAAGGCAATTTTACAGCAGATACGCTTTTTTATTTGTCAGTAAAGAAGAATGTTTCCAGCCTCTGGGTTAAAGTTAGGCTGTAACATGAAAATATACATGAAATTGGTAAGATAAAATTATTAGTGGCTCTTTTAGTTCTGCTCATGCATGGAATTAAGGGGATAAAGTGGTTCTTTGATGCAGATGTAGTAAAGCTTGCTACAAGTGTATCCGGTGGCCTTTCATTCTGAAGGTTTTGGTGAGTCATTGAGAGTCCCTGATTAGGAACATGACTAGAAGCTTTGCATTAGAACGGCTCATTTGATAATTTATGCATGTGCTTCCAAATTTGGAGGGCAAAAGCCTGGGGAATATGCTAATAGCCTCATGCTGAGAATGAGGAAAGAGAGAACATGCTGTTCATTAGCCATAATAAAACCATAAGGAGACCCACCTTTGCGTTCCCTTTGCTGAGGGAGGTATATTCAGAGAAGAAGGCAGATCTGCAGAGAGGTCCCTGGCTCTCCTTTTGCAATAGTAGAAACCAGGTCTTGCCTTTTATTATGGGGCTTGGAGTCCAAAGAAAAGGACTACACTTCTAACAATACTTTAAGCATAGGTGAAAGTCATTTTTCTCTACAGATTGAGACTCAGCTGTGATGAGTTGAGCCTCTACTATGTGCTTGGGCCAGGCCTGACTAGACTGTGTAATATCTTCCTTTCTGTGGTCCTTGGCTTCTCCTTGTGTCAATAGGGGGTTTAGGCTTTAGCTGTGACACTCCACCTTTCCCCACAGGGAGTGGGAGTTAGAGTCTGTATTAGTCCATTCTCTCATTTCTATAAAGGAATACCTGCAATTGGGTAATTTATAATGAAAAGAAGTTGAATTGGCTCATGGTTCCACAGGCTGTACAGGAAGTATGATGTTGACATCTGCTTAGCTTCTGAGGAAGCCTCAGGAAACTTACAATCACAGTGGAAGGGGAAGGGGGAAAAGACATGTCACATGGCTGGAGCAGGAAGAAAAGAGTGAGGGGTGAGGTGCTACATAATTTTTAAACAGATCTCATGAGAACTCACTATCATGAGGACAGTACCAAGAGGGGTGGCACTAAACTACTCATGAGAAATCCACTCCCATGATCCAATCACTTTCCACCAGGCCCTACCTCTAACATTGGGAATTACTATTTGACACGAGATTTGGTGGGGACACAGACCCAAACCATATCAGGGTGCCTTCTAGATAACTGGCAGCTCTTGAATACCAATACAAAATTATCCTGAACGAGGTAGAATAGTTATTTTGGCTTTAGCTTCAACTCTCTGATAAACTTTTGGAAAATCACCCTTCTTTCTAGACCTCAGTTTCTATATTGTAAAATAAGGGGTTTGGAAGAGAATTTCTAGAACCATCGTGTCTCAATTTGGTACTCAACGGTTTGCAGTTGGGAATACCTGAGAAGCTGCTGGATATGTTCCCAACTAGTCTGAGAAAAAGCAAACCTACCCATTGGAGAAAAGAAGCAATGAACATTGTAACTCATCCTCCAACCAGTAGAGAGCCTCCCCCTCTTTCTCTGTGGGTATTATGTTTGCATATTGAAGTCAGTCAAGAAAGCAGAGACCAGAATAATCAAGGATGTGGAAGGAAATGAAGATGCTAAATCCGCAGTCTGATAACAATCTGTGGCTGAAAATAGGAGACCAATTCCTAAGACAAAATCAGCAGAAAATCTCAACAATCAGATAATTTGTCGCTATGACAATTGGGTTTAACAATCTCCTAATTGAGTGTAGTCCTCTGTGGGAGCGGGTGACACACAGCAGCAGCCTGAACAGCAGTCACCCTGTTTTCAGTGCTCCGGGAAGTATTTTGAGCCCGTCAGCAGACCATCCATCTGCTCTGCCTTCCTCCTTCCTGAAAAGTGCATCTGCAAGAAAGTCCAGGGCTGGAGGCCAGAACGGATGCGTTTGAAGCTTCCAGGATTCCTTTCCACTTAGATGAGGTCAGCAATTTCTGAAAAGAGCTCCCTGTTCTTTCTTGGAGTAGGAGCAAATGCTTTTTGAAGCTTTCAGAGGCCCACATGTAGAGGCTCTGTCCAAATGAGCTACACATACACCCTCCCAGCATTGCTCTGGGTGGAAAAGAGGCTTGTCTTTCTCCAAAAGCCTACAGAGATAGTCATATAAACATAGATCATCTGGAATTTCCACAGATGCCTGGACTGTTATGGAAAGAGTGTAGTCACCTACTAAGTGGGTGGTTATGAGCCTTCCCTTACTTTTCACTTGACCATTGGCCTCATTCATGAATGGAAGTTTTGTCAGACACTTACTACATAACAAATACTCCCCTCCCTATCCTGCCCTCATCCTTTTAGAATGTAAATTACAGGACAGCAAATATTTTGTCAGTTTTGTTCACAAATGAGTTATCAAGTGGTTTTAGATATGTCTGGCACGTAGTAGGCTTTTATATTTAGAAGGACTGGGCTAGGGGCCCTAGACAGTAAGATAAAAAGAGGATTTACCATCTCTTGAGGAGCTTGCAATACAGTGAGGGAGGCAGCCTACAGGCAGGTATTTATTGCAATGTGGTGAGTTGTAGAATGGAGATATGTGTATGAAAGAGGTGAAGATTCTGGTCTTTCCTGGATTCTTCCAGCTTTCCCAGAGTATTGTGTTGAATTCTGGGCACCATACATCGGGAGCAGCCCTGGCAAAGCAGAGCAAGTTCTCAGGGAAGAGACTAAAAGGGTCCCCATTTCTGGGAGGTAGTGGGAGGCATTGTGTTGTTGGAGATGGAGAAGAAGAGATTTAGGTAGAAGTGAGAGCCACACCAAGCCTGGTGAGTTGTCAGGCAGAGGAGAGTTTACGATTCTGCTGTGTGGCTCTCTTTAGAAGACAGAACCAGGGACAATTGCTGGAGGCATCAGAAAAACAGATTGCCTTTCAGCGTATATATAATGAAAAGAAGTTGAATTGGCTCACAGTTTCATAGGCTGTACAGGAAGTACGATGTTGATCTGAGGAAGCCTCAGGAAACTTATAATCATGGCGGAAGGGGAAGGGGGAACAGACATGTCACATGACTGGAGCAGGAGGAAAAGAGAGGGGAGGTGCTACATATGTTTTAAACAGATCTCATGAGAACTCACTATCATGAGGACAGTACCTCAGTGTAAATGAGAACTTTCCAGCAGTCAGGTCTCTAAGGCAAGGAGTTTCTTTCTATTGGAGGCTTGAGCAGCAGCTAGAGGAGATGTGGTAGAAGAAACTCGTTTGTTTAGGAAGATGAAGCTAGATCAGAGATTCCAAACTGAGTTCCCTGTGTGCTCCTGGGGTGCTGTGTGGCTACTGTAGGGGGTAAACTAGTGGCTGAAAGGCAGGCTTTACTCCCATGCTCCAGTGTGTATTAGGGGTGTGTAAGATTTCATCTGGGCCAAAGAGTTTTCTAATTTTAAATGAATGAGCCAGATGTCAGCAAGTTTCCTTTCAATTCCTATGACCCGTGATAAAGCTAACTTTAAACTAGATGGTGTTAGCATTTTGCATTGATTTACAGAATTTTAGGGCTGCTTGCAACCTTTGACATAATCTCTAAAAGTCATTCTTAACATTTGGACATTTTTGGATGATTTTAAAGTTTCATAGAAGTTGTTTCCAGGAAAATGCACATATATCCTCAAACAATGGAATGTCTGCAAGAAAGTTCACAGAGTGCATTTTCCATAAAGCCCATTGAGGAATCCTTCAGCAGTCCATGGACTCTGGGTTCAGATTACTTAGTTTAGTCTCACTTGGAATTTTGCAGATTGGGAAGTGGAGGCCAAGAGGCAGAATGCAGAGAAGTCAGAAGGGCTGACTCCCTTTATTATAACTCCCAGAGGAGGCAGAATCAGAAGAGGCAGAATGCAGAGAAGTCAGAAGGTCTGACTCCCTTTATTACAACCCTTTCAAACAAGGAACCTGGAGTCAGAAGGTCTTTATTCAAATCCTTTCTCTGCCTTTTTTAGCTGTGCTCTTGGAATGCTGAAGAAAAGTTTTGCAAGTAGGCAACAATTAAATTATTGAAATCATCTAAAGAATGGCTTTTCTTGTCTTCCTGAAATAGAGATAGGAAAAGACAAGTGATAAAACAGGCAGTAGAAGCAGAGCTGTAGTAACTGAATGGACAAGAAGTTGGACAAAAGGAACAGAAGCTACATGTAATAGAACAGAAACTCAACTGTCATGGTCTAACAGCTTTGATCAGAACCTCTATGTTATGGCCAAGCCAGGGCAGCATGGCAGAGCTCTGCCCTGCAGGCACTCAGCTGGTACACCTAACCCTCCCAGGACCCCTTGGCTTCTACCTTCAGTTTATTGTGGGCTAGTCTCTATCTGTATCTGTGGTGAGGAAGTGAAGTTGTGCCTACTTAATAGGCACTGGTGGTTCTAGGGTATTTGTGAGCTTGTTTGGGTAGGTGTCATGATACCTGCAATTAACAGTGAAGAGAGACCTAGAAGGTTTGTGAGACCAAAGAAAATTTCTATAGGTTGAAGCATACACTCTGCTTCCTTGGAGCCAAGAGTCTTCTACTGAACTACAGTTTCTTATTCTCAATATCACTTCAGTGGCTACAGATAGTTGCCTGAGAAGGGGGTCTCAGAGTTAATAGAACAGAACACTTAAACACAATAACCCTTAATTTCTTTGTTAACGTGATACAGATCATCACACGGTGTGTTTATAGTTGTATGAAAATGTTAAAGAAGGTTATATGGGTACAATTGCTTTGTAAACTTTGTCCTGGTGGGTGATATAGTTCTCTTCTTGTCATTAAAGGTGTGTGATTGGGCAGTGGCCAGGGCACAGTAGAATCTGGTATTCTTGATACTTTGTTTGTAAATCATAGTTAGTCTTCTAGAGAATGTTTTGCCATTCTTTCTCTGTATACTATTTATATCTGTTATTACACAGAGATTTTAGAATGAGACTGATCAGGTTTCAAATTTCTGACACTCATTAGCAGAGAAACTGTTTTGACATCATTTAATTTTCTTAAACCACAGTTTTCTCCTGGACATAATCATCCCTGCTTGAGACAATTATGAAGAAAATCAAATGAGGATGAATATGGGGGTGATTTATAATGTGTGTGTATGTATATGTATCTGTATACATTTTTTCTTTGAAAATGTTTATTCAGAGTTGTAAATTTATTAGTAATCTTTATATTTATTTGTAATAATAATACCAGCTAACATTTATATAATGCTTTCAGTGTTAAGTACTACTGCATTTACATTAACCCATTAAATTATTTTTTTAATTTTTTTTATTTTTTGAGATGGAGTCTCGCTGTCACCCAGGCTGGAGTGCAGTGGCGCGATCCTGGCTCACTGCAACCTCCACCTCCCAGGTTCAAGTGATTCTTCTGCCTCAGCCTCCTGAGTAGCTAGGATTACATGTGCGTACCACCATGACGGCTAATTTTTGTATTTTTAGTAGAGACAGGGTTTCACCATATTGGTCAGGCTGGTCTTGAGCTCCTGACTTCATGGTCTCCCTGCCTTGCCCTCCAAAAGTGCTGGGATTACAGGCGTGAGCCACCGCACCCTGCCAACCCATTAAATTATTAATAACAACACTGTAAGGCAAATGAGGTGCAGAGATAAAGCAAACTGCCCAAGATCCCACTTCTGATAAATGGTGCAGGACCATTTTCCAAGAAGCCTCGGAGCCCCCTTTCTTGCTTGCAGTTCTCAAGAATAACAATAGAATGTGCTGGGAATGCAACATCCTGACACAAGGAAAGGTCTGGCTGAAACAAACTTGCCTTTGATTCTCCTAGAATCAAAGTCCCCTAGAAAAAATAGGATGTTTCCCAATGCTTTAGCCCAGCGATTCCCATTACTCCAGGGCATAAGACTCAGGGTGGACTGCTTTCCAGGGTTCTTCAGCTGCAGTGCAAGTAGGACACATGCAGGTGAAACTCATCTACTGCAGGACAGCTTTCCTGAGCCTTAGGGGAGCAGCTCCTCATGAATTGTAGGCTTCTGTTGTCTTCTGCTGCCTATCTGTAAAAAATAAATCTGCTTCATGTAACTTGCTGTGCGTGTGGTTGTTCTGTCTCACAGGACTCAGACAAATTGGTAACCAGTGCACAGTACACCTGCTTCATAAATGGCAGTGCCGGGATTTGAATCCTAGAAACAGTCTGTACTTGTAACAATCTACTATGCCACCTGTCATATAGCAAATCAAATATCCCCACCCCCCATATGTAATGGGTGAACCCTCAGAGATGGGGGCTTGACCAGCAAAGTCTCCCTCTTCACTCTTCCTACTTCCCTGCCCTGTTGCTGTGTTATGTTTTTTCTGTTCTGTTCTTTTTAATGGTAAACCTACTAAATGTTAGAGTTTGTCTTGAGCTGGTAGCTTCTTCTAGGAGTTTAACACATCCATTTTATAATACTTAATGTTATTATTTTTTGCCCATGGTATTAAGGCTCATTGGTCAAGTCTCTGAGAATTGCATTCCTAGGTTTCTCCAAAAGGTAGTCTCCTCCCCAGCAGAACCCTCCTTCCTTATCAGCAGGGCTTCCCACACTTCTTGGAGACAGGTTAAAGTGTTGTCCTGTCAGTGCCCTGGAATCCATTCCTCATCAAAGATCAGCCTACTGCATGGCAGGTTTCTCTCTGGTGCCCTCTTTTACTGTTTTCCTGTGTCTTTCCAGCACGTATCTCCAGCCTGTTACCTCCCATCAACTACCACCTCGAATCTCCCCAGATGCCCTTGACAAAAGATGAGAGACAAAAAAGAGCATGGAGACACCACCCTTATCAGGTTGTGGCCAGTTATCTTGGCTTCCTAATGTGGTCAGAAGTGGCCTTTGAGATTAGATGAGCTTCTGCCTCCACATGCCCTCTGTAGAACACTGTCATTGCATTGAATGAACTGATATTTCACCGTGAGGAAGCCAAATCCTTCTTTGTTCTGCCCCAGATGTCTCCTTAGAGGTGCAGCACAGAAACCTGGCTTAGGCCAGAAGGTACCTTAACAAAAACTCACTGATGTGTCCTAGCATATTTATACTTTCTAAGACTTTAATTTTCCATTCTTATTTTCCCAAAACTAAAGGGTAAAAATATAAGAATAAATTAGATTTTGGTTAGCTTTGGGCCAGTTTGTGCCAACAGAATTTTATTCATCTTTATAGGGAAAGTACGGATGGTTTGCAAGCTCTTCCCTAAAAGATCCCATAATTCTGCTATGGTTTTTCCTGCAGTGTTTGTTTTGGTGATGGTGTGGCACTGTCCCATTTAGGTTTGGTGCAATTTAGTATATTTTGACCTAAACATTATTGTTTTGATTGTCCTGGTAGAAACAACCTGGAAATGGTTCTGGGCCAGCGTGGAGATGGCATGGAGATTAGGTGAGAGACTGCATCCATGCTTTCATTGGAACTATTTTATTCGGATGAGTCTGACGAGGTTGAATTGGCCAGTGTTCTACTGAGACTCCTGCTTGGTGCCATACTCTGGTTTGGCACCTAGGGGTGGGCCAGGGAGAAGCCCAGCAGTAGAGGCTTTAATTTTGGGGAAGCCTTTAGTTTTGGGGAAATAAGAATGGAAAAGTAAAGTCTTAGAAAGTATAATTATGCTAGGACACGTCAGTGTTTTCACGATGAGGAGGCTGAGGCAGACAGACCAGAGGGCACACATGCAGACTCTTCTGCTGCAGAATTCTGAAGTAGCTAGAAGACACATTTCCAGCAAATGGGCTGGTGGGACTTAATGCATTATGATGGGCATTTAAACATGGTACTGTTTAAAGGGGAGGGATTATTGGCATAACAGACTTACACAACTGTCAAGGAAAACCATAACAGGATCCATAATGAGTCCATATTAACCTGCTTTCATAAGTACCGTTTACATGGAAAACTAAGAATTACTGGATATTTGAGACAAATTTGATAGCATAAAAAAATGACCAAGATGAACAACAAAGCAAGTTCAAGGGGCATAAGACCCTTAAAAAATGACTTGTTATCTTTATATTTGTCAGCATATTATATCAAATATAAAACAATATAAAAATGAGCAGATGGCAAACAAGAAATAGATGTAGGAAATTTTAAAAAATGATGCTGACATAAAAATGTCAATGGATGCCCTAAATAGGGATGTGGGTAGAACTAAAAACCGATCACAGAGATAAGGTCCCGCATGTAAACAGAGGAAGAAAACATGAGAAACAAATTGAGAAATATGAAATATAGATCTAAGGGTTCAACTTCCATCCTAGTGGAATTCTAGAGGGGAAAACAAAAATGGTGCAGGACATAAAGTAATTGGAGAAAAAATAAAAGATCATTCTCTAAGCTGAGAGAGTTGAATTTTCACATAGAAAGGCTCATGGAGGGATGAGCTGGATTAATAGAAAAATATATATCCTGGATTAATGAAAAATATATATTTCAGAAATCCTGGGATAGAAAGAAAATCTTACTGGCTCTGAGAGAAAAATACATGTGATCTACAAAGAAACAGCATTATACCATCATATAGATTGTTTCTGTCAGCAGCTTTGTGGGCTCTTGATACAGAGCATTGTCTTAAAAGTTCTGAGAGAAAATAATTTTGGATCTAGAATTCTATGTCCAGACAAACCATCCATCAAGTTAAAGACAAAATACAACACTTCTAAACAAACATGATTTCAGAATTTAGCTCTCATATATTCTATATGAGAAAAATTACTTTAGGAGATACTTTAGCAGACTAAAAAAGAAATTCACAAAAGAAGTTGACATAGGGTATTAAAAAGAGGGCACTATTGTGTGGCCTGAATGAGTGAAGAAAGTTACAAGGAAATGGAAAGTGGTTTCATTTGACATTGTTGCTTGGAAAATTCTCTGTTGTACAACACAGGGCTTTTTTTATGGGTCCAATCATACTACTCAGTTCTTTCTACTTTTAAATTAAACTACGGACTCAATAGACTTATAGAAAAGGAGTTAAATGTTACAAAACTTGGCAAAGTATAAGTAATACTTAATGTAGTACGAGAGGAGGAAGAGGAGGGAGGAGAAAAAGTTTGAATAAATATGCTAATTTCTTTGTTACTATACATATTTTAGATTAGAAATTCAAAAGGTTTTATCTAAAATTGACAATGGAAAAAATAGGTTTTTAATTATATTTAAAAGTCATAAAGAATTTCACAACTAGCTATTAATAGTGATTGCTTTTAGGGAGTGGGACTGGGTGTTGAGAAAATGGGGTGGACTTTACATTTCATATACCCCTGATAACATAAACATTATTTAAATACAAAATGATCTAGCCTTTCCATTTGTAAATTCCCAGGCTGAGGAAGTTGGCTGGATCTTAGGATTTCAATTTCCCTGGACACTTGATTATTTATCACCAAAGCACATTACACTACTCTCCATATTTGTACCTCTCAGAAATCAATATGGCTTTGTTTTTATATGCAACAAAGAGAAAAATCTACAAGTTGACTTCCCCTTAGTGTGGTTTAGCTTCCACATGAATACATGTGCATATTACACCAATGAGCCTTTAAAAATAAAATACTTCTATTTCTAGGAGGTAAAATTCTAGATGAAAGGCTGGTTATAAGGTTTCTAATATCAGGATGAAAATAACTGCAAAGCAGCCCTGTGTAATTAAAGAGATAATTACAAACACGGTAGCCTTGAGAAAACAGCTCACGTATCATCATGCCTTCTCACTGAATTCCCATCAAATCTGCTCATCTTGGACATCCTTCAGGGAACAATGCTCACCCCAGGTTTGCTAGGGCCCTCTCACACAGGCAAGATTACTCATGTTTTAAAAAAGAGGGTCATTTGTTCAGGATGCCAGAAAAAAAAGAGAAATTAGCAAACTAATGAGTTATCTGTGCACTTTGCATACAGAGTGGAAGATTAATCTCTGTTAACTGCTTGTTTAATGTTACAGTTAATAATTAGTTACCTTGTTGCCCCAGAACATTCATCATTTTATTGAACTATAAGGTTTAGGTTGTGTGCTTTTTCTCCACTTTTACAGGCAGCTGTTTATCTTTGCTTAGGTTGATTTTGGAAAAAAGAAGCATAGATGGTTGGTGAAAGAACTGTTGATATTAAAGGGTAAATTTCCACACAAAATGTTTTTGTTCCTTACCATTTCAATAAAGGCATCTATTGATTAGGAAAAGAAAGGTGAATGAAAAGAACATTGGTCTGGGACTCAGTCCCAGCCAGGGGCATGGATTCAGTTCTGACTTGTTTGTTAGCACTATGTCTTATCAAGCAAGTAACTTAACCTTTTTGGGCCTCTGTTTCCTCCTCTGTAAATGAGAGGATTATACTAGAAAGTCTCCAAAAACTTCTGCAGCTTTCACACTTTACTATTGTATATGATAAGCCAGGAATAAAGCTCATTCTTAGAAACGTCCTTCTTTCGTCAAAAAATAGCTTGCAGGTAGCTGCCTGCCTTAACAATACTTAGTAGAATATTAGTTCCATGTCTACAGTATCACCAGTCTCAACTAAACATGCCTTTTTTCATTATCAGAAGTAACTATAGAAACCATACTGACAGCAGCTATTGTAAGGAGGCTTTAACATTTTTAGGGCTTCAAAAGACACCAACAAAAATGGAGGTGGAGAAATAAACAATGGCTTTTGCTGTAACTGCCTCCACTTTTTCAGCAGTCTGGCCACAGCCTCAGCATAATTTAAAAGTACCAGGTGTTCCTGCAGTTTCTTTCAGGAAGATTAGGGGTTCCATTCAGGAAAGAGTATTCACAGGAACTAGTTGATGCCCCTGTCATATTGATGCCTTTAATACTAAGCAAACCTGGGCAAGTCATATCAACTCTCTTTTTCAGTTTGGTCTTTGAAAGAAAAGGCAAAGAGAGCAGATGATGCAATGGAAAAAGCAAGGGATTTGAATCCTGGGCTTTGAATAACTGGCTTAGTCATCAGCTGGCTGTGTGCCTCAGTGTCCTCATCTATAAAATAAGAAGAAAACAGAACAATAGTTAAAAGAACATATGAGAACCCTTTGTCTTTGGAGCCCCAAAACAGTAGGTGCTGTCAGTGGGTCATTAGTAGGGGGACTCTGGACTTCTATCTGTCATTCTTGCTCCCTTTTTGTCCTTAGCAGTAACTCTTTAAGCCTTCTTAGGAGCACAGCAGCATAGTTTGAAGTCTCAATTGCAAAGGTTGGTTCATGCCAGCTCCTGGCAATGAATTCATGGGTAGGGGATAAAAATAGGATGAGGGTTTGTGCTCCTGTGAAGCTTTACCCAAAAGGTCTAGTGGTCTACCTGGGGTGGTGTCAGGGACCACAACTCTTCAGACCTCACTCTGCCAGTCTTCTGCAATGAGAAGTAAAGACATTTCTGCTGTAAGGTGATACGTATAATCCTAAAACACTTCATGTTCTACAAAACTGTGAACTAAAAATGATGGGCTGTCAACTATGTTACTATTATACCAGAAAAAAAGTTAAAAACCTTAATAAAAATACTATCCAGTAAAACAACACACACACTTAAATTCTAATACATAAGAAAACAATGATAGTAAATACGGATTGTATCCTTACAAAAAGTGACAATACCTTGATGGAAGGGAGTATAAGGAAGGGTCAGGGCTGCTGCTTTTTGGAGAGAGAACAAAATGCACATGGATCAGGTGGAATCCTGTTGGGGCCTCACACAACAGAATGTGTGGCCAAACTGAAGCCACTGGAAGAAAGTGGATAAGCTCATGGTGCCGAGTACTCAGATTTTCCACCTCATGCTGCACATAGCTATGCAGTGTCCTTTGTGTTCAGTTGCTGTTATTTGTAACACAGGACATGGATACACTGGGGAAAACTGCTCTGAATTGTGACTTCTGAACTATCTTGATATCCTTTCCCATTTGCCAGTTGCATACAAGCAAATTTGCATTACATGAACATGTGGTGCAGTAGGATACCCAGGAGTATCGGTATATCTGTCCTTTTTAGGCCTACGGGTTTGTCATCTTAGAATCAATGATACACCAGAAACAAGGGGGCCGTTTGTCTACCCTGGTCCTTCAAGCCCAGCAAACCCCTCACATACCATGTCCTTGCAGTTTCCCAAACAAACAAACAAAAAACCTGCAAAACTGCTCAATTTTCTTGGACAATAAATTATTCAAGGTCATAGCTAGCATGTGTTCATTCCCATGGCTCCCTCAGCCTGCTGGCATCTTCCAGGATTCTGCCTCTGTATCCTGCCTCACTTCTGTCCCTTGTTTCCTGGGGTTTATCAATGCTCAAAATCTGGTGTTGGGAAATCCCAGTTCCTTAACATTCTTGTTAGGTGTTCATTCATTCATTCTTTCAATCAATCATTCAGGGCTTTGGGCCCCAGAACTTCAAGCACCATTTCTCTGAATTAAGAACTTCATGTATCAGCCACTGGTCTTATTCCAGAGCTCATTTGACCTTCCTCCCACTCTTGTTGGAGAAGGGTAGATATTCAGTTAGTAGCGGAGCTTGTAAGACTCAGAAAATTATATACCTTCATCTCCCTACCCTTTGTGCTGATTTCTCTGTTTTATGATAACAATTTTAAAAACTGATTTGTACTAATATTACCAAGGGTTAGGATTAGAAAAGCAATCTTTCTGCAGATTGGTCAATCATAAAATCCATTGTCCTTTAGAGTCTGTTTGTTAAGTAGTGTCCAATGTCAAAGCCTGGCCAGATGTCCTATGCCGATAACATAGAAAATACTCAGGTTTATTGTCCACTCAGAAGCCATGGGCATGAATCACATATGGGCATCTGGTAGCAACAAGGCTGTAACTGGCTTATTGAACAGGTGAGACTCAGGAGGGTGTAAGCAGAAAACTATTTATTTGATCTCATATTTCCCCTCAATTCTGTTCTATCAGATATCATTTCCTTGACCTTGGATGGCTTTGCTGGCAGAGCCTATAGCTTTTGCAGTCATTCTCAGGTACACGCACAGTATGATTTTGAGGTATTAAAAGTTCAGTTCAATCTAAGTCAAAACAGACATTGCTCATCCTATTCCATGCTTCCACACTCCCCTAGCACAGGCTAACTCTAAAATGCCACAACACAGTGCGGCTGAGTATAGCATGGTCCATTTTTCATTTTTTCTCTATTTTACTCTTCTGATCCTCATTCCTCACTTTGTGTGCTGCTTCTGTACTTTCCAGTATTAGAGTGGAGGACAGGAATAGGAGGAAAAGGGTGAAGTCCAATATATTAGTCCATTCTCACACTGCTATGTAGAACTATCTGAGACTAGGTAATTTATGAAGAAAAGAGGTTTAATTGACTCACAGTTCCACAGGCTGCACAGGAAGAATGGCTGGGAGGCCTCAGGAAACTTACAATCGTGGCAGAACATAAAGGGAAAGCACATCTTACCATGGTGGAGCAGGAGAGAGAGAGCAAAGGGGAAAGTGCTACACACTTTTAAACAACCAGATCTTGTGATAACTCACTATCACAAGAACAGCAAGGGGGAAATCTGCCCCCATGATCCAGTTGCCTCCTACCAGGTTCCTCCTGCAACTACAATTCAACATGAAATTTGAGAGGGAACACAGAGCCAAACCATACCATCCTATATGACTGGTGTTACTGAGCTCTGGAATCAGTGCCCTCTCTGCACTAGCAACCCATGTGCTAGGAATATTCAGAGATTTAACCCCATCTTCTCATGGGCTATTCTCTGGCCAAAAAAAAAAATTTACTGTTGGACTGGGAGTGGTGGCTTACCCCTGTAATCCCAGCACTTTGGGAGGCCAAGGCAGGCAGATCATCTGAGGTCAGGAGCTCGAGACCAGCCTGACCAACATGGTGAAACCCTGTATCTACTAAAAATACAAAAATTGGCTGGGTGTGGTGGCGCACGCCTGTAGTCCCAGCTACTCAAGAGGCTAAGGCAGGAGAATCGCTTGAACCCAGGAGGTGGAGGTTGCAGTGAGCCGAGATTGCACCACTGCACTCCAGCCTGGCGACAGAGTGAGACTCCGTCTCAAAAACAAAACAAAACAAAACATAATATACTGTAAAAAAATTAATATTTCATATTCACATAAAATCCTTGTTCTCATGGAGAAAACTGCTATCAGGGAACACTTTAGTGTGTGATTCTTACATATGTTAATAGATGTGGGCCAGTGGTTCTCAAGTTTTAGAGCATGTAAGACTTACCTAGAGAGCTCCTGAAAGTGGACCCTCTTCAGAAACATCCTCAGTTCTGCTGATTCAGTAAGTCTGGGATGGGGCCCACGAATCTGCATGGTAAATAGACTTCTCCTCTTCTCTTTGATTCTGAAGTAGCCACTCCCTGGCTACTGGGAAAACAATACTATAGTCAATTTTGGTGCTTTCCAGTCCATGCTAAGGTAGGGATCCAGATTAGTCCAATTTCTTACTGAGGATGAAAGGGTAATAAGGTGAAAAGATGGCTCAATTCAAGCCTGATCCTTGGAAAGCTCTCCTCACAAGAGCATACTTCAATCCAGGTCTCTATTGTGCTCCAAGTCCTCTAGAGTCACCTAGAGCTTGGTTACAAATGTGTGCTCTGTTCAGAGCGTGGGGACTGTGGGCTAACCTGTGACCTACAAGGACTGAGATTCACTGTCCAGTTTGACAGAGGGTATTGTTTCCCCTTGATCCTTTCCAATTCCAATAGGATTCCTAAAATTCTGTGATTTGGACTGTAGCAACTAACGTCATAGTGAAATACATGGTCTTAAAAAAAAAAACAAAACCCAACTGGCTAACTCTTAAACTAAACTGAATTTCTTTTCAGGCTAAAATCAATCAATAAATATTTGAGTGCCAAAAATATCACTCATAAAAATCATTCTTATTATTTGTATTAAAATGATAGGTATGCTAATGCTTCACATATACTATGTATTTATATTATATGACTAGATCTCATATACAAAAATTATTTTTTCTTGTGTTTTCTACCTAAAGCTCTTCCCAAGTGTGATGTAAACTTGTAATAAATAAAGATATATTTAACTCCTATATTTTCTCTTCTTCTCTTCTATTGTAAAAAGCTTTCTGTTTTCTCCCTGTGTGCTACGAGAAGCAATCTGCTTAGAGATAAAAATAATGACTTTGGGATTCCAGTCATGCTGTGTTCACTAGGCTTGCATTTGGAATCAAAGGCAGAGGGTTGTGCCATTAGCTCTTCATGACAGGTCACTAGGGAGATTTTCAAATCAGAAGAAAATAGAAGAGATTACTCAGAGAAAACCCACTCATTTGTATATTTCTGAAATAGCATCATATTATTAGGAAGATGCTAACCACTTACAAAACTAACAAGTAGCAAAGCTAACAAATCTTGAAAAACTAACAAGACAAAGGGAAAATAAATAAAGTGGAAAGCAGTAGATACGAAAAGATAAAGAAAGGAATAAATCTTAGACAAAATACCCTATGGAATAAACTCATAATCTTGTAAATAATAAAGCTCCTTCTGTAACTCTTACAACTCAGAAGTAACAAAAAACAAATGGCCCAATTAAAAAATGAGCAAAGAACTTGAATAGACATTTCTCCAAAGAAGATATAGAAGTGGACAATAAGCACCCAAAAGGTGCTTAACACCAGTCATCGGGGAAATGCAAATCATCACCACAGGAATAACACTTCTGCACCTATTAGGTTTGCTACGATAAAAACAATCAGAAAATAAGTGTTGGCAAAGATGTGGTGAAATTGGAATCTCTGTACATTGCTAGTGGGAATGCAGTGCAGACACTGGAAAATGTTGTGTGATTCCTCAAAAAATTAAACATGGAATTACTACTTGATCCAATTATTTTACTTCTAGGTAGACACCCAAAAGAACTGAAAGCACAGACTCAAACAGATATCTATATACCCATGTTCATAGCAGCATTATTCATAATAGCCAACAATGGAAGATAGCCTAAATGTCCATCAGGGGATGGACAAAGAAAATGTGTTATATACATACCATGAAACGTTGTCTTAAAAAGAAAGGAAATGTTGACATATGCTTAGCATAGATGAACCTTGAAGATAATATGCTGAGTCAAGCCGGTCATAAAGAACAAATATTGTATGAGTGTACTTTGGATTAGTCAGGATTCTCCAGAGAAATGGAACCAATAGGATGTGTATTTATAGAGAAATAAATTTAAGGAACTGACTCACGTCATTGTGGAGGCTTGGCGAGTCCAAAATCTGATGAGAGAGGCTGATAGGCTGGAGACTCAGGAAAGGGTTGCTGTCCAAAGGCCATCTGCTGGGAAACCAGGTAGAGGTAGTGCTGCAGATGAAGCTGGAAGGCAGTTGGCTGGGAAATTCCCTCTCGCTCAGGGAGGTCAGTCTTTTGATCTATTCAGGCCTTCAACTGATTGGATGAGGCCCAGCTGTATTATGAAGGACAATCTGCTTTCCTCAAAGTCCATTGATATAAATGTAAATCTCATCCAAAAAGACCCTCAAAGGAACATCCAGAATAATGTTCAGCAAAACATCTGGGCGTCGTCGCCCAGCCAAGTTGACACATACAATTAACCATCACACGCTTAGATGAGGTTCTTGGAGTAGTCAAATTAATAGAGACAGAAAGTAGAATGATGATTGCTAGGGGCTGAGGGGAGAGAGAATGGGGAGTTGGTGTTTCATGGGTACAGGGTTTCAACTGGGGAAGATGAAAAAGTCCTGGAGATGGACAGTGGTGATGGTTGCAAAACAGTGTGAATGTACTTATTGCCACTGTACATTTAAAAGTGAACTTTTAAGTGAATTGTACACTTAAAAATGGCTAACGTGGTAAATTTTATGTTACGCATAATTTATGACTATAAAAGATGAAAAAACCTCTCTTTTATTGATCCTCTATTTCATACCAGGAACTATTATAAGCATTTTCACTTATCTACACAAGTACCAGCTGAAATGATATTGCCCCCAATTTTTGTACTCCAAGACACAGCCGAGGTTAACAGCTAATCGTTAGTGGAGACTGTGTTGGAACCATGGTCATCCTCCCTTTAATCAAGGCTCCCTTTTGCTGACTTTGTTGCTCTTTGAAAACTCTTGCAAAGTACTGCTCTAGGGAAGCCTAGAGGAGAGTAAGTGTGTGATAGAAGGGGAGGTGTGGTAGGCACAGGCCTCTCTAGCTGCAGTGGAGGTAGGTGTGATCTCTGTTCCCGTAATTGTAGTATGGGTCCCTAAGTGTGGTTCCATGACCTCCTGTACCAATAAGGAACTTATTCAAAATGCAAAATTTTGGCTCTATCACACCTTTTCTAGAAATCTGAATTTAACAATCCTGGAGGATTCTTAAGCACAGGGAAGTTTCAGACTCACTGCACTGGAAGGAAGGCAGCGTATCCTTTCCACCAGAGGTGTGATCAGGAGAAGCAGCAATTAAACAGGCTGAAGGATTTGTGAGTTCTTACCAGAGGATCCTACATCCTCATGGACTTTGCTTTAAACACTAGCAATATATTCCTGAGAAACAAAAATGATCCAAAAGGTGAGTTGAACATTTTGGTAAATAAATGTAATTCCACACTTAGTCCATCTTAACTGTTTAATTCTTCTATAGTATGACAAAGTATAATAAGTCACAGTTCTTGCATTTTGGGGGCTCACAGTATAGTTACAAAGACAAAAACATATACATC
The DNA here is from genome assembly GCF_000001405.40 of Homo sapiens. NCBI lineage: Eukaryota > Metazoa > Chordata > Mammalia > Primates > Hominidae > Homo > Homo sapiens. The sequence continues at coordinate 14,925,743 of NC_000002.12, read as the reverse complement.
TAGCCATGTGATAATCGTAGCAAGAATGAATCACCGAGGAGGCAGTGATAAACCATTCCGTGTGGGTGGGACTCAGAATATGTCACACTGATGCAGTGACTTTGAATGATGAATGCAATTTTGCCATGAAAGGGAAAAATGCCATTCTGTAAAGAGTGGGATGCATGAGCCAAAATGCAGATGGTTTTGCATTTCACAGAGTGCTTTGGACCATCTCTAAACTTCTAAATAATTATCACTTACATTTTTATGAGCATATTTTATGGGTTAACAAATAAAGCTAAATTAGATAATTTAATTAATAATTGGCAAAGTAGGAGTGTGTAGCCTAGTCCAGTCAGGGCATATGTCAAGGTGAAGTGAGCTCGAGAGTTTATGAATATTTCTTGTCGAGAAGTTTCTAGAATAACTCCTCTCTAAGGCGGGAAAAAGAGCTAAGGCAATGTCCAGAGATCCCAGTGGGAAATTGCGCATGAGATGATACTGGTGAGACCTCTGTATATGGAAAAGGAGAGGACATAATGGGAGAAATTATTATCAGTACATAATTATAATAAACTTAGCAAGTGCCATAGTAGTGTTTTCTGATCTGCATGGCCCAGCACACCAGGCTCTGGGTTTGCGAACTGACCTTTGTGAAAATTCCTTGGGGAACACACCTGTAATTTCATGAAGCCTTGGGAAAGTAGAAGTTAACTTTATCGAAATTCGCTTACCTTATTTGAGTCACGTATGTGTCTTTCCAACCTCAGCTGTCAGTCTCTGAGTAGGCAGATTTCTGTCAGGTGCCAGAGAATAATAGATTAAAAATAATTCAGATTAAGGTGGAAACCGCTGAGAGACCTAACTTTCTTGTAGGGTGTATTTGCATTTTAAAAATATCATGCATGAAGTTAAGGGGCCTTTCCCTGCAGAAATAATTGTGTAGGGGGAGGGATTATTTTAAGGAAAGAAATCCCTCAACTCAGAGCTACAGAAAAATGAAGTGAGGTCTTCAGCAACTTTTCCTATAAGGCTCCACCGTGACTGGAGTTAATATGTCTTTGAGAAAATGAAAACTGAAGCTCACAGGAGGTTGTTTTTCTTGGCGAAAGGAAGTCTATAAGTATCAGTCTTTTCAGATTATCGGGACATTATTATATATGAAATCACAAGGAAACTGAGAGGACACTGATGGGAGTATCTCAGCTCCATTGGGGGGACTGTTTTGGATTTGCCCTAAATTTGCTCAGGTTTCAAGTTGATGTCTGATAAATTAATGCATGCTGGGAAGCCTTTTGCATATATCTGGAGAGCAGACTTAGCAGGCAGGCCTGTGGTGGCTCTGTGGATTCAGCTGTGAGGCATTAGTAGAAGAAGGAATATAAAACAACTTCTTCCTAGCGATTTATTCTGAAGCAGACTTTCAAATGAGCACCAACTAGTCCATTACATATTCCTGAATATATTTTTGGGGATGTTGAAATCTCTTACATCATCTCCATGACAGGAATCTGCATTGAGCATTTTCTGAAAGTTCCAGAGAAGACCCCTGGAAAAACTTGATTTGCGTTGTTCTTAGATTGATTTTAGTTTGTATCATTCAAAATCTCTTTACTCTTCGGTTTCCAAATTGTTCTACCCTCCATGTTTATGTGTAGAATCTTGGGAGTATCAGAAGGAAGATGTGGTGGCAGATGTATTCTGTGTGAGATTCTTTAGAGAGAGCTTCCAAGTGATTGCATATGCGAGGAAAAGGTCCAGCCAGGGGAGGGAAGTGTAGACTTGACGAGGGTGGGTAGCAACTTTCTCCCTCCATCTGCTGTGAATTACTGTGCATCTCTCCTGCTTCCAGCGTCCTTTTCCTTCAAACTACTCTCCATACAGCTTCAGGGAAGATTTTTCCAAAAATGCCCATCTGATTAGGACACCCCATCCCCAACTTAGAGAGCTTTCCATTCACCCTGCCCTCTTCATGAGTGGTCCACAGTGGGTGGGGGTACCTCAGCCTAAAAATCACTTCTCACTCCTCAGAATGCATGCTTTGTGGGGCCAGGCCACTTGAAAGTTTCTAGGAATCCCCATCTCTTTCATACTGTGAGTCTTGGCCTTCTCCATGTCCTACGTTGTGAAATGTCTTCTTTGGCCTTGTCTAATGGATACACCCCTACCTTTTCTTTAGGGCTCTGATGAGAGCTTTCCCATTGCAGAGTAAGCTCCATGTGAGCAGGGGCCTTGTCTGGTTCACCATGGGACTGCTGGGGGCTGGCCTGGCATTTGTCACAAAGCAAACACTAGGGAAGTATGTGATGGATGAAGGATTTGCCACCTCTTCTAGGGGCCCACCCACCACATTTAGCTCCTCTTTGCTTCCACTGCATTCCCACAAACTCTATTAGCATTTACCACCCACAACTGCAGTGATCTGCTCACTGCTGTGTTCCCCAGAGACTATGAGCCTCTAAAAGAAATTGACTAGTTATATGTACCTATTTTCAACAGCCAAAGAAGAGCTTGGCACAACATTGACTTATAGTAATGAATAACTGAATGAAAGAATGAATGAACGGAGAACCACTGAATAAATGAATGAATACTTTTTTTTGTTTTTTTGAGACAGAGTTTCGCTCTGTCACCCAGACTAGAGTGCAGTTGCGCAATCTCGGCTCACTGCAAGCTCCGCTTCCCGGGTTCATGCCATTCTCCTGCCTCAGCCTCCAGAGTAGCTGGGACTACAGGCACCTGCCATGGCGCCCGGCTAATTTTTTGTATTTTTAGTAGAGGCGGGGTTTCACCGTGTTAGCCAGGATGGTCTCGATCTCCTGACCTCTTGATCCACCCACCTCGGCCTCCCAAAGTGCTGGGATTACAGTTGTGAGCCACCGCACCCGGCCCAAATGAATACTTTTTATCAAGGATGAGTAGCAAGTAAAATGGCGGCCAACTTGGCTATAATTGATTATTTTTTCACTTCCTTTCAGTTACTAGCTATTTTTGCGAACTGTCTTTCTAAAAAGCCTACTGTCTCGCTGTTATGGACTAAATTGTATCCCCCTAAAATTCACAGGTAGAAGCCCTAACCCCCAATGTAACTGTATTTGGTGATAGGGTCTTTAAGGAGGTAATTAAGGTTAAAGAAAGTCACAAGGGTGGGGCCCTTAATCCAATATGATTGGTGTCCTTATAAGAAGAGAGAGATGCCAGGGATGTGCATGCACAGAGAAAAGGCCATGTGAGGATGTAAAGGAAAGGTGGCTTCTGCTAACCAAGGAGAGAGGTCTCAGGAGGAACCAAACTCACCACCTCCCTACTTTGAACTTCCAGCCTTTAGAATGAGGAAAGAGATGTCTGTTTTTGAGTCACTAGTCTGTGATATTTTGTTCTGGCAGCCTGAACAGACCTGTACTCAACCCAACAGGACTTCCTCTCCACTCTGGACTTTCCTAATCTCTCCATTTTACCATTATTAAAACTTAAATGCTCTTGAATCCAGCCCTACCTGCTTATCTTACAGATGGGAAAGCCAGTGTCCAGTAAAGGAAAGTGATTTACTCACCATGATTCCTCCAGCCCTGCCTGGACTCTCTCCACCTTCCTTTTCTGACATCTCTGTTTTCTAGACACTCAGGTCCTGCAAGAGGTCAGGCTTTTCAAGCTGGTGAAATACTCAGAGGTGCTATTAGTTTAATATGCTCCACCTCCAAGGTAGCAGCTGCATTATTATAGGAGCTTTCAATTTCTTAACACACAGATGCCTCCTTGGGTTCCTGGCATGTGGTAGATAGTCAGTACATGCTATTTGAATAGGAACAGTGGTAGGCTAGAAGGTATGGGTTTGAAAAGGGTGTGGGGATGGATTTTGCTGGGGAAGATGTTTTTAGCAGTCACATTTGTCATTAAAGCAAAGACAAGTCTGTAAAAAAAATGTATAATAGCAATTACATTTTGGGATTTTGTATGTGAACATTTCTTAGATTTCAGCCAACTATGATGCTTGGGAAGGATGACTTCTGTAGCTTATACACGAATCACACACACACATACAATCACACACACACTCGCTTATTCACAATGCATGCCTGTGAAGATGGTCCCCTAAGCCCAGGTCATTCCTGACTCTTAACTCTGAACTTGACAGGCACCTCATGCTTCAGGAGCAACTTGATTCTCCTAGTGGATTAGAAAGGACATCACAACAGTTAAGCTCCCAGGTGTTTGCATTTGCTGCAGGAGCCAAAATTCAGACATTTATTTTTAAGTTTAATTTCTAGGACTCCATAAACTTTTAGATGTTTGTGGCAACCCTGTGCTGAGGAAGTTGATTGGCACTTTTTTCCATCAGCATGTGCTCACTTAATGTCTCTGTGTCACATTTTGGTAATTCTGACAATATTTCAAACGTCTTCATTATGATTATATCTGTTATTGTGATCTGTGATCAGTCATCTTTGATGTTACTATTATAATTGTTTTGGGGTGCCATGAACCACACTCATATAAGATGGAGAACTTAATCGATAAATGTTGTGTGTGTTCTGACTGCTCCATGTATTGGCCATTCTCCCATCTCTCTCCCCCTCTCCTTGGGCCTCCCTATTCCCTGAGACACAGCAATACTGAAATTAGGCCAGTTAATAACCCTACAATGGTCTCTAAGCATTCAAGTGAAAGGAAGAGTCTCAGGTCTCTCACTTTAAATCAAAAGGTAGACATGATTAAGCTTAGTGAGAAAGGCATGTCAAAAGCTGAGCTAGGCCTCTTGCACCTATTTTAGGGCAAGCTGTGATTACAAAGGAAAAGTTCCTGAGGGAAATTAAAGGTGCTACTCCAGTGAATGCATGAATGATTAAAAAAAAAAAAAGTGAAACAGCCTTATTGCTGATATGGAGAAAATTTTAGTGGTCTGGATAGAAGATCAAAGCAGCCACATCATTCCCTTAAACCAAAGCCTAATCTGGATCAAGGTCCTAATTTAATTCTATGAAGGCTCAGAGAGGTGAGAAAGCTGCAGAAGAGATGTTGGAAGATAGCAGAGATTGGTTTGTGAGGTTTACTTCACAAACATAACTACGCACCATAACATAAAAGTGCAAGATGAAGCAGCAAGTATTGATGTAGAAGCTGTAGTAAGTTATCCAGAAGATCTAGCTAAGATAATTGATGAAGGTGGCTACACTAAACACCAGATTTTTAATCTAGACAAAACAACCCTATATTAGGAAATGATACTATCTAAGACTTTCCTAGCCAGAGAGAAGTCAATGCCTGGTTTCAAAGCTTCAAAGGACAGACAGACTATCCTGTTAAAGGATAATATAGCTGGTGACTTTAGGTGGATACCAATGCTCATTTAGCATTCTGAAAATCCTAAAGCCCTTAAGAATTATGCTAAATCTACTCTGCCTATGCTCTTTAAATGGGGCAACAAATCCTGGATGACAGCACATCTGTTTACTGCATGGTTTGCTGAATCTTTTAAGCCAACTCTTGAGACCTACTGCCCAGAAAAAAAGATTCCCTTTAAAATATTACTGCTCATTGACAATGTACCTAGACACCCAAGAGCTCTGATAGAGATGTACATAAGATTAATGTTGTTTTCATGCCTGCTGCCACAATATCCATTCTGTAGCCTATGGATCAAGGAATAATTTTGACTTTCAAGTCTTATTATTTGGGAAATATATTTCATAAGGCTATAGCTGCCATAGATAGTGATTTCCCTGATGGGCCTTGGCAAAGTAAATTGAAAACGTTCTGGAAGGAATTCAGCATTCCAGATGCCATTAAGAACATTTGTGATTCATGGGAGGAGGTCAAAATATCAACATTAACAGGAATTTAGAAGAAGTTGATTCCAACCCTCATGAATGACTTTGGGGAGTTCAAGACTTTAATGAGGAAGCGAATGCAGATATGGTAGAAATAACAAGAAAAATAGAATTAGAAGTGGAGCCTGAAGATGTGACTGAATTGCTGCAATCTCATGATCAAACTTGAGTACGTGAGGGGTTGCTGCAAATGGATGAAGAAAGAAATTTGTTTCTTGAAATGGAATCTACTCCTGGTCAGGATGCTATGAAGATTGTTGAAATGACTAGAAAGGATTTAGATTATTACGTATCCTTAGTAGATAAAGCAGTGGTAGGCTTTGAGAGGACTGACTTCAATTTTGAAAGAAATTCTACTGTGGCTAAAATGCTATCAAACAACATGCCATGCTGCAGAAACATATTTTGTAAAAGCAAGAGTCAATGGATGCAGCAAACTTCATCATTGTCTTATTTTCAGAAATTGCCCCAGTCATGGCAGCCTTTAGCAACTACCACCCTAATTGATCAGCAGCCATCAACTTCGAGGCAGGATGCTCCACCAACAAAAAGATAATGACACACTGCAGGTTCACATAATCACTAGTATTTTTTAGCACTAAATTATTTTTAAATTAAGGTATGGACATTTTTTAGACATAATGTTATCGCACACTTGAAAGACTATAGTGTAAACATATCTTTTATATGTACTGGCTAACAAAAAATATTATATGACTTTGTTGAGATATTCACTTTATTGTGGTGGTCTGGAACTGAGCCCTGAATATTTCCAAGGTGAGATGCATGTATTCATCTCACCTGGAATAAGCCACAGGAACAATATATTCCATAGGTGCAAAATTAACCTCAGCATCTTTCTGTTCAAATCTGCTCCAGGCATGTACAAATTATCCTGGAAATTGGTGCTGCCATCTCCCCAGTTGTCTTCTGTACCCTCCCTCCCCCATCTAAATGGTTCAGAGAATCTGAGAGTAATTCATTTTCCTGATATCTCTGTGCCATCCCTATTCCTTCTGTCCTGGTTCAGGACAACTTCCCATCAATCACCACTATGTCAACTCTGCCTCTTGACATTTCTCCTCCCCACACCTCCCCTGCATTTCCCACTGGATCACCGAGAAAACTTCACTCCTAGTCTGCAGCTTTAAACTTAGCCTTCTCTATTCCTGTTTCCCACTGCAGCCATGGTGAGCTTTTTAAAACACCAATCTTGTCATGCTGTGGCCTTTGTAGGAAACTTTTCAGGGGCTTCCTACTACCCTCAGGGTCAAGTGCAGACTTGTCAATCTGGGCCCTTAGGCCCTCAGGGACAAGACTAAGGACCACAGCCTTCTCTATGGCATCAGGCTCTTTGCATCTGGGTTAATGGTCTAGACATGAAAATGATCCTGTTATAATTCTCCTTGCCTCTGTACAATCCCTTCTCTGCCTGCAGTACTTCTCTTTTTTCACTTAACATATTTTTATCCTTGAAAGGCTTAGCTCAAACCAAACATCTCCTTTCCAAACCCTTTTATGATATTGTTCCTTCTTTGTGCTCTACTAACTCTACTCAGGTCAGATGGAGATCATGCCCCAAGATGAAAACACCATTACATTGTTTTTTTTTTTTTTTTTTGCATGGATTTCTTCCTTCTCCAGGGCAAGAATCTTGTTTACATCCTCATGTCAATGCTTAGTGCAGTGCCTGGCACAGAGTACGTACTTGATAATCTCTTACTGAATAAATAAAGCACAAGAAATTAGGATGCAAGTGGCGGTTGTATTGTTGATAAAATGACTTCAGGATAGATAACAGGGTTGAAAATCTAAGACCTGCCTTCCAAAGAGGACAC